>NC_000011.10:131366364-131675552 GCF_000001405.40 Homo sapiens | reverse complement strand
TAATCCTACCTCCCTTATTGGGCTGTCATGAGAAATGAAAGAACAAAAATGCAAATTCTCTTGCTCATAGTAGGCACTCAACAAGCAATGATTAATTAATGCGGCCACCATTCCAAAAAGTTATAACAATGCATTTGGCAAAGGTTCAGTCTGTATTACTGGTTATGTAAGATACTAATGAATTATTATAATAACATTTGTGAAATCATATCCTAGCCAGTAATAAGAATTTAAAAATGTGTTGGGAAAACCACCCGTGATATATTGGGTTTGAGCCAAGAAAGCCAGTCGACAACAGATGAGCTACTCTGCTGTTTAATATACTTAATAAAACAGTGTAGCTGCCCGAAATTGCTGTCTTGCTAAACAGAAATATCCCAAGGGTTTAAACAGAAAAGATAAATGCTCTCTTCGTCTTATACAAGAACCAAAGTAAAGATGGAACTGGGGATCTGGAAGCTCAGGCAGGATCAGGAAGATGGGTGCTAGGCGAAGGTTGAGGTCTGCTCACCCGGGCTAAGCATTTGAAAAGAAAAGAGTCTTCAAATATGGTGGGATGAATGCAGGAAATGGGACTTTGGAATCCATCTGGCACACTGGGAGCTTTCTTTTCTAGCAGCAAGTGAGTAGCTGTATGAAGATCCAGATGAAAGGGAGAATATAAGACCAAATTCTGTAAACTATGAGCCCCACATCTTGGTCCCTAATCCATGCATGTCTTGGAGCTGCAATGAGTTTAGGTGCCTGATAACCTATATCCCGCGGGGAAGGTTTTTCTGTCTTTCAGAGAATTTCAGAGAAGCAGCATTACAGGTAACCAGACAGGGAAATCAGGCTTGCAAATAACAATGGCAATATTCTTGTAACTGCAAATGGGAACAATAAGGCTGGTTCTGTTACACTGAGCCAACACCAGATTCATGGGAACCAGAAAAAGACTACAATCATAGCAATGAATGACTTCAAATGAAATGAAGCAATCCCACACAAAGAGTTCGCTTGCCCGACTGATACCAGCGAGTGGCCAGCTCTCTGGTGTTTCAGCATCCTCAAGGCCAGAGCATCCCAGCTGCAGGGAAGCAGAAGCACCATCCAGGTCATGCTGATCACTTTACAGGCGACAAGCCAAGACACACTAAGGACGTCCAGCCGCTAAGCCACAAACACCAAACTGAGCTTTAGGATTGAGCTTTCTTCCTACTATACCAGCCTCTCCTTTTCAAGAATGACAGCCCTAGGAGTGACAAGAATGTCTTGGGTAGAGAAGGAAGACTTTTTATGAACTGCATTCCTTTTCAGTGAGCTCTTTCCAGTTTCAGTGTAGGCGGTGGCCAAGCACTTGTGCAGCACGTCTGCTTCTCTGGGAAAGAGAACGTGTGCGTGTGGCACTACTTCTCATGGCCACGCGAGGGCGCCCGCACCCCGTGCTAGGACCCTTCCTCCTGCCTACCTGCTCACCCTACGCTGTGTGTGTATGTTTTTTCCATGAGGTCAGAAGTATCAAGGTTGTAAAATAACATATTTTCACTTGTTTTCTTCCTACATCCAAGACATAGCATTTCTGAAGTCAATTATCTCCCCGAGTTGCCATCATCTCCCTACCCTCTTTCTCTTTGTGCCGCCTTTCAACCCATCAGAGTCTGACACCAACAGACGGGGGAGTGGAGGTGTGGGCAAAAATGAATTTATTTTTTCTCACTGGTGATGTCAAATCCTTGTTCTGGCACTTTGTTTTAAAAGGACTTCTGCAAACGTGAGATCTCTGTTCTCCAGCCTCAGGAAGGAGAGCCGAGAGAGTGGAGGGCTGCCATGCTGTCTACAGAGGGTCTCAGGTGTCACCTGGGCCCCCCAAGGTACAGGTCCCTTTAGTACCATTTGTCCAGCAGTGCTCCCAGTGAGGGATGGAAGAGCATTTTTGCAGAGTTCCCAAAAGCAGACAAAATTAGAGCAGCAAGCATCACCCGCTAACTGTATCACGTCACTGTCTGGCACCATATTTAAATGCAAGCTTTGTCCAGAGGTGGGCAGGTGACCCAGATGATGAAGAGATAAGAAGAAAGACACACACACTGAAACACATACACACAGACAATGAGGACACAATTTGCAGTTCTTACAAAGTACAGGCCTGGGGGCTGGCAGAAAGGGCCCTGTGATCCTTTTGGGGCCACCATAATGCCCTGCTCAGAGAAGGCCACCAGCCTCCTTTGTCCTCTAAGGTAGGCATCCTACAAAGTTAGTGGAAATGGACTGGTCAACCTCAAGTCTCTCCACTCAGGAGCCCACAGGCAGCCCTGAGCATCCTCCTGGTCACCAGCTGTACCCCAGTGGGCACACAGCAAGGGTTCTGGGGTCACCTTCTTGATCCATTGTTGTACTCACAATTTACCACCAGAAACCTCAGGAGTTTTCTGACCCTCCTGCCCTCCCTAGCCCTCTCCATCCCCATCTATTTTTAGGCTAAAGCCTAAAATAGACAAGGAACGAGGTCACTCCCCACCCCCACCCCGGCACCGTGGTCTTCTCTGTTTTAAGGGAAATAGACAAGGAACACGGTCACTCCCCACCCCCACCCCGGCACCGTGGTCTTCTCTGTTGTAAGGGAAATAGGCAAGGAACACGGTCACACCCCACCCCCACCCCGGCACCGTGGTCTTCTCTGTTGTAAGGGAAATAGGCAAGGAACACGGTCACACCCCACCCCCACCCCGGCACCGTGGTCTTCTCTGTTTTAAGGGAGAACTTATCGCAAAGCCTTTCTTTTGAAGGCCAGAAAGAAGAGGCCAAGGCTGGTCCATGGGTATTTGAATTCCATAAGCCTCCACAGAGGCCCTACTATGTACCAGGAGTACTAAATACCTAAGTAGAATTGTGTCCCTTTCCTATTGGCACCAGAGTCTAGTGGGAAAATATATATATGAATAAACATTCTGTCATACAATTAATGCCAGCCTACAGCACCATGAACAAGACAAGGTGGGTTTGAGCCTGGTCTGATGGGTGAATAGGAAGAGGCCAGGCCGAAGAGAATGGCCTGGAATCCCAGGGAGACTGAAAGGGTGAGGCACTCCAGCTGTCGGGGTGTCTGATGCGGTTTCCTCGGAGCTGCAGAGCCACACAGCGCTCATCCAAACACGCCCACGCGTGCTTCGTGAAGCAGGCCCAGTGTCCTCGGTGGGGGTGCGGTGCCTTCAAAGGAGGCTCATTTGCTCAAGTCGCCGCCTCTGCCTTCACCTGGCCCCAGAAGCCTGGCTCGCTGGCATCCCTGCCTGAACCCTCAATGCATTCGGGCCTGTGCTATGCTTTGAGGCCTCCCCAGAGGGGAAATGTTCAAGGGTCCCCTTGCTGCTCTGCTCCTGGTGGGGAGGGAGGGACAGCACCACGCAGGCTTGTTCCTCCCACACCTGCCAAGAAGGCCGGTCCTCCCGGACCCATGGTGTGGAAAGCCGAGTCCACTCCAGAAACAGGCAATTTGTGTAGAAAGACAAAGAGAAAGGGATGTGCACGTGGAGAGGAACACAGCGAGGGCACGCTGCGGGCCCCTGGCCATCTGCTGCTGAGAGGCGGTGCAGCCAGGGGGCAGCCAACAGCCAGCCCAGTGCTCTCAGGTGGAGCCGGGACAGAGGCCTCTTTGTCCCGGAGCCAAGCACCTGCTGCTGTCCAAGGTTTGGAGCCCCCAAACCTTGACTTGGCCTTCAGAGGGGCCTTAGCTCTCAAACCAACAAATATCATTGCCTCCACCAGCGTCCAGGTCATTACTCTGAGGCGAGCTCAGGGGACACACTTCTCTTTGCCACTTTCGATGCCACTTCTTTGATCGACCACTGTCGATGGGCGCTTTGTCACTCTCCAGTGGCCTGTGAATTAGCCCAAGGCGTCTGCTTCCTATACCGCTGAGTCTTGGTGGTTCTCACAGGGCTCTGAGCCATTTGCCACCTCTGCCAAGTCGCAGATATGCCCAGCCCAGCGTGGGCTCCAGAGGAGGGTGAGGGTAGCCACCGGTAGGCCCTGCCAGCCCAGAGGAGGGTGAGGGCAGCCACCGGTAGGCCCTGCCAGCCCAGGGCTAACACTGATTCAACCACATTCTCTGCAAGCCCAGAGCTGACAAGGCCCAGGCAAGCAGGAGCTGTGGTGGATCCTGTGAATATGCAGGTAATGTAGAAGGATGGAGACAGGTGTCCCTGGCCTTCCATAAATAAAGTGTGCAGTGATGGGGTTGGGCGGGGAGGATGAGTATAGACGCCAGATAGCGCCCCAGGGAGGCTAGGGGTGGAACTGGCCTTCTAGGCTGATTATGCCTCTGCCTGGGGGAGATAGGAATGGCTCCCTCCTGGCATCCATAAAGTTGCTGAGTGCAGACCTTACCTAGAAAGGCAAGGGCCAAAAGCCTCCTAGCAAGTTCTTGAGCAGAGCCTGTTGGGCAGGAATTCCTGGCGCTTTTGCTTGGAGAGAAACAGGGCTGGGAGGAAGGGTCAGAAGAAAGATGATGGGGGCAGGAAACAGAGAAGGGAGGATGGAGTGAGAAAGGACAGAGCAGGAGGAAGAGGGGAGCCTCTGCCGACAGTGAAGCAGAGGGAAGGACGTCTGTTTTCAGAAGGGGCTGGGGGCCACATTCCCTGGGAGCCTCCTGGGCCCCAGGCCTTTAGCATCTACTGAGTGAATACCTAGGATTGCTCACAGAGGGAGCAGAGGGGAAGGGGCTGGCTCTGATCACACAGCCACCTCGCCGGGCAGCATCAGAGGTGGTTTTAGCCTAGATCTGAGGCCTCCAAGAAGGGCTACGCCTCTCGGACAGCATCCATGTCGAGAAATGAACCTCCCTGACCCAGTGGGGTAGAGGAGCAAGTGAGGCAGGGAGGAGAAGGGGACACAGTAGTCCTAGCCCTCGACTGTCAGGCCTCCTAGCCTTGTCTCCTGCCCCAGTACCACATGTCCATTTCCCTTGGCCTCACCCCAGCCCCACTACAGCCTCCATTCCAGGTAGAGACTGAGCAGCTGGCAGAGAAGGCCCAGCTCCAGCGGAGCCCTGCTTTCCAACCCACGTTGCCACAGCACTCAGAAATGGGAACGAAACAGACAGCCACAGAATACTACATGAATGCAGACATGTATTCCTTAGCAAAAATAAATAAATGTATAAGAAAGAAAGAAGAAAGAAAGAAAAAGAAAGAAAGGAAGGAAGGAAGGAAGAAAGTAAGAGAGAGAGGGAGAGAAAGAAAGAAAGAAAGAAAGGAAAGATTTGAGAGCAATTTTTTTCTATTTTTCCTTCTTTGGTTCATTTTGCTTAAAACCTCCGAGCCCACTTTTTGCCAAAGGGGATGAGGGTGGAGTGGGTACTGGACGTGGCAGGAGAAGAGCTTTTGGGGCGCCTTCTGTTATCTTGGAGTGAGGCAGCTGATGTGATATTTTAATAGGGAACTCATTTTAATAGCCTACAAATGAGGAGTCAGAGACAATTAAAATTCATTTCCAATTAATTGTTTTTTCTTCTCTCATTACCAAGAGTTGCCAGTCAGACACCGACAAAGCCTTCAAAACAAAAGCAGCTCCCAGCCTCCGCTTCAATCGGACGCCACCTGGAAGGAGGCTCCGGAGAGTGCCAGCATCTTTGCTTCAAACTTCTCTCCCTTCAGCAAATGACTTATCCGGCCCCTTTGTGGGCAAGAGATCGCTCAAATCTTCAGAAGCTGGGACCTTCTAAGCCGTGAAGTCACAGACAAGTTTATTACCACGGAGCTGCAGGATACTTTTTTATAGTTTTAATATGGTTTATTTGCTCTCCTGAGGAATGGTCTCAGCAACTGCATTTCTTGAGACTGATTTAGCTTCCTGTCTTTCCCCTGCTGCCTCCCTTCTATGCTGTGGCCAAAAACCCAGGCTATGACAAACAGCCTGAGATGACAGAGCCTCACCTGAGCCTGGAGCCGGAAGCCTCGGTGCCCCCACCGCTGAATTGCTGAGTGACGTTGCCCTCCCCCCTCACCTGTGCAACAAGGTAGCCTCCTTCAATGCCCCTAACATGCCCCTAACATGCCTTCCAGCTCTACAACCTTCACTCTGCATTCAAAACACATTATCAGTGGCATCTATGAAGCACTTAATGGATGCTAAGTATCTCACATGCACACCTCACTTAATGCTCATAAAAACCTCCTTAAACAGATGCTTCTGGTAGCCACCAGTTCTCAGAGCAGGAAACCAGGCTACGGGACTTTTCCAATCATGGCGAGCCAGGGTTTCAGCTTGGCTGATTCCAGAGCCTGACCTCTTAACCTCTATTTCCTCCATGGTTTTGATCTCTGACCCCCTTTAACATGCCAGAGTTCCTGCAAAATCCTCAGCCTTGTTCTCTCTCTCTCTCTCTCTCTTTGGATGGGGGAAACTTCTAGTTAAACTCCTCACCTCATCTGGATCTGGATGACTAGAGTGGACAGCCCTGAATGACCAACCCTACGGGGCACAGAGAAACCGGGACAGGGACTCTACCGCATCTTTCCTGGTACAAAACCCAGAGGGGCGTGGTGGCTTCCCCAAGCTCCAGCCCCTTTTGAAAGCAGAAAGCTGTGCTCCCCCTACCGGCCACCACCAGTGGAACAAGTCTCCCCAAGGACTAAAGTTCTCACTGAGCCTTACTTTATTATTATTGTTATTGTTGTTTGAAATGCCTCATAATAACTGGGATAGATTTCTTAGGAAGCCAAATAATGGGATGCATTTCCACCCTGGCTTTATAATTAACGTTTGCATCATTTACCTTTCGTGGAAAGATTATTCTGACTAACGAGGTTCTGGGCCACTAATTCATTACACTGCCTTGTCACTTCCTGCTCCTTCTTATTACCCAGAAATAGACTCATTAGTCAGAGTTCAATGACAGGGAGAAATTGTGTTCCTTAATTTAATTCCCTCACTCACTTCTGGGCCCCATGTTTGTCTGAAATTGGGGATTAGAAGGGGGAAGAAAGGAGTCATCTTAAGTCTCTGCTTTAGACTCATTATATCCTGCCCCTTGTTCCTATCCAACAGGGGAAAGGGCCAGGAGAGCTTGTTTCGGTGGCCACGCGGGTGCTGTCCTTTCTCCACTCAAAGCTACAAGCAGGTGAGGGGCCACAGCCCAACCACTTAGGGACTTGTAACATATAATCAAGGTTTTTGTTTTTTTTTTAAAATCTCCACTCACAATTAGTAGTACTACCTGGGAATACTTAGGAATATCCAGGCATTGCTGATAGTAAGTGCTGTAGAAGATATTTATTTACAGATAGATAGATAGATAGATAGATAGATAGATAGATAGATAGAGGTAGATATACATGCACACATATATGCATGACACAAAGTGCTTCCAAAGTCCTCTGCCACAAGAACGTAAGGTGATATAATATAGACACTAACAGCCCAGGCTCGTGTTCCATTGGCATGAGTTCAAATCCTGCTTCTTCTCATGTGAGTTGCAAGGCCTTGTTCAAGATACTTAACCTCCCCTGGCTGCAGCTTCTCAACCACAAAATAGGAACGACAAAAGCTATCTCTCATCATTATGAAGCTCAAGCCGCACAAGGCACCAGAAGTGGATTGCACAGTGTGTGGCAACTATGACTATTAACTTGGAAGAGAGGTGCCCTTGGAGTTCAACTAATCAAAACCCAGCAGTGGGAAGAGAGGGTGTCTCCAGGCAGTGGGTCCCAATCCTGGTAGCACAGAGGAGACACCTGCGGATGCCCAGGCCCACCCAGGCTGTTTGAGTTGGAATCTCAGGCATGTGGGGAGGGCGTCCATGGGTTTAAAAGTTCCTGGGTGGTTCTAAGGTGAGATCAGGGTGAGAAGCCCTCAAAGTCTCAAGGTCTGCTCAGGGACGTTTCACTCCTGGGCTATTCCTGTTGAGAGAAGCACGAGGCTGAACACTTGCTCACTGCTGTAAGGCAGGAAACTTTCTCTGGGTCCCTCCATGACCAGGATTAGTACTCACATGGTTCCAGGTTCTGGGAAGCTCACTGGGGGCAAAAGAAGGTGTATCACCTGCTGTCATGGGGCTGCTCCCCTACTGGGGAGCTGGAATCAGAGCACCAATGAATGCTTACATACAAAGCAAAACAAATGCATAGAAGAAAAAGGGTGGATTCAAGGGTGAGCACCCAGCCTGGGGATCAGGAAGGCTTTCCCAAGGAAGGGTCTTCGGTTGAATTATTAAAGGTACTGAGGGTCACCCAGTAACAGAGGGATCAGAAGTGCTTTCTAGGCAGAAGGAGTAAGGACTACGGCAAAGCCCAGGTGGCTGGAACAAGAACAACCCACGGAAGAGCAGAGTTGGAGAGCAAGCAGAGGCCAGGATCCACAGGCTTTGTAGATTCTGCCCAGAATTGGGGTCCTCCTCTTTAAGGGAAAAAGAAGCTTTTAAATGAAGGAATCCCAGGTAGGGCACAGAGGTGGGATGGCAAGATCCAATAAGCCAGCCCTGAAACCCACTTACTTCCTTGCAGCATAATTGTGAGGACCAAGGCCATGGCAATGGAGCAAAGGGCCAGCCAAAGCACTCCCCTTCTGCTAGGGTCCCCTAGGCCTCCAAGTCAGTTCCTTAGAGAACACTGCACGGCCCCAGACCCCAGTGCATGGGGCTGAATCGCTCAGATGTGAGACCTGGATCTTTACTCACCCAGCCACAGATCAATAGCTCAGCTTCCAGAAATGTTGATCCCAGCCACAGCTGGAAAAGAATGCCCCCCTCCCTGGTAAGTCATCCCACTGGAATGGTAGTGTGTCATCAGCCTTTAGTGAGTGCAGCTTTGTGAGTCCTTCACCAGGACCCTGGACGTCTCTGTTGCACTGATCTTATCCATTTGTGGACCAGAGAGGCTGAGGACTCTGTTGTGGGTCGGGGACTCTGGGAACGTCATCCAGGGCTACTTGGCTTTCAGTCAACCTCTGCCCAGAGATCATAGGCATCTCCCATCTCAGGATGTCAGAAATGCATGTGTTTGTCGAGTATGTCTCTTCATTCTGGGATCCTCTGTTCTGTGAGGGGTGGTTGTAGGCATGGCTCCAATGGGGTAGGCCAGGCTGGGGGCAGTCAGGTGGTCTCCTGCCCTCGCAACGCCTTGTGCATTTGTGGTATATTATGGTCAATGATCTCCTCCTCAGTGAAGCTAGTCATTAGAAGTGAATCCATGAGTCTGGCCGTAGCTGTTTGTAACTGTAAGTTTCATTGAAATAAAGGAACCCTCTGGCAATTATAAGACAGGAGGCAGGGCCAGGGGCAGGGTGTGGACATCTCATGAGCCATATTCTATGGCACTGCTTCTCCCACAGCAGTAAGGCTGAGAGCAAAGGAGTGATAGGCAGGGTGAAGGGTGAAGGGCTGGCCTCACTCAGTCACTTGACCATGGGTTGAGGAATTCAATAGCCCTGGGCACTGAATCCTCAGAATAGATGTGTTGTCTCCAATTACCAGAAGAAAAAAATACAACAGACTGATGCAGTGACTTTAGTGAATATGTAGCCTAATATATACCACACATTACAACATCACATTTACTGTGTATTTTTATTCCTATGACCATTAAGAGAAATTGAGTCAGCAAAACTGGATACTGAGCAATGCGTGTCTTAAAATATTTATTATTCCTTATCTCAGTTAATTTTCAAAACAGCAATGAGATATATATCATACCCATTGTACAGATAAGGAAACTGGGGATCAACATGGGAACTTGACAAAAGTCAGGCAAAATACGGTGGGGTGGGAATTTGTCTCACAAGCCTGCCTCTTTTCCGTGGCCCACGGCCAGTTCTGCTTGTTCCCAGACATTGGGACTGAGTCTAGATGAATGCATTTTGTGACTTTGTTAGTTTGCTAGAGCTGCCATAATAAAATACCATAGACTGGGTAGCTTAGACAACAGAAATTTATTTCCTCACACTCTGCAGGTTAGAAGTTCAAGATCAATGTGTCAGCAGTGTCAGTTTCCTCTTAGGCGTCTCTGTGTCTTCACATGAACTCTCCTCCCTGTGTGCTGTGTCCCAATCGCTTTCTATAAGGACATTCGTCATATTGGATTCGGTCCTAGCCATATGACCTCTTTTTGCCCTAATCACCTCTTTAAGTATCTCCCAATACAGTCACCTTCTGAATTACTGGAGGTCAGGACTTCAACATGTAAATTTTGGAAAGACCCTGTTCAGCTCATAACAGTGACCAAACAGTATGGACAAAGCTCTTTATCCTTCACTTGCCAGGGATCTCTACTTGGCTTTCCACATCAATGCAATCACTGTTTACCCAAAATATTTGTTACCCTGTAGTACAAAAAGGTTTACATTCTGAATGGCTGGGCAAATGTCAGGATTAAGATAACTCACTCCAGAGATGAGGCGTGGGAAGGATGTGTAAGAGGAAGCCGCTGTCTCCAGGTGTCAGCCTTGAGAGGAGATCCCTTCTTAATTTCCCTGCAGGACAGGAGGGGACGCGTGAATGCCACTGGCAAACACAGATGGCATTTAGAGCACGGTTCTCCCTAAGGCTTGGTGGGTACCCATCCGTGGCTGCAGGAAGCAGTTCCGCGGGTTCTGCCTCTGGTGCCCAGCAGAAGCGCGGAGGATATGGGCTCCAGGAGTTCAAAGTCAGCCACACACGAGGATGTGCCAAGTGATCCTAGTCCCTTTGTTTAGCTTCTCTGAGTAACAATCATCCCTTTATTCTGTCTGTCATTAAAGGATGGCAACAGATGTAAAAGAGTGGCTTTTAAATGTTGCCAGAAAAAGGAAATATTAAAATCTAAAAAAAAAAAAAAAAAAAAAAAAAACAATGGAAGAGAGCAGTGGCCCCCTTCTGACTCACGGCATTCTATAATCTCTTGACTTTGGGGATAATGAACTACATCTCAAATCTACTTGGTTTATTTTACTAAAATTATCAAATTAACATATAGGAAGAAGACACGGGAACCGCAACGTATGGCGCGTGTTCATTTGGTACCTGGCACTGGGGATAGACAGCTGGAGAGAGGGGGAATTTAATTTCCTGGGGCCCATACGCCTCTGAGTGATTGGCAGGCTAATTTTGCTCTCCACTAGGCTTGGTATTGAAAGGAAGTGAAGATGCAGAAAGCTGCCAAAAACTGTTCCTTGTATTGGCAAAAATTCTAGACCTCATTAGAAAAATCAAGAACTAGATTCAGAAATTTGGAAGGCTATGATGAGAGGGGATTTTTCAAGTAATGATAATTATTAAATATTGTCAGAGCATCCTTTTATAGGTACTTGGTCTCTGGTTAAGCTTATGCAGTATTACACTACCATGCTTCTGTCCCATGTTGAGAGGTCCAGAGAACTTAATAAATTGCCCAAGGGCACACAGCAAATTGGTAACAGATGCAGGCCTCAAACTGGGTTCTTCTAAATCTGGGCCCAGCTCTTTGTCACCTCCCTGTGCTGGCTGCACTGGAGCCCTGTCCAGAGAGGCCTAGCAGTCAAGAATTTGGTTGCTCTGCACAGCTAGAGGGGAGCGAGCCCAGGGTGGTCCAAAGACTTTCCTTTCCTGTCACCTTCTGCTCTTTTGGGATAGAATTTTCATCCCAAAGCAGTTAAGTGCACAAATACTGTAGTCAGATAGACACAAGCTCTAATTCAAGCTTCAAGGTCATGTGACCTTGGGCAAATTATCTCATCGCTTTAAGCCTGGATTTTCTTGTTTGTAAGAAGAGGATGATAAAACCAGTATCATAGAATTACTTTGAAAATAAGAAATCTCTGTGTGTGTGTGTGTATTGTTTAGTAAGACGTCTGACACTTGGTAAGCCTTAGCTAAAAAAGAAAAAAAAGGTAACAAAAACATCCTTGTCCAAAGAGAGAGTGGGAACCCCAGCATTCCTCACAGCCGGCTTTGCCAGGGCTGCCAAGGGCGTGACTTGCTGTTGAAGACCACAGAGTTCTTTGTTTCCATCTCTGCTAGAAGCGGTGCACACAGTCCCCCTCGCACTCACTGCTGCTCCCTCAAAGCTAGAGAACCAGAGCTGAGAAGCAGAAACCCTCTCAGTGGCCTGGCCCGTGCTGCAGACAGACAGAGCGGTCAAGGAAGGCCTCAGGACCAGAGGCAGAGAGAGGAATGGAGTGAGAGAGATCAATGCTGGACCCAAGATGATTAACGTGCCAACCTGGGGCACTGGCGCTAGGGAGATGGTCAGATCGATGGATTCCAAGCAAATGAAGAGCCTGGCGCATTCGGCAGCCAAGCTGTGAAGTTAAACACAGCGACGGGGCCAGGCGTTTGGTGAGCGATGAGGGTGATGAAACAGGACACATATATCTTGGGAAACAACACTGAGAGGCCAGATCTGGTTCTGAAAAATGTCTTTGCTCCTTGTCACCTTTCAAAGGCAAAATCACAGCTCTGTGAGTATGCATGTAGGAATATGAATGTGTGTGTGAGCACGTGCCAGTGTTTGTGTGTTGGGGGAGGGGTGCCTGTAAACACTACACCTTTGTCCTCTTATTCCACCAGGGCCCAGTAGTGCTGGGGAATGTGTTGTTTATTAGGTAGGTGCAAATAGAATTTCATTCCCATGGTTCTGAGAATCATAGCATATTAAAACTATTCAAATATATCCCATGTACTTATATGCTCTGTGGAACATGTTCTTGTAAAATTAACATATACTCTATTACCTCCTTATTAATGGGAAATTCTGAGGGACTGCCTTCATCCATCACAATAAGCTGGGCCCCTCAGCGTTCCCCGCCCCAAGCTGACAAGGCAAGTTCTGAGGTCCACAGGGAGCCAGGAGGGAAGGCCGTCTCTTTTCATCCATGCAATGCCTACACTATGCAGAAAAGGGAGGACCTCAAGACCAAGAAGCGATTATGTTGCAGCCCTTCTTCTGTGAACACGCTCAAAAACACACGAATGTTCCCGCTAAATCAGTGACTCCATCAACCTTGATCCACAGGCCTTGGCTGTGGCAGAGGGACTGCAGGAAGCCACGTGGCTGAGAACCCACCTTCTTATTACCATGTTGGGCAGTTTCTAGGAGTGCTTCCTGGTTTCAGATTTTCTTCCCTTTCAAAGCAGGGTGGGGGTGGTGTAAAGCCCTTGCTCGGGCTAGGAGCCAGATACGTGGCAGCTTAATTTTCCCCATTATGCAGGACAAATACCAAGAAGAATTCCCAGGTGTGTCTGCAGCCGTGAAAATGTGACATGAGTCACAGTGTCTTCGGAGGAAATGAAAGACCACAGGACGGGGACATGGCATCATGAAAAAAGATGCTTTGTGATTTTCAACATATGGTGACACTTTTCCTAATTTAGAGGGGGAAGCTGGGTTTTGAGTTTTCTTTTATCCTCCCTCTTTGTTAAAAGCAAGAGAAAGAAGATTTAAAGAACATCTGTGTATTCAAATGATAGAAATAGAATTATACACTTTCAAAAACAAGTTCTAGTATTTTTGTCTCTTTCAAAGATTTCCGAAGCCTATAGATTTCTCTCGTGTTTGTGAGAGCATTTCCTCTGAGACCTTAGACATAGTGTTGAAGTTGAAATGGTTTTTGTCTTTTTCCCCTTTCTGTTAACCCAGCCCCCACTTCATTCTGTTAATCTCCTTTAATTGGACTTAAGATAAGACTGAGTATGTTCAATATTTTTATTGAATTGAGTTTTATGTTTCCAGTCTGGATTTATAGACTGTTAAATAGAATGTTTTACGTTTCTCTCTCTCGCAAAGAAAATAACAAATACGTGTGGGACAGAGCCATCAGTCAATTATATCAGTGGATTGTTGGCAACTCACAGGGGGAAAAAAAAGAGCATTTTCACTCTACTCTTAGGGGAAAGCAATTATATTTAAGAGCAGTAGAAAGCCAAAACTAGCCTGGAACTTCAAAACGCCTTTCTTGACTGACCAAGAAAAGGTACAGTGACTACAATGACAAACCAGCCCCCAGCTCTTTTAGAAATCTACCCTGCCTCATGCTAAAGAGAAAGTAAGTGATGTTTCAGCCTCGGCGACCAGGCAGGAATAGAAAAATACATTGACAGTAGTTGGATAGACCTTAAAATTAAGTAAAAATTTCTTAATATACAAGATCTCAGTTTTCCCACAAACCTCCTTTCTGTCCAGAAATTTCCATGCCATTTACTGCCTGATCATGTCAGGAATGACGTTCTTCCTTGTTCTTGATTTTCCTTCCTGGAATGTTTTAATCCTGCCTCTCCAGAACACTTTTCCCTACTTCTTCTAGGCCCTACTCACAGCAATGTAGCTGACACATAGCATTAGCGTGCAAAACCTCAAATCCTTTCTGACTTGGAACTTCACCCAGGAAAGACCTCTAGCAAAAGTGCTGGCCATTGTGTCACAGGACAAACCCCTTTCAAAGAACAAAGCCATCATCATCTCAAAAGCCACAGTCACCACCTGGACCTTCCGTCCTGAGGAAAGGAATCTCCACCGAATCTAGGGGGAAGACCCCCCCACCAGTCTGTGCAAAAGATGAAGAATTGAGTATGCACCTACCTGTGCCCTTCCATTTCCACCTCTTCCCACCTTCCCCGTTTCTTTTTCCGTTCATTTTTTTTTCCACTTTAAAAACATCCAACTTTGCCTTGGGGATGAGCAGAATGAAATGTCACTTACCTATAAAAAGAGACAGAAGAGAAAGCCATGCATCACATTACACACAAGTTCTTTGAAATCAAGGCCAGCTTCCGACTTTGAAACTGTAACAATGAGTGAATATTATTTTTTCATCCTACCTTTCTATATTTAATGAAACTCAGGAGTTCGCAAGTAGCCTATCCCCAGGGCCCAGTCTCCCTTCGTGATTTTCCTTTTGTTTCTTTGCCTCCTCCGTCCCTCTTCACCACCCTAGCCCCACACCCTCTGTCCCCGCTTCATGGATGAAAGGTCAGGAAGGAATAAGGGGGGAGGGGTGCACAGACCCAGAGATCAAGGCCAGCCCTCAGATGTGGGCAGCAAGGTTTCGAGGCATGAGGAGCCGCTTTTCACCTCTTTTCTCACAGGCCACAGAGATGGGACCCAGGGTCAGTGCCGGCTGGTGCCTCTCGGGAGGAGGGAGGAAGGTCAGCTCCCTGCAGGGTGATTTTCCACCTGGTGGCTTCTGGGCTCTTTCAAATGACTCTGCTCTGAGTCTTCCTCCTCTCTCCCTCCCTCACCCTCACCCCCTCCGCCCTCCTGGTTTGGGTGTGAATGAATTCACCCAAGGTCTCCATCCCCCTCTTCATCCTGCAGCATCTGTCTTTCAGACCTGCTTCTACAGAAAACCTCATTATTGCAGCACCCTGAGGCCAACAACCACCTGAATGGGTCATTGTGTTCAGTCCCCTGCCTCAATACATGATGCAAACTGGCCCACCCGAGTCCTACGGGACACTTTGAGAACCCTGAGATACTGAGTCCCCGCCTTGCCCGGCTCCTGGCCGCAGAGGCTCCCTGTCTTCATGCAACAAGCTCCTTGTGGCCGACTGATTCGGTTCTGTCGGCTGTAAGGAAGCCAGGCTCTGAGCATTCTACTTGCAAGAACAGCCCCTCACCCACCACGCTATGTAGCGGATCCTTCACGTGCTCACATATTGGAAAATTGGCTTCAGGGTCCTGCCAGTGTCTTCTTCTTCTTATGCCTGAATAACTCATTTCCTTTTAGACTCTTCTTAAAGGTTTCAGTTTTCCATCTTTCCTCCTCCAAGCTCCTCTGAGACCCTCCGTGGAGGACAGCTCAGAGCTAAGCCCTGGAGAGAAAAGCAGCCACGTGTCCCCCGATTCTGTTGCTGCATCCCCCAAAGAGATTTCCAACCAAGATGCTCTGCCAGAAATGGAATTACGGTCAAATATTGCATCCCGATCACATTGGTATGTTAAAGACTTGGAGAGGGTTCGAGGTAAAGATCTATGCTGAAACTTTTCCTAACGGTATTTGACTCAGAAATGTTTCTTGCTATATATAAACTAAAACACCGTACTTCAGAAGGATGACTACTTTTTCTCTCATTATGAATGTAAAACTAAATACAATTGAGTTGGTATTATCACAAGCAGTGGCCAGAGGACCTTGAAGTCGATGGCCCGGCCACCATGCCCTATAGAAAGCTTGGGCTGAGGGCTCAGCATACAGGGTCTGGCTCAACTCCCTCACCCAGTGTGATGGAGGGCCATCCCCTTGCTCCCTGCAGCTCTCTCACCTGTGAGACAGGAGGACCCCGAAGCACCCTGCACACTAGGATGTGGTCAGGCTGCAACAATACTTTAAATGTGCTTTGCAAACTGTAAAGAGCACAACACTTTAAGGGTCTGTGGTGTCAGTACCTCTGTTCTTGAGGCCACACTCATGGGAGAAGAGATCACTTGGCCTCAGCTGCCCTGGGAGCTGGTGAAAAATGTGTGGTTTTGACTGTGGTCTGCCAATGAGACATCAGAGGCAGCAGTTCCTTGAATATTTCCCCTGCTCTGGACCCTGAGGGAGGGAACTGATACCAGAGGTCTTTTCTATCTTTAGTATCTATACCTACATGTCTTCCTCTATTGCACAGGGATGCTCTCTCTGCCTTCTCAGTGCTTACATCTATTTGTTTTTTTCTTTTTGGAGTCTCGCTCTGTCACCCAGGCTGGAGAGCAGTGGCGCGATATCAGCTCACTGCCAACCTCTGATGCCCTGGTTCAAGCGATTCTCGTGCCTCAGCCTCCCGAGAAGCTGGGATTACAGGTGCCTGCCACCATGCCCAGCTAATTTTTTGTATTTTTATTAGAGACAGGGTTTTGCCATGCTGTCCAGGCTGTTCTCTAACTCCTGACCTCTGGTGATCCGCCCACCTCGGCCTCCCAAAGTGCTGGAATTACAGGCGTGAGCCACCGCGTCCGGCCGCTTACACCTTTTAAAGCTTCTGATTCTGCTGTCTCTGCTCTGTGGCTTTGCATCTGGGCAAGTTTCTCCGCAGACCAGGAACCTCTAAGTCGGGGGAGGAAAGAGAGGTCGCTGAATCAGAGCAAGGCATGCCGTCCTCGTCTGCATCCTCTATTACTCTTGAATAAGAGAGAATGCGAGGACAAACGGGCATCAGCATAGTGACGTGTCCATGTAGGTTCACGAATGTAAGAGCTGCACCACGTGGGTGTGGAATGTTAACAGTTGGGGAGGCTGGGGCAGTGGGAAAAGGGGTCTATGGGAATGCTCTGTATTTTCCCCTTATTTTACTGGAACCTAAAACTGCTCCAAAAATAAAGTTTATGAATGAAAACAAATTACAGGCCCTTAAGTTCTTATTCATTCAAGAAAATCTTCTCAAGCACATTCTATGTGTAAGTCCCAGAATAATTTCTTATTGAATAGGAGAATTCTGAGAGATGACTGCATTTTCTGTGTACGGTGGACAGAATGGAAGAAATGGAACTAAGATCCTAGCCCTGGGAGAGACTGAAAACTTAATGGAAAGAGAGCAATATGCCCATAAAAAGTTAGGGAAATAGAAAACCATGTTGTCCCACGATTATCTCCCCACCCCACCCCTTTATCTTTGCAAACCTTATCTACAATTGAAACCCAGCTTAAGTGCCACCTGGCCCCTCAGGTCTCTTCAGAGCTCACTTCAGAATGTGTCACTCACATCTCACTCTTCCCCTCATACTCAACAGCTTGCTGCCTGCCTTGCCCTGTGGTTCTGTTCTGTTTTGCCATGTATTTGAGTCTGCTGTTTCCACTCTGCTCCTACATTTTGACTTTGCAACCCTGACAACATCTAGCCCAGGGTTTTCTGCAAAATGAGTTGTAAGAAAGCTCGAGGTTTCCAGACCTTTGTGAATGTGGAATTTGCAGATAAAAGATTGTGGGTCTATACACACTACTGTGATATGCTGAGATAGTGCTGGGATTCCAGCGATAAGAGATATGATGCCTGCCTTCTTATATCCTGGCAAGGCACACAGATAAGTAGGTGCTGAGCTGTAATATAGCATCCTATTGACAAGACAGAGGTAGGCATGGGGTGTTCTGAGGAGACAGTGGAGAAGTGTCTTCTATTTTGGTGCTAATAACAATACAAAGGAAAAACAAACTGGAATTGGTGGAGACCATCAACAAAAACTTCGAAGAAGAGGCTGGCCCTTTGCGAGCAGCTACCTGCTGACATGTGGCATTAAAAACACTGGTCCACCCTCTGCCCTTTATTCTTCCACGCCAGGGAAAGCTTGACTTGTTTTTCTCCCTTCCTGCACGGCATAGTTCTTCTGCCATGGAATTCCCCACTGACCTTTCCCAAATCGAAGGCTGGCCTCAGATGCTTTCCTCTCCAAAGGGCTCAGAACCCTAGACAGCAGCTAACTCTCAGACTGGGCCAGCGCTTGATGCTGGGCCTCCACTCAAGGGTCCCCTCACCTGACCCATTTCGATGATTTTTTTTTTTTTGGGCTGGTCTTCATAGGGCCATTGTAAAACCACAAGTGGAAACAGCTCAACTGCTCAAAGAGGGTTTCATCTGAAGGGCTTGACCTTCTCCAGGCCCGCCTTCCTCCCCGCTAACAATGCAGAGAAGCACTTGGTTAACCCCCTCAGTTCCAGAGCCAGGGACACTCCTCAGCCTCCGAGAGCTGAGCAACAGCGCCAGACCACCACGGTGGCTCACGGAGCACAGATGACTCGGTCAAACTTAAAAAGAGCAGATTCCACGTGCAATTCAAGTGCTTTCTGCAGAAGTAGGTCATCTTCTTGGGAAGTGTTTATAGTGACAGTTGCATACCTACTCCAAACTTGGACCTAGACTAGCTCTGTCTCAAACACCCTCTCTGAAGACTTCTGGGCCTCCAAGAAAAGAAAAACAGGGTGAAAAAGCCAGAGCTCAGCGCGCAGGGGCAGAACGAGGTAGTGCCCCTTCCTCCTCCTCCCCAGCTCTTATGCCCCGCCCTCCTCCTTTGTCCAAACCAGAACCGGAAAACCCATCAGCAGGAGCTCTGCCTCCTGTGACCTGCAGCAGTATATCTGTGACACAGGCTACAGGTAGCCAAGCCTCCAACTCCTTCTCCTTAGCATCTCTCAAGGACCTATGTCAAGTCCCAAGTCTATCCATGTGGTTGGGAGGATGGTTCCCAATGCCTGCAGTTATTCA
Source organism: Homo sapiens (assembly GCF_000001405.40). Lineage (NCBI taxonomy): Eukaryota > Metazoa > Chordata > Mammalia > Primates > Hominidae > Homo > Homo sapiens. The sequence goes on along the minus strand of NC_000011.10, from coordinate 131,656,453 downwards.
CTGGATTCAGAAGTGCCTCCTCACAGCCCATGCTGCATCGCAGGAAGGAAAAGAAAGCGAGAGTTGCTTCTGTGTCTTTTTAGGTGGGGAAATGAAGTGGGGTCATCTAGAGGTGCAGTATTTTTAGGCAAGTCTTTTTAAAGGACTGTGTGGGTGGATTTAAAATCTTTTCTCCAGCCACCCCCGTAACTGGGATGGTGGTGGTATGGAGACGAATCTCTTACACTTTTTTTCCTGAGGTCTTTTCTTTCCTTGCATAAAACACTACTGGAATGCAAAGCCTTCTCCCTTTACCTACCCATGTCTCCTCTATGCCCTAGAGCGTGAGGTCTGGCACTAACACTTTGCTGGTGGGAGTACTGAGGCCCAGGAAAATGGCAGATGAGGATCTGGTGGATTTGAGGGAAATGAAGGAAAAGCAGGGGGAACTGACCACTGGTCTAGGCTGTCCCTCATCTGCCCTCCCATTCCTTCCCAGGCTGAGGGAGGAGGTCCTCCCAGGACCTAGGGCACAGGTTCAATGGTGGGATAGGGCAGGTGCCCAGATGGCCAATCGATTTGGTCCCAGCACTTCAGAAAGGCACTGCTTCTATGCTGCTCTGGGTCTTCCAGTGGAGACTAGAATTTCTCTGAGCAGCACTTTTACTTTCCCTTCATTGCCTCACACAGAGCTTGGCTGGGTAGGAGATGTTTCTTTTCATTCCAGTGAGCATATTTATTAATTTCCACAGTCAGATCGAACAATGTGCTAAACATCTAGGGGATCTCAATTGTCCTCCCTGCCAGTCCACCGTCCTTTCTCCACCACTTCTGAGTGGGGAATGGACCCGGCAGGGGCTGTGGTCCCAGCTCACCAGCAGGCCAAGCCCACAGCCTCCCATACGTGTCTTTTACAGCAAAGCAGCTGAGAGCAGCCCCCTGCACAGAAACAACCGAGCCAGAGACTTCTCTGTGTTTCTGGAAGCCCTGGAGGTTGTTGCTGACCTTGCCTTTTTTCAGGTTTCCTGTTTTTCTCTGAGGTGTTGCCAAAAAGGAAGGAGGAAGGTACCAGATTAAATGCTACTAATTAGCATCTTCTCCCGGATGATGGAGCAAGTGTCTGGAAATTGCTAAGAATTCCAGAAAACACAAAGGATAGCTCTGGTGTAGGGTAAGGATGGGAGCCTCTGTTTTCTTAACAGCTAAGCTCTCAGATACTAAGCCAGTAGTTCTCAACTTTGTCTGCACACAAGAATGACTTCAGAAGACTTGAAAAACCCGCATACTCAAGTCGTATCCCAACCCCATCACCTCAGAATCCTTGAGAATGGGACCCTGCACTCCTGTTTCTAAAAACTCTCTGAGTGATTCCAACATGCAGCCAAATGTGGGAAGCAGTGTGCTACAGCGTGCCCGAGGACCGGCGGAGTGGCGGGGGCGGGGTTGGTAAAACACAGGTGCGAGCCCCAGGCCCAGCATTTCCGATTGAGTACATGTGCATGTGGCCTGAGATTTTTCATTTCTGAGTAGCTGGGTGGATTAATCCATTTTGCATTGCTATAAAAGAATACTTGAGACTGGGTAATTTATAAAGAAAAGAGGTGTATTTGGCTCACAGTTCTGCAGGCTGTATAAGTAGCGTGGCTCCAATGCCAGCTTCTGGTGAGGCCTCAGGGAGCTTCCACTCATGGCAAAAGGCAAGGGGAGTGGGTGTGTCACATGGTGAGAGAGGGAACAAGAGCAAGCGTGGGAGGTGCCAGGCCCTTTTTAACAACCAGATCTCAGGCGAACTAACAGAGCCAGAACTCACTCATTACTGCCAGGACCCCATCAAGCCACTCACGAAGAATCCGCTCCCATTACCCAACACCTCCCACCAGGCCTCACCTCCAACCTTGGGGGTCACATTTCAGCATGAGATTTGGAAGGGACAAACACCCAACTATATGACTGGGTGATGACACTGCTATTGGCAGAGACCGGACTCTGAGAAGCTCTGCATTAGATGGAACCCTGAGACTCCCGGAAAAAAAAAACCTGTCGGGACTGGACGAGTTGCTTTTCAATACAACTGCGGTTCTTGTGGCCGTGAGGTCCCCTCACCTCCTCCCAGGCTTCCCTGGGACACACAGAAGGACACCGGCCCTGCCTTTGGCGGTGGGGGTGGATGGGTCACATGGCTTTTCCTTGACATTCTAGGGCTGCGCCTGGAAAGGAAGCCTTAGGTGAAAGGGGCTTCAACCACTGAAAGAAAAGGCAGACGACCTCCTTTCTTCCTGCCTCTCCTGCTGACAGAGGATTCTGACTTTATGCCTTTAAAAATGAACCCCACGATCCCACCAAACCTCCTCCTGAGGACAGGAACAAGGTTGTCTTCTCCCACCATCACCGGTTACAGTCCTGTACACATGAGAGCTGTCTGTTGAATTAATCAATGAATGAACTCTCCATCTGACGGGCAGGGAAGCCAAGAGACAGTCACATTGTTGCTGATGGAGAAGAAGGTATTGTTGAGCTTAATCGACAAATATTGAGCAAACACCTTCAATGAGCACCTGCCCACCTTCCTGATAAGGCTGGAGGCTGTAACAACCTGAGACAGGAATTTTACTTGCATGAAATTATATAATTTCCAGCCCAATTATCACCAATGTATCCTGGTCATTCCGAAAGCCACTCCTCCAAAGGACAGCCTAGAAAAGAGGCCGCGGGGGGAGCCCTCTGAGGGGGTGCTTTGGTGTGGTCCCCACCTGTGTTCTCATACTGGAAGCTCCACCAGGACCCCACACGCAGGGGTGCCCTACACTCTCAGCTCCAGGCACTCGGGTAGGAGCAGCAAGCTGGCTCCAGCTTTGCATCCTGCTAAACATCTCACAGTTTGCACAGATGAGGATTGCCCTCCACTCAGCCACTGTGGCAGGGGAGAGGCAGAGCCAGGGGGCTGCATTTCTCCCTCCCTCTGAGCTTGTTCATATAGTAAAACACAGAGGCCCCACTGTGACTGTTGATCACATCCAAAGCAAAGGCAGGTTTTGAAATTCATCAGAGATTTCTTCCGCAGCTGCAGGCAGCGAGGCCTGAGCCTTCCCCTCCCCCAGGGCCCTCCGGCTGATGTCCGTCCTCCCCTGGAAGCAAGGAAGACTGTGAGGTTGTCTTTCCAGTGGGCCACATCTGTTTCTGAAGGCTAAGAGAGACAGCAGGTGGAGGGAGACATGTGAGACTGAAAGAACAAAGGAAGAAAAAAAAAAGATAACCTCAAAAAAAAGGTCCCTAAGAAAGGAAGACTACAAAGCAGGGACCGAAGTCTCTTCTTTCCTGCCTTCTCCTTTCTGGAGCTGGCTCTGTGGTCCACACAGGGCACACCCATGGGAACCTGGTGAAGGAAGCCTGCATCATCCAGTCCCTGGGAGAAATTGCAGCAGCTCGTCAAATAGCGGGGTGGCTGTAATCATGCTACAGTCTGTGATCGGTGGGTTTTATGGAGATGTTTTGGAGACTGGTAATAAGGTTGCTTCCGTCAACAATCTGGCAGGGCGGTAAAGGATGAAGGCAATTGTGCAGGTTGCATTCCAAGTGGCTTTCTGAAGGCGGAGTGACCGCCACCCATGGCCACCTGTGCCAGGGCGTACTTCCTGATCGGAGGGTCTGGAGTGCCCCGACTTGCTCAGATTCCTGCCCTGCTGCAGCGTGGAGCAATCCTATTGTGTCTATTCTCATTGGTTTGCTTGTTTTCATTGAGAAAGCAGGTCTAAGTCCCGCTGCCCAACAGGCAGGGGAGGGCATGCTGGACCAGTCACAATCCAGATGCTGACAAATCCCCCTGCCCACTCCAGAACCCGCTCTGCCTCTGTCCACAGGTAGGGTGAGCCAGCTGCTGTCTTGCCCCAAGTTGGGCTGCTAAGTATTTGACAACAGTGCTGAGCAGCAAACTTCCAAAAACATCAACTGTGAGAGTGAGTTGAGCATGTCAGGAGATGAGCCTGGGTCCCTGAAGCCTCTCGTTCTTCTGTCAGCTGTGCATGACCTTGGGTCTGGGCCCCAGGCCAAGGGAACAAGGCCTGGGGCACCACCTTGCTTTGTTCTGGTTTGTGGCCACTGGAAATCTGAGTACATCGATTTTCCCAGTAAATATATCTGGTTGCCAAGGAAGCCTCATCAGGAACTGTGAGTGTTATCTCAAGCCTTTTCTCATAGAAAAAAAACACAATGATCATGTCTCTATTCAGGTGCTGCTCCATGTGTATAGCCATTTACCTCCATTCTTAGGCTCTTTGATCCTCACAGAAGCCTTATGGGGCCAATCTTCTTTTACATTTCCATTTTACACAAGAGGACATGGATATTGGGAAGGCTGTCATTTTCTTAAGGTCACAAGTTAACTCATAAGTCTAGAACTCGAGTGACATGCTCCCAATCCTGTGTCTGTATTCTAAGCATTCTCTGATGGGAGAGTGTCTGCTTCCAGGACAAAGAGCAGCTCTGCTGGGGGCCACCTCAGGCTGTTTGGGCCTGTATCTATCTGTTCCCTGACCTCAGAACAGCACAGCGGATGAGCTGACCTAAGCTTCCCCCGGAGTGGAATCCATTTTGCTTTTTATGATATTTTTTTTTTTCTTTTTTTGGGTCGGGGGGGCGGGGACGGAGTCTCACATTGTTTCCAGACTGTAGCGTAGTGGCGTGATCTCAGCTCACTGCAGCCTCCGCCTCCTGCGTTCAAGCGATTCTCCTGCCTCAGCCTCCCAAGTAGCTGGGAGTACAGGAGTGGGCCACCATGCCCAGCTAATTTTTGTATTTTTAGTAAAAAACAGGGTTTCACCATGTTCGCCAGGATGGTCTCTATCTCTTGACCTCATGATCCACCTGCCTCGGTCTCTCAAAATGCTGGGATTACAGGCGTGAGACACTGTGCCCGGCCTTTATGATCTTTTTATCCCCAGCCTAGGAGACAAAGATTTAAATGCACTAGTCCCGAGCTGAATGTATGACCAAGAATCCTACCAGTGCTGGTGAATGAGCTTTATTCCACAGCATCTGCCAGGGAATCTTGCTTAAAGTTTACTATGGAAGATGTGCAATTGATTTGAATGCAGATAACAATGAGTAGCTAATTCTCCATAAATGTTTTTAATAACTGGTTGGTATTTATTCAACTTGTTTTTTGACTAGCTATACACAACTAGAATTTATGTGGTGCTTACTGTGTGTTAAATGAAAATCAAATGATTATTAAAAACATTTACTGAGGATTAATTCTGCAATAACCACCTACACAGTATCTGTCAAAGTAAATCCTCAACAAATGCATATTTGAGGAGCTTAATTTAAATTGTTTTTATGAAGCAAACTTAAAAAAATACTTTTGAGAACAGTCGGTAGTTGCAAAAGTCAGGATCTAAGGTTTGTTGTTCACTCAACTAAAAATGACAGCATTCTTGGTCTTTTGTATCTACATATTTGTAAACCACATGCACCAAAAACAAAGAACTGAGCAAAAAACTAGAAATCTTGGTCAATAGATTAAATTTATATGTAACTTATTGAAGATTAATAGTATCTAAATGCCTAGAAAACATGTGGAGCTAGCACTGGAGTCACCCAGTCTCCAAACAATGACTCATTTACCAACCCCTGAAGAAGAAGGAGGCCAAGAGATTTCTCGATATTTTCTTGAAATTATATAACAGAATTTCCCAGTAATTTTTTTAAATTTGGTATTTTTTTTTCTGATGTAGTTTAAGCTCATTTCCTCTGGGGAGGGCATAGTAATAATGGGAAATAGTAAATTACTGTTCCTATATCCCTCAACAGAGCCCTTCTTACATAGATGATGATGGTGATGATGATGATGGCTGTTTATTGAGAACTTTCTGTGAGCCAGGCACATAATCTCATTTTATCTTCACAAACATCTTCTCAGCAGTCTTGTTATTTTTACTGTTTTTCATAGTAAAATAGTCTTTACTGAGAAACCAGGGAAGTCAAAATCTGAAGGCTGGACCGAACTTTCAAAAGCTCTGGCAAAGAATGAGGAGCCATGTTGGAGCAGAGGTCTGGCAGAGAAGAGAAGACAAATGCAGACCAACATCATCCAATGAGGTCAGTAATGTAGGAGAAGCAATGGCCCCTCGCCACAGTGAACCAATGTTACTCTAAGTCCACACCTCTTGACTAGCACACCTGTGAGGATGTACCCCCCAAATTTAGGAGGGCATTGCTTTTAGAATCACTGGGGAATCCAGAGATTTCATCTTCAAGAAAGAACATTTGCTTGCAGCGTTGCCTATCAGAGAACATGGTGTCTTAGTGAAATGGTACCTGGGACTGCCTCACGGTCCTGCTATACCATGAATAGTCTGTGTGGTGTTAGACAGCATTACACCTCCCTGGGCCTTGTTCCCTCCTCCAGAAACCAGAGGCAGTGAGAAGGGTGATGCCTAAGCTTCCTGCTTCCTTCCTGTGTAACTGTCTGTGGTGTGCTTCATCAGATAAACGGGAAAGAAGCGTGTCTGCTCAAAGTCTAGAGCAACTGCCCTGGCACCACTGTTGACCTATGGGCAGGTCATTAGAATTGAATAGATCGTAAGGTGGGAAGGGGGTCAGTCTGGGAAATGCTAACTTTGCAAAACAAGCCTATTTAACAATTACTAGCATACAAGAAGTGTTCACCCCAAAAGTTAAGAAGAAAAAAAGCACAAAATTATTGGTTATTCATGGACTATCATCCACTTCCCTTTCACCTATCTGGTCACCATGTGTATTGGCTGAGAACCTAGAAAGGCTTAAACTACATGCACCGCCTCCCCCCACCCAAACACACACATACAGAGTTTACTATCTACGGTGTTTCTGCTGAACGAGGCGATTAACTCCTTGACCTTATGGAACTCTAGTGTGACCTCGGAGAATAGATAGAATCTTGTTATCTTGTAATGAGTTTTATGGCTTATTTCAGTACATCTCAGCCATGTTTCTCTGGTGATTAAGGCAATTATCAGCCCATGCATTTTAGGATTATGAATAATGGAGCTCTCTCCAGGTGATGGAAAGGCCTTGGGAACGTTCAGACCACTTTTTATCCCGTTCAATACTTATTCCCATACTCCCTCCCCGATATGCATAAACAGACACTGCATTCTGTTTCTGGACGCACCATGGTGCCCTTTCTACCCTTTACTTGGATATGATTATCACAGCAATAACTTTTAGATTTAATTGATGTAAGTAAATCCCCTGTTTACCATTCATGGGTGCCACGCACAGTGTTTCAATTACTATCATTATTGCTTAGGATCTGGGGAAAGGTGTCACTTGATCTGAGCTTGCCATCTTCCACTACAATGTTATGGCTTGAGTGCCAGTGATTATCTGAACAAACGTAGTTGTTCGAGTGACCAACCTTCCCCCGTGCACCTGTCATAGTGCTCGATGAGAGGGAAAACACGGGCACAACATCAGCGGACCTCAGGGGGCCTGCTTTTTTCTCAGGCTCATGCTTTGCTCTTTGTCAAGTCCTTACTTTACCTTTGAATTCATGTAACCCTGGGTGGTTTTTATTCTTCTATGTCTTCTTTCTGGATGTGCCACCAAAAGTAGTTCCTGAATATTCCTTAAAAAGGCCTCCCAGAGAAATATGCAATATATGATAGATTCTATATCTTCCCACCCTTTAGTAAGTATAGTGAGGAAACAAGAGTGTGACGATAGTTTACATCCCACCATCTACTCACTGTTACTGCCTCTTTTTTCATAGTATGAATAATAAAGGCATGTTGGTATTACAAAGAAATGGGGTTTGTAAGAATATATGTTATCAAAAGAAACTAGGTCTGAAGCTGTACTTGTCGCAGGACACAATATATGCCTAAAGGAAATTACCTAAATTAAGAATTGAAATCATCTTTTCTAAAGCACAATGAGATACCATCTCATTCCAGTCAGAATGGCTACTATTAAAATTCAAAAAATAAATGCTGGTGAGGTTGGGGAGAAAATGGAACACTTATACACTATTGGTGGGAGTGTAAATTAGTTCAAACATTGTGAAAAACAGTGTGGTGATTCCTCAAAGAGCTGAAAACAAAACTACCATTTGACCCAGCAAACCCACTGTTGGGTATATATACATACCCAGAGGAATATAAATCATTCTATCATAAAGACATATTCACATGCATGTTCACTCCAGCATGACTCACAATAGCAAAGACATGGAATCAATGGTGGACTGGATAAAGAAAACATGGTACATCCACACAATGGAACACTATGCAGCCATAAAAAAGAACAAAATCCCATCCTTTGCGGCAACATGGATGGAGCTGGAGGCCATCACCCTTAGCAAACTAATGCAGGAACAGACAGCCAAATACCACATGCTCTCACTTATAAGTGGGAGCTAAGTGATGAGAACACATGGACACAAAGAAGGGAACCACAGACACTGGGACCTATCAGGAGATAGAGGGTGAGAGGAGAAAGAGGAGCAGAAGAAAATAACTATTGGGTACTAGGCTTTGTCACCTAGGTAACAAAATAATCTGTCCAACAAACCCCCATGACACGAGTTTACCTATTAACAAACCTGCACATGTACCCCTTAACCCAAAACAAAAGTTAACAAAAAGACTATCCTTTCTGGATAGTTAAATAAAACATATCTATAAAGTACACATACATTAACTTTTTCTTCTGTTTTGGGTCCCTGAAAAATCCTGGGGCAGTAATATTTTGACCCAGCATGGTATAATATAAAAATCACATATGAATTTATACCCCAGTTCCATCATTTACAAATCATATAATTTTGGAAAAATTGTTTAACTCTGCTAAGGCTTAATTCTCTCGTTTATTAAATGGACATGATTTATAGAATTCACAACTTTGGCAAGAATCAAATGAGATAAAATATAAAAATTACCTGGCAGGCTGTGCAGCTGATTGTATGTCAGATCACACACCCCCAAGTTTTTCTCATCACTTGCCCTTCTTCAGGGTCCCCTTGTTTGCTAAGGGACTCCCCAGATGACCTCCCTCCACAATATTTTACAGAGTAGCCCACAGGCAGTGTAGGGCTGCCCATTGCGAAGCCATCCCCGAAGGTTAGAGATGCACTGTTCCATGCCTGGCACTCTTTAATCACCTATTGATGTCCATCCGCGCAGCTACAAAAATCCTTGATGGTGCGACTTTCAAGTCTGAAGTAAGCCCTGAATTTCTTTCTTTGCTCAGGGTTCATATTTTCCCTGCATCAAATGCTTCTGAGTCTCCAGGACTTGCCTTGCTATTTCTGGACCCCTCTCCACGATCCCCTTGACCTTTAGTTAAGGAAAGTTGGTGGGGGATATAATCCCACTGAGAAAACGTGTGGGATTTAAGATGAGTTCACCCCGAGTTATCAGGTGGCACAGCCAGGGTACGAAGAGTAAACTTTTCACACACAGCCGAAGGCCTGGGAGCCCTGCAAGGCAGTGCATTATTTTAATCTCCCCTTTTGCGTGTTCTGTCCACATTTAATTCTGGACCTAGAGCTTTACATGCTCTTTAGCAAGCACTTTATAGTGTGAATGTGGCCGAGAAATAGTGAGCACGTCCTTGTATGTCTTCTATAATATAAAAATCAATACTGAAAACTGGGAAATATGTCTCACTGGGAATAGTAGGTTAAAATCGGAACAAAACTCCAAATGTTGATAAGGCTGAGATTGAAACCCCCTTTAGAGTTCATGTTTTTCTCAGTTCCCCACTATACGTTTCTGTTGGAGGTATCTGACGGTTATTACATCTCCCTAGAAGTTCCTGGCTAAATTGCAAGATTTGAAAAAAAACGATTCTAAGTGTGAGACAATACACAAAAAATTTTAGTACCACGTATGCTAAAATGTCCTCTAAAAAGGTAGAGCACAATAAAAAATCTGGAACTTCATCTAAAATCTGCATATAAATAGACCATGGCACTGAATATTCTAAAGAAATAATTGACTTGCAGAAACAGAAGTTCAGGGGATCTCCTTTTCAAACTGATACTAGTAGAAGAGAAAAGAAATGGGTTAGGGCCTGGGGAAGAAAGCTGGACTTGTAGAATTTTTTTTCTTTGTGAGTTTAGAAGAAAGGATCCACTTTTTTCTTTATACGCATCAAAAATAGAAATAGAGAAAAGGGCCAGGTAGTAGATCTTCAGGCTAGCAGGCCCTCTATTCTCTGATTCAACTATTCAGCTCTGCTGTTGTCTCATGATAGCAACCACAGACCATATGAGAAAGAATGAGTGTGGCTGTGTTTTTATGACACTTTATTTATGAAAAGAAGCAATGGGTTAGATCGGGCCCATGGGCACAGTTTGCTGACCCCGTCTTAGATGATCAATTGCGTATTTGCCCTTGAAGCCTGCCCAGGAAGTGGGCTTATCCTCTTATCAATATCTCTGTGCTAACCATGCACATACATGCAGCTTCTAAATCTTTCACACCTGTGCTCCGTACTGACATGTCTATAGCTAAGGTTGATATTAGGTTTCATACTTTAGATTCTTGGTTAGACGCAAAGCCTTGGTATCTCACTTTGCAAAAGCCAAACGTCATGAACGTTTCTAATGGTATAGAGTGATGTTAGGATCTTGATTCAACCCCAACATTAGCTGTGCATCCATTCCATATGCTCCATATAACCCCATGTCCACAGACCTATCCAAGATCCCATTGAAAGAAGTATGAAAGGCAGAACATTTGACACTCCGAAGGAGAACTTCCAATCAAATGGAGAAAACAAAAAACATATATACACACATATTTTAAAAGATACAATGTACTAATAAGTAAAAAAAAATGGACATAAAGGCGTAAGAACTAGAAGAATGCCAAAGTACATATTTAGATGAAGGCTTCATAGAAGAGGTGAATTTTTAAAACTAGTGTCTGTAAAAGAGTAAGATTTCACTTGAGGGGAAAGAATAGATTTCCTGTGGTTTGGTTTAATACCCAGAACTCCTTTCCCTATTTAGCATGTAGGTCTGAAGGTGTCTGACGTGACTGAAAGGCAATGCCCTTTCACTCCTTTCCCCAGCACGTCTGCTGCCTCTGCTTGCTCTCCAGCCACTGGTGTCTGACTCAGGAGGACTGGGAGCATTGCAGAAAGGCTGGGAAGAGCAAACGCACGGCGAGGAGAAAGGAGACCCCTCTTACTGGGAAGGCCTCACAAAGCAGCAGCCTCATACGATTTTCAAGTGCAGGGCCTTGTCATTAAAACTAAACCCTGCTGCTTTCTTATCACCTTGGGGTGGTTACTTTACTTCTCTATGCCTCAATTTTCCAGCTATGAAATGGTTAATAATATTATTGACCTCATGTGATTATTGTGAGGTATACTTACTATAAATAATGCACTTAAAATAGGGCCTAGAGTCTGGTCAGGGCTCAATCTGTGGTACATTTTTATGTGGACACAGGGTACAAGGATCCCCAAACGTGGACCCAGAGAAGCTTGACAGAGTACACGCTTGGCAATGCTGTGAGCCTGCCTGTTGTCGAAGGAGCACTTGATGGAGTTTGGTAGCAAGTGTAACAAAATGAGATAAATGAAGAGGTTCTAATTCCCATTATAAAACACCTGAACATACATGGGCTCACTGCCAGCATCCTAAATTCTTTTTTTAGGAAAACAAAACAAAACAAAACAAAACTAAATTCCCTTCTTACCCAAATTGGCCAAAGGAAAAAAAAAATGTATCTTTCAATCTTCTTAAGAAAAATCCATCATGTTGATAAAATATTTAGGGAAGGAAATTGAGAAATTCTACAACCTAAGCCCCTTATCATAAGTATGTTTCTAAGAGTTATATACCATGATGAAGAAAATCCAAATATGAAAGGATTTCTCAATTCCTGCTGGTATACCGCATTGTTATCTTATGTGGTGTTTAGAAAATAAACTTCTGTGGCGAGTAATGAATTTGGGCAGTCCCTCAGCAAGAGCAGGCTAAGTAGTAGGAGTCCCCCTTCGTTGGTACGGTTTGCTGGCCATGAGACTGGACTGATGGGACTATCTGGCTAATAATCAAAAGAACAGAATGGGAAACTCCCTGGGGCAGCCCCAGTCACAGGTCCTAGAATGCAGCTTGTCAACATCCCACCACAGCCACTGGAGCGAGAAGTTCAGGTATGATCACCTATTTAGGTATAATCACATATATTCATGTATTCCACATGAGTAGGTAAATAGATACTCAGTCTAATGGGTCCCTCTGAGCATCTTCAACCTCCCTTGGCTCTTTGCTCCTCCCCTAATGACAGTATCAGTCTCAGCTAGGAGGCAGAGAGGAAGGGAAGCTGAAGATGAAGGGAAGGAATCTCTTGGGGAGGTCGCATGCAACCTCCTGCACATTCAGCCGAAGCCATACCACCAGAGTTCCAGCTCCATGGCCTCTGAATCCATTCCCCTGACACCACTCTGTATTCTCCTGGGAGATTCTGCAGAAGTCGTCTTATAATGAATGATGATCAAAGAAGTTCAGAATGTCTGTGCATACATGATTATGCCCATATTGCCAAAATCCAAAGCAGAACCCATGTTGTGGTAGTGTGTACCCTCAGGACACACCTCTGGTCTCAGGTCTGGAGACCTCTCAGTCTTCTTTTACAACTCTCTCACAGTACTGAGTTTGTCCAAGTGAACTCTCAGCCTGGCCCTGTATTCTGTGACCCACAGATCTGCAGGCTCGGTAATGGCAGCACACGTTTCTGCACTGTGTTATTGTAGCTCCAGCAACCAGACAGCACATAGTAGGAAGTCAATGCGTATTTTTTAAACAGTTGAATGGATGATAGACAGGGTGGTTCAGTAGGACTAGGGGTCCTGCACTCCCCTCTAGATGATTAGGCTCACTGCAATCTCAGGATAAATGTATCCATAAGCTTCTGTGCGACACGAGAGAGAGAGAGAGAGTTGAGTAGAGCCCTAGGGACTACTGATCCAGGGCAAAGGACAAGAGTTGGCCAGCTCTTGAGGAAGGGGCCTTAATGTCACTAACAGCCTTCATCCCCTGGGTCTTCTACTGACATGACGAGTACACAGTGCTCATGCTGGGCCGCTCCGCGCACACCCGGGTACACCATGTGCTGGAACCGTCAGCAGGCTTCCTGCAGCCCTCTGGGCCACGACTGGCACGGCCAGAACAAAGCAGGCACATGGAAAGTGTCATATCAGCAGGAGTCTCCTGTTGATAGAATCATCCCTTAACTCACTCTGAGCTGTGCCATTTAATTACCTTGATCCATGCTTTGTTTTGCTAAAGTGAATGTCACAAATTGAGTGTTACTTGCTGAAAATAACGACAGGGGCTCGGATGCTTCTGTAATAGGAATTGAAATATGATCTCTCTTTTCCCCTCAACCATTTTCTCATTCCCCCCTTCTGAGTTTTTTTTTTTTTTCATTCTTTTTCCTTTAAGTGTAGAATGTAAAATATTAATTCTGAGCAGAAGTAAAATTAAGCCCTCTGGAAACGATTCTGGGAAACGGAGCCACAGCCTGACTTAATTAAGAAGCGATTATGCTGAAGAGCCTATATTAAGGCTTCACGTTTTGGGTACAGAGAGAATTGCTGTTAGAGGAGTCAAGTCAGGTAGCAGAGGGGGACTGAGGAAAAGACAGGACGATAATTGGATAGATGAGAAAAAGCAATGTTTGTTGTAGTAATGAAAAAAATAGTGGGTGAAATTTAAATTGGTTTGGAGATTCCTCAACACCATCTTTCAGAAAGGTCAAGATGAGGTGTCACTATGTCCTCCAAACTTTTTGGATGACCCCAGGTTGGGTCAACTCCATTTCTTTTCCTTCCCCTGTAGCTTGGGTGTCTGGACAGGCATCAGGGAATGGGCCATGTCTGTAGCAAAACTCCAGGGAACGTGGTTAGCCCCCTGCTGCTCTAAGGATGGCAACAACTAATCAGCCCCACAAATTTATGGGCTCCAGGGATGTGAGCAGATGGGTGTTTAACTTAACAGCAAATCCAATTTGTCCTCCATTAATTCCAGAGTGATACCTGAGTTTATTGGAGTTTTATATTGTTTCATCTGTTTCAAAGTTGCTTCTCCCACTTCCCCAAATTGTTATTCTTTTGACAAGCAACTATCTGGATCTCTCTCCAGTTTCCAGAATGAAGTACTGACTCAACTTCACACTGCTTTGGCTCTCTAATGTGTGGAGGATGCCTGGGAGTCAGGTTCCTGGTGGTCTTCACAAGCTAGAGCTTGCTTCCCACACCTTCATGTCTGTGAGGCTCCATGTTGCCTGCTTAGCACTGTTTATCCAGCCTGACCAACTGCTCCAAGTGGCTGCCGTGTGTCAGGAAATGGCCCTCCTAAACAATACCAGAATTTTAGTGAGTATCTCCTTTTGTTCTCCTCTTCACTAAAGAGTCATTTTAAAGATTGGATGTCTTAAAATCTAGAATATTGGGGCCGGGCACAGTGGCTCATGCCTGTAATCCTAGCACTTAGGGAGGCCAAGGCAGGTGGATCATGAGGTCAGGAGATCGAGACCATCCTCGCCAACATGGTGAAACCCCATCTCTACTAAAAATACAAAAATTAACTGAGCGTGGTGGCATGTGCCCGTAGTCCCAGCTACTGGGGAGGCTGAAGCAGGAGAATCACTTGAACCCGGGAGTTGGAGGTTGCAGTGAGCCGAGATCATGCTACTGCACTCCAGCCTGGGAACAGAGGGAGACTCCATCAAAAAAAAAAAAAAAAAATCTAGACTATTAGAGCTTTAAAGAAACTCAGTTATCCACTGAATTAATTTGCAAGTAGTGCACCTTTTGTGGCCACTGCCAATTATCTAGTCTTTTCCTCTCAAAGAAAAGAGGTTGGCAACCCATAGCTTCCCCCCCTTGGAAATGGCAGGCAGGCTGACAGTTCAAAACCCCAGACAGGTATCAGTGAATGACCTTCAGACTTTCTCTTCATTTGACCTCACCAGACCAGGGATCCATGGAGGTCTCAGAGAGGCTTCGTAGAGGTAGGTCGCAGCTCTACCACCTAAGATCTGCTGCAACCAGAGACGATCCCTTCAGTCTGGTCTATTTTAAAGTGTTCCAATGTGAAACAGATTTTGAAAACCACCAATGTAGTCTAACTCCCCTCTTTTTATCAATGAGAAAACAAAACAATGAAAACTAAGGCTGAGCAACATTAGTGGCTTTCTAAGATCACAGCAGCAGAATATCAAGTAAAACTCCGACTTCCCATTCAAAGTCATGCTGCCATTTTACAGAACTCCTCAGTGTAGTGAACAAGGAAAACATGATCGTTGTCATTATCACATTGACCTGGGTAAAGAATGCAAGTCTGACCAGAGGGATTAGGAACCAGTGTCAGTGTCGACAGCCATTAATTGTCCTCAAGTAGCAAATGAGCACAGAGAGACTGCTCCTAAGAATATGCGGTTGCTTGTGTAGACCAATTTCGGGTCTCTTGAGCAATGTCATCCCTATGATTCCCTTTGTATTGGTACTGACAGCAAATATAGAGTGCTGATATTCCTGTCTGGAAAATACGAGTAACTTGCTTAATTCTGTAGCCTGGTGAGCAAAGAAAAGACAGAGATCAGTTGCCTTTAGTTATTGATGTGGAGACACTGTGCGCCAGATACAGTCATTCTTATCCCAAATGGCCTAGGAAGATTTTAAACAATTTTAATGTTTAGGTCCCTCCTTGAGATTCTGCTTCAGTAGTTTTAGAGTGGGTGGGACAAGGACATCTACAGGTTTTTTAAACCCTTCATGGGTAATTCCCATATTAAGAAGGGTGAGGTGACTGGCTTAGCAGGCACAGCACTTAATTGAAATCACCTGTGGAGTGAGACATCCTGCAAGTGTGGCCTCTGGACTCGAAGTCTCACATTTCACTAGGAAAGTAACACAAGATCTTTCTCTAAGCAGTAGGGTAGAGCCAGCCTCATTAGCAAGAAAAAAAGATGGCAAATTAGGTCAATCTCATGGTTCAGGCAACACCAAAATACGGCTGATGAGAGCCTGCAGGAAGCCTCTGACGGGAGGAATGAGTCCTCCCTGGGCTTTACTTTCCACAGGTAAGAACGAACAAAGGCTGCGTCTTCCTTTGTGAATAATCTTTTTCAGGATATATGCATCTCAACCTTTATTGAACCCATTTTTGCTCTTAGTCTTTGTCTTATTCTCATAAGAACAGGTTGCACATATTTATCCTTCCAGCATCAGGAAGTACTGTTTCCTCCGGTTTGGTCTCATCCTTTGCTTAGGCTTAAGGAAACCCTTTGAAGATTATATTCTTCCCAGCTGCAAGGAGGTTACAGAACCAGCACAAGATCACAGAAGAAAGAAAACAAAAAGACGTTCTCAGAATTGGAGCTTCTCTGCCACCATCCTCCTCCGGGATGGACGCCCCCATGTCTTCCTAGCTCAATAGAACCAGAAGAGAAATTGGGCCATTCACTTTTTTTTTATTTATTTATTTTTATTTTATTATTTATTTTTATTTTTATTTTTTGACACGGAGTCTCGCTCTGTCACCCAGGCTGGAGTGCAGTGGTGTGATCTTGGCTCACTGCAACCTCCGCCTCCCGGGTTCAAGTGATTCTCCTGCCTCAGCCTCTCAAGTAGCTGGGACTACAGGCGCCCGCCACCACACCCGGCTAATTTTTGTATTTTTAGTAAAGATGGGGTTTCACCATGTTGGCCAGGCTGGTCTCGAACTCCTGACCTTGTGATCTGCCTGCCTCGGCCTCCCAAAGTGCTGGGATTACAGGCGTGAGCCACCGCGCCGGGCCAGGGCCACTCACTTTTTGAAAGGTTACCAGCCTCTCCCAAGACAGGGCCCGAGAGGTCTTTGCATGGTGGGGCAGAGGCAACGGTTGTGCTTCAGAAAGAGATTCTTCTACCCCTTAGTTAAACAGAAAATAGTTAGGTCTTGCAGTTCCCAACTATGCAGAACTATATCTGACCTACGAGGTAGGATGTCTGTGGTGTGATATCAAAGACAGCACGTGTAATTTTTTTAGTTTTCTAAGATTTCTTTATTGAAAGTGGCACTTCCATTTCAACTATCAAATTCTTATCTGAGAAATTGCCATTTTCTCTGGAAAATAAATGCTATCAGCAAAGAGAGGAAGGCACAGTCAACAACTTCTTAGTAAATCCCCAAACCGAAAGAAAAACAAACAAAAAACAGATCCAAAGTAGTAGTATCACTTTCCATTCCAAATGGTATGTCTACAATTATTTCTATGCTAAAAGACGTCTTAACATTCTAGAATACACACTGCTGTGACTACCACTGTCTTATTTGTTACAAAGGCAATATGAGATAGTTGTACCAGTGTGAGCTCACGTGGCCAGGTTTGAACTCTCAGCTTTGACACTCAACAGCTGTGTGACTTTAGGCAAGTTACTTGACCTCTCTGTGTCTCAGTATTCTCATATATCAAATGAGTATAATAGTAGCAGCTGGCCGATGAAGGTGCTGTGAAGATTGAATTGGTTTATTTATACAAAGTTTTTCAGAAGAATACCTGTAAGCACTTAATGAGTCTAAGCTATTATTGTTGTTGTTATTATTCTAAATTTAAACTTTTTTTTTTTCATATGGTGTACAGGGAGAAGTATACTGTTTCTATTTTAGAAATTAAAAAAACAAAACAAACCAAAAATACCTGAGACCAAACAGATTGTCCAAGATTTCCTGGCTATTTAGTGGCAAAGTCTGGGACTAAAATCTAGGTTTTCAGAATGCTATCGTTATCCTTAGAAGGGGGTAGAAATGGGATGTCATAATGGTATGACTTGAAGCCAGCCCATTTCATTTTATCAGAGCAATTCCAGAAAAGTTTTCTTTATGTGATTTACCTATTAGGCATCTTTTTTTTTTTTTTTTTTTTTTTTTGAAGGAGTCTCGCTGTGTCACCTAGGCTGGAATGCAATGGTGCAATCTCAGCTCACCACAACCTCCGCCTCCTGGGTTCAGGCGATTCTGCTGCCTCAACCTCCCCAGTAGCTGGGATTACAGGCACCCGCCATCATGCCCGGCTAATTTTTGTGTTTTTGTAGAGACAGGGTTTCAGCATGTTGGCCAGGCTGGTCTTGAACTCCTGACCTCAGGTGATCTGCCCGTCTCGGCCTCCCAAAGTGCTGGGATTACAGACATGAGCCACCACACCCTGCCTCCTTGTTAGCATGTTTTCAAATTAAGTTTTTAAAAGTTTTTTAAACTTAAATTTAAAAAACTGTCTATAGACTGCCCTCTCTTATATGAAAATAATGCTCCTAACCTTATCAATAAGGTACATTTTTCCTGTGATTGGTAACTACTATGCTCTTCATCCCAGAAAAGGTTATGCTGCAGAAGAACTGGGATTTGTCAAACTAAAGGAGCTCCTAAAATAACTGTGGTCACAACATTAAGGCTTGTGTTACGCTTGGTGTAGCCATGTGACCTGGTTAAATACGGCTACTGAGGACATGGGGCTATGGAGGATATTTTGCTTTGTTAGTCATCAGTCCACAGAGAAACTGATTTATAGGAAGAGACTAGAATCAGAGTCTGCAAAGCAAATAGAAAATTCTACCATTGTTGAGAGCACATTTATCCCAAGAACTTTAATTAATGTCTAATCCTTGTAACATCTCTGCGAGATACCTTCTCTTGTGCACCACCAGGTTGATGAGCCAGCCTGGCTTTCAGTAGATCAAATTTCATGCAAAATATCTACTTAAGATTGGTGTGGTTTTGTTCTTTTGGCTTGGGCACCACAGGAACTGGAAAGACGGTTGGTGGTGAGGAACGGGAGCAGAGATGAGCAGATAATTACTACCCTCAATAATGGTATGAGGAGGTCAGATATATAGTTGCCACTTATCAGCCTTGGGGGTAGGCCAGGCTTCACTCACAAGCAGAAGAGACAGGATTATTACAAGTAGAGAGCACCTGGCGTGTTAAAAGTAGTGCACACCTAGGCAGTATGATCTAGACAGTGGGCCATCTGGAAAAGACCTACGAATACAGGTGGGTGGGCCTTGAACCCAGTTTGAGAACAAGGGAGGGAGATGTGATGTGGTTGTATGCAGAGCACTTCCAAATCACCCTCAATATGCACAAACATTCCTTAAAGAGTACTGCCCTGGCACCTGGAGTGTCTCTTTTCTTGTGATTTAGTTGCTTTCTCTACAGAGGGTGACTCTGGCCTTCCAAGGAGAAGACGAGCTCAGGGGCCACATTCACCATAGCCAGCCGAGGATGGATGTCCTGGCTATGCATCGCAGACTTCACTGGACTTATTTTTGGAAGGGAAGTGAGCACAGCATTGTTGGAGCTGACCGGGAAATGGAGTAGACAGCTTGTGTACCCAGGTTGGCATCTGCTGACTTGGACTAAGAAGCAGATGTTTCATTTAGAAGACAAGAGGGAAACAGGGGACTTCTCTGGACACAGAAAGAACCAGCTTTAAGGGCAATCTGGGTTCTTCCTCATCTCAAAGATGACAATCTATCTAGCCATTCCTGAGCGGAAGCCACCATGAAAAAAGCAACACTAAAGTCCACTGCTGCTCAAAACTAGGCTGACAACAAGCGGAGAGGAGTTAAGGAGAAAGCTAACATGGTTAGTGCCCATGGTGTTCGCCATCTCAATAAAGCTTCCTCCTTCCACTGAAAGGTGTTATAATCTCTATTTTACGTGGGAATGTGGCCTCACAGACATACAGTCACTTGCTCAAGGTTTCATAGCCTGTTAGAGGAAGAGTCGGGAGGAGTCCAGATCTGTTTCGTTCTGAAGCCCATTCTCCTTCCGTGGGCTCTGGAGCAGCGCACAAACAGCGCAGCCGCTGCGTCTGCAGGGGCGACTGCAAGCACACGTTTCAAAAGAACTTCACAGATGCCAGGCAGTCTGCATCGTTTTATGTTACAACGCAGTGCACTGGAGTTCAGTTGACCCTCCGTGTCCACAGCTCCCGAACTCAGGATTCGACCAACCATGGATGGAAAGCAAGGTGTTTTCAGGATGCCACGCCTGTGGATAGGGAGAGCTCATTTGGTTTCCGAGGGTTCCGCAGGGAGGAACGCTGGGCCTGAGTAGCCTTGAATTTTGGTATTTGTGGGGGTCCTGGAACGAATCTGCTGCAGATACCAAGAGACAGCTATATATAAAGCTGTTACTTCAGTTGTACAGACGGAAAAAATGTAGCCGTAGAGAGGTTAACCTTGAGCCAGATTCGGAACTCTAGTTTTTCTGCATCCGAGACTGGAGTGTTCAGTCCTCCGTGGTGGGGCTCTGTGTCTCCTTCTGATTCTCCTACTCAATTGTTGCCCATAGGCGTGCAGAAATGGAGGAGGTTAGGGGCTTAAATACAGCCTCTTGTCACTTAACCACAGAATACATTCTAACAAATGCATCCTATGGCCATCTCCCCATTGTATGAACATCATAGAGCACTTACACGAACCTCGATGGTAGACCGTGGAGCGTAGGGGTCCTAAGCCACAGACCTGTGCAGCATGTGACGGTACTAAATACTACAGATAATTGTAACATAATGGCAAATATTCATGTATCTAAATATAACAAAACAGAGGAAAGGTACAGTAAAAATAGAGTATAAAAGAAAAACTAGTGCCCCTGTATAGGGCACTTACTATGAATGGAGTTTGCAGGACTGGAAGTTCCTCTGGGTGAGTCAGTGAGAAGAGGCGAGGGAATATGAAGGCCTAGGACATTACTGTACACATTATAAACACTGTACACTTGGGATACACTAAATTAATAAATACACTAAATTAATAAAAATTAAATACACTAAATTAATAAAAAAGTCTTTATTCAATAATAAATTAACTTTAGCTCAACTTGTATTACAACTTTTTTACTTGACAAGCTTTTTTATTTTTTAAACTTTTAAACTCTTTTATAGTAATATTAGTACTTAGTACACACGTCATACAGTTGTACAAAAACATTATCTTTCTTTATATCCTTATTCTGTAAGTTTTTTTCTATTTTTAAATTTTCTTTGTGTTTTACTTTTAAAACTGTTTTGTTAAAAACTAAGACACAAACACACACATTAGCTGAGACCTACATGGGGTCAGGATCATCAATATCACTGTCTGCCTCCTCCACGTCTCATCCCACTGGAAGGTTTTCAGGGGCAGTAACACGCAGGAGATGTCATCTCCTGTGATAGCAATGCCTTATTCTGGAATCCCTCCTGAAGGACCTGCCTAAGGCTCTTCTTGAGAAGGTGTCACTCTTTTAAAAAGTCTCATTTTCACCTAGAGGTAGCAGTCAGTCTCTAGGGAGAAATGTTTACAGTAGCATCAGGACAAATACGTAAGTAATGCATTGCACTATGACGTTACGATGGTTACAACAGCACTAGGCAATAGCAAGTTTTCAGCTCTTTTATAATCCTAGGAAATCACCGTGGAATATGCGGCTTGTTGTTGACCAAAAGGTCATTATTTGTTGCAAGACTAAATCTAAGCAAGAATATGCATATGTGAATGATATTGAAATGAATATGCAGCTTCTGTATATATACACGTATCATATCCAAATCTAACTCCTACAAGGTGTTGAATACCAATTATATACAAAGTACTATTCATGTAAATATATTATTTGTAATATTTACAAGTATGCAAAACAGAGGAAATTAAATTATATTATTAAACCCATTTTACAAAGACAGAAACAGAAGCTCAGAAACAACAACAACAAAAATATTGCTGAAGTCACAAAGTTCACAAAGACTGGAGCAAGAATTCAAACTAAAGACTGTTTGATTAAAGAAGCTCACTCTTTTTTCTTTTTTCTAGTGGGTTGTCCTTGTATAAAATCATCCTAAAGTTACTTCAAAGAGAAATGATAAGGCCTCTCCAGCATAAAGGCTTGGGAGGCACATTACAAAATAAGTCTGCAAGCGTTCAACATCGACATATTTTGGTCAGTGCATTAGCGTCATGGAGAAGCTAGTTTAGGCTTAGAAGAGAGCTTTATTTTCATTACTGTATTATGCAGAGAGACAGTCTCTTTGAGAAAGCACTTTTTTTTTTTTTCCAGGGGGCT
This sequence comes from Homo sapiens, assembly GCF_000001405.40. Classification (NCBI taxonomy): domain Eukaryota; kingdom Metazoa; phylum Chordata; class Mammalia; order Primates; family Hominidae; genus Homo; species Homo sapiens. The sequence continues at coordinate 131,634,387 of NC_000011.10, read as the reverse complement.
TGAAATTTCCTCTGAGCAGCTCTTTCAAGAAGAGTTATTAGAATTTATTTTCAATTATACACCAGAATAAGCCGTCTGCAGTATAGTTAACTTTCAATTTCAGCCAATTTTCGACGCATTCAATCATAGATGCCTCCGTGATTAAGAATCTATGTTGCAAAACAATTCCCACTTTGCAACAATGCAATCAAACAGATCTACAACTCATAACATATTACCCAATGCTTTTTCAGCTCACTGGTGAAGTGAAATAGAATTTACCAACCACTCCTGTTTACCCAGTATGCTCCAAGCTCATGTGCAAACAGATCTGCAACTCAGAACAGCTCACAAGGGGGTTTTGGTTCAACATAGCCTTGAAGAGATAGAGTTGGGCTGCTTTGGATATTCATGATTTTGGGCTGTCTCATTTTCTCTCTCTGCCCTAATATGCATTGTCTGAGCGTAATATACCATGAGAAACAGAACCCCTCCCTATAAAATTTGATTCAGAAATCACTCTCTGTGGTAGGAGTTCTGATTCATTAAGAAGACCAAAATAGGTTTTATGTCCAGCTGTTTGCTCTTCTAAATTGTATGGCTGTGTGTGTGTGTGTGTGAGAGAGAGAGAGAGAGAGAGAGGGAGAGAGAGGGAGGGAGAGAGAGGGAGGGAGAGAGAGAGAGAGAGAGGGAGGGAGAGAAGGAGAGAGGGAGGGAGAGAGAGAGAGAGGGAGGGAGAGAGGGAGAGAGAGGGAGAGAGAGGGAGAGAGAGGCAGAGATAGAGAGAGGGAGAGAGTGAGAGAGGGAGGGAGTGAGAGAGGGAGAGAGATGGAGAGGTAGAGAGAGAGAGAGGGAGAGATAGAGATAGAGAGAGAGAGAGAGAGACAGAACCCTGATTCAAACAGTGAAAAGGATATGCAGCAAACTGAAACTCCTTTGAAGACTAGAAGACAGAACAACCTTCAAAACTTTATAGAAAACTCTAAGTTTCAGAGATTGGAGACTGAATCAAGCCATGATAATTAATTTTGTAGAGCCTCACTTTCAATTCAGTACACAAGACATTAAGTTCCATTTAGAGTCAATGGGACATAAGGGATGGGTAAAATATGTGAAAAAGGAAGGGAAAATCATCGACAGAGGTTTGGTTTCCTGCTGACTGATGTGGTCTTCAGTGTTCCAAAATGAAATGGGGGAAATACTCCCCAGTTCATGCTAGATTTTGGGGAGTCAGCATTTAACAACAACAAAAATGATAAATCAGAACCCAGTCATTAAGATGTGCTTCAAACAGGCTCAGCTGATGTGTCCCCCACTTTGGAGCCTCAGGCTTTGGCAAAGTGGATTAGAATGGCAAACACCTGCATCTCTGAGTAGCTTTTGGATGCAGCAGGAAGAGACCATCTGAACAAATAGATGGTCTGAACAAAGCTGCCCGAGTGGCGCGGTGGCTCACGCCTGTAATCCTAGCACTTTGGGAGGCTGAGATGGGCGGATCACGAGGTCAGGAGATCGAGACCATCCTGGCTAACACGGTGAAACCCCGTCTCTACTAAAAATACAAAAATTAGCCGGGCATGGTGGCACGTGCCTGTAGTCCCAGCTACACGGGAGGCTGAGGCAGGAGAATGGCGTGAACCCGGGAGGCGGAGCTTGCAGTGAGTGGAGATCGCGCCACTGCACTCCAGCCTGGGCGACAGAGCGAAACTCCGTCTCAAAAAAAAAAAAAAAAAAAGCTGCCCGAGCATGACCAAGATGAAAAGTAGTGCTATGGCAGCTCTACAAACATATTCCAGAAAAGGGGGGAAAAGAATAAATAAGAAATAAAAAAGAAACTCTGCTTTCAAATGTCAAAGGAAGAACCCTATCTGGAAGAAAAGCTAAGGTGAAAATGGTCTAAGACCATTGTCCATGAGAGCTTTGTCCTGTACAATTATGTAACAAAAAACATGGGTGTAAATATAAAACAAGACTTAAAGAAAAGTTATAAACCTTCAGACTGAGATGAAGAAGTAAGACTATGGATCCAAGACCTAAGTGGGGACCATTTTAGGACTAACAAATTGGAAGCCAGTAATAAAAGACGGGCACAAGGGACAAGTCAAACACTGGCATAAAGGGGAGATTTGAGATATTGTTAGTCAGTGCCGAGAAAAACAACACAACATGACTCAAGCAATTAGGGAGAAAATCATTAATATAGAGCAAATCCAACTTAAAAAAATGCTATCCCTGACACAAAGAGCTTCAGCACCAAATAAATACAGTGAAAAATATTCAAGTACATAATACAGAAGAATGGCCTTGAAATTAAGAAATCACCACATCTGCAGATCTAAAAAGTACTCTATATTCCTTGAAAAATTGTTTCAGAATAATGGGTGCTGAAACATATGCATACTAAGTAATCTAGCATTGAGGATAAAGTAAAAAATATCTAGCATCTAGGGAAAAAATAAAGAGAAGTCCCCGGAAATAAATAAAATAATATAAATAAAAGATAATCTCAGACTTCTCCAAGGTAACATTCAATGCTAGATGATATTAGAGCAGTGTTTACCAGAATTTGAAAGAAATAAAATGTCATCCCAAAACATTACGGCAGCCGAGTTGCCTGAAAGATACAGGGCAGACATTCTGAAATATACAAGAATGCATGCGCCAATCACAGTGGAGGAAAAGGAGGCAACAGACTCCTTTGATTGTAAAATTTTAATGCATTAACATTTAAAATTAGGACCAAACAGTTATGGAAATTGTAGAAATGAAAGTGAATGCCAATGGAAAAATAATGACATAATTAATGGGAACGTGGGAGGAAGTACTACAGTGCTTAATTCCACATCTTTTTTGTTGTGAGTCAATTGCTACTGTCTGTATTGAAAACGTAGTTTTAAAAATATTTCAGTCTCTTAGTGGCTTTCATTTTTTTTATTAACATAAGACAGGACTTTTAGAGAGCAGAATACATTATTATTTAAAAATCTACCTTGCTTTGATAATTTCTAGCAATATTATGGACAGGAAACAGAATCTGAAATTGACAAGTTAGGTTGATTGAAAACTTTTTTTAGTTCAGGTGCTTTCTGTTATTTGCGTGGTTTTCTCTGCCTGAGATACATACACACACACTGCAGTTACTGAACACTTAGTAAGCTACGTGCTTTTCATACATTGTCCCATAAACTCTTCACAACACCTCACAGTAGGTATTGTTGTCATTTAACGGGTGCAAATCTGAAAGCCAGGGAGAGTAACCAAATTGTTAGTAGGTGCCAGAGCCCTACTGAATTCCACGTATTTCTGAATCCATGCCTGAGTGCCTAACTGCTATGCCGTACTTCCTCAGTTATTTGATTTCACTCTGATCAACAGAACAGAGTTCACTGGATGGTAATGAAAAGCTGGCTGGCCATTGTGGGACATATGAGACAATAATAATTGAGAAAAGCTTTGTTTTTTGAAAGCACAGTTTTAGTGTTAGTTTATCCAAGAATAATATCACAAAGACACCATTCAAAATTAAGTTTTCACAGGGAAAAAATTCTAAATCCCTAAAAAGCCTAGTTAAAATTTCATGTAGTATGCCAAAGATAAGGAGAGAAAACTATTCAATAAAAGACTGGAGCTGCAATACAGATAACTAATTAACCTCCAAGAGATCCCAGTGCAGGCGGTGATAATCATGATTTGACCTGGGAGGGATACAGCAAAGAGGAAATCCAAGTTTCTAAAAGAGCCTATCGGATCTTGATTTGATCTTCTAAAAGAGTCTTCAACTTTTGACTTGTCCTCTGACTGTAGATCACATTTCCATTACTGGGCTGTACAGACTATGCAAAGTGAATGAATGCAGAGGGAAGAGGAAATACTTTGTGGGACCGATCACCAGTATCAGTAAACTCTTATCATGCAAAGATTCTTCTTTAATTCAAGTAGAATGCAAAAAAGAAACACTGAGAACACAGAAAAGTCAAAGCAAACTTGAATATTTCCAAGGTTTTCCCTAGATTCAATCTAAAGAGCTTGTCCAAATCTTTGAAGCTAGGATTAGTCACAAGAGATTAAGTTACGGCTTGGCAGAGAGAAAACAATATATATTTGAGAAGCATCTACTCCTGGGAATATCAGATTTTTAGATATTAAATGTAATGGATTTCTCCTGATCCAAGGCAGAGATTGCTAACTTTCTATGCCAATATCCATTCTCACCTTCATAGAATCATTGATTTTCAATAGACCATGGCCCGACCTCCTTTGCCGGTAGATGGAGCCGTGTGATTAAGCTCCAGCTAGCAGGAGGGTTGTGTGGGAGCTTCCAATAATTTTCCTAAAACAGTTGGCTTATGCTCTTTGACCTTTCCTCCTCCCTTTGTACTGCTTGAAAGGAGAATTCTGGGATGGCTGTGGCTCTGGCTGAGACCATGAGGTCAAGCATCACACCAGGGATGGTGCAGAGGAGCACAGATCCTGGGAGATTACAGAGGCAGCACACCAGCCCTGACTCCCTATCTTCAGAATTTTGCATGTGAAAAATGGATGTCTGTATTATTTAAGTGTTTACTTTCCAGGTTTCCATTACTTGCAAGGAAACCTAGTCCTAACAGATACACTCCTTTAGCAAAATACCAGTTTGAGTCCTTTACCCTTACACACCAAGTGTGAGTGTAATGGAAAGCAAATGAGGTTCTGTCCTCTGTTCAGCTGCACCAACCGAATGTAAATACTCTCGTTTCGAAATTGTGTGCATGTAGCCATGCATCCTCCAGGGTGATCCTTGTAAGCAAGCTGCCTTCTTCCTGGGGCTTCCATCAGTAGAAGCCATTTTAAGCAGATAAGTGTGAGTAAGAGGCAACAGAGTGTTCCATTCTCCCCAGCCAGCCAATTATTCAATATATGGATATTTGTGTCTGTACATTTCTTCACCATATAGCTGCCTGTTCTGTCCTTCATGTAAGGATATAAAGCTTTTCTAAGTGTAAGACCCTTCCAGGGCCTGAGCAGCCATGCAAGCTGGGAACAGTGGTGGGTGGGTACAGGACAGCTTCTTTGGGCTCAGGTCAAAGCCTGACTCCATTCTATCACAACTGGACATAATCAGATTAAGAGAGCCTGGTTTGAAATGACATAGACATTCTGTACTTGTTCTACAGAATGGAAAAAAAAAATCTTTAATGTATTTGCAGCCACATGGCCTTACTCTTAATTGAATCTATTATTAAGTCCCTGGGAAGACCTCTGTCATCTTCATTTAAAGGGATGATAGAAAAATTCCTCAAACCCTCAGCCACAAGCTGCACAAGGGCACTGTCCCAAATCTCCCTATTCCTAATCCATGCACTAACATAGAGCAGAAAACAGATCGGACAGACACGGCTTATTGCCGATTCCTTCAACTTGGTCCCCACCCACACCACACCATGCACAGATGCCCCAAAATGAGCAAAGCACCTGCCTCTGGGCAGGACCATGCCCATCTCCTGCCACACTCTCCGCCTGTACTCCACAGCCCTGGCTCTTGGGCTCATGGCCCATCACCCCAACTGGACATCTGCCTCTGCCCCAGAGCTGCAGCAGTTCCTCAGGGCCCCCTTTCGGTCTTTAAAAACATGAACAGCACTTTAGCACTTCAGCCCACCGTTTAGTGTCTTACAGTGAGGAAGGTCCTTTCCAGTTTTCAACTCAGGTGTCCCTTGGTCTGGAGGCACCACCAATACTCCTGACAGGTAAGAAGGCTCAGGGGCAGGCAGACATTTTCTTAGAGAGCAAGATAATTAGTACTGGGAGTGAGGATGAGAGAGACATGAGTACCATTTGGTGTCTGACTCTTGGCTGCCAGACAGGCCCAAAATAAAGTTGAAGGGCAGTTAGTTCCAATATGCTGGCGTGCACACACACATGCACACAGACACACACTCGTGATTCTACCTAAAATCTTGTAAAATGTCTGTGCGCTTGGGCAAAGGGCTTGAGAATGTTTAAAATATTCTTGGTGATAACTGTGTTTATTAAGCATTTATTACATGCCAAATACTGGGCCGGGCCTATTATCACAGGAAGATAATCTTCATAAACTATTAATAACTTTTCCACATTTTGCAAATGAGAAAAACAGATTTAGAGAAGTTAATTAATTACTGGGAGGAAGGGGTCACCCGTGAAAGATCTGTGAATAAGTCTGATGCTTTGCAGAGTGTGTGGAGTGTGGGAGATTGTCTCCTCACATCCTCCCTCTGTGTTCTTCCAGAAGGTGGACTCTGTCAATTCCCTTAGTGGCTTCGTGGGTCCTCCCAACTTTCTAAGCAATCTTGAAGAATTTGAGTTTCACAGCCTGGAATAGTCCACATTGTCTTTGCAAACATGACAATTACCATAGACATTTAAGTTGCAGGGGACTTAGGGCATACACTGTCAGAGATGGGAGTGAGAAATCCTTCTTCTCCTCTATGGAAGTTCTATTTCCTTTGTCCAAGCACTAAAACATGGAAACCTGAATTCGTTTTCTAGAGTGGAATCCCTATTATAAAGAGGACTCCTAATGGCACCTGGAAAGATGAGGCTTTATATATACATTTGTTAAGACAGAGTCTTACTCTGTCGTCCAAGCTGGAATGCAGTGGTACAATCATAGCTCACTGCAGCCTTGACCTCCTGGGGTCAAGTAATCCTCCTACCTCAGCATCCAGGGTAGGTGGGACCACAGGCATGCACCAGCATGCCTGTGTTAATTTTTTATTTTTTGTAGAGATGGGGTGTAAGTATGTTGCCTAGCTGGTCTCAAACTCCTGGACTCAAGCGATCCACCTTCCTCAGCCTCCCAAAATGCTGGGATTATAGGCATGAGCCACCTTGCCCGCCCAGATGAGGTTTAATTTTGTCTTTGACCCTTTTTCTCCAATAGTCTTAGAGATGGTATAATCTAGTCATGGAGGTCCTTGCCTGGCCATCAATAGTCAAGATATAAGAATTCCAGTTTAGTCTACTATCTTTATTACGTTTGCCTTTATCTTGTCTTAGTAACATTTGCTATAAAGTAATGTGAACTTTACTTTCCTCGAATGCTATACTTTCCTCAGAGACACTCTACCTCAGACATTCCTCTGCTCTCAAACGTGGCAGTGTATATTCTTTTTCCACTCCTATTTACGTCCTTCCCCATACCCCCAAACCCACAAAAAAAATAAATAAATAAAAGCCGCCTGCTTTATTCATGCACAAATAGCAATTTCCAACCAAGAAGAAACACCTGGGAGAGCCAGGGCACTCGAGGTACAAGATAATTAGAGATTATTATAATCGAAATTTCATTGCCACATCAAACTGTGTCTTTTAGCATCAATTAATCTCCCATTCCAGCGCCTGAGCCCGCTGGAGCAACCAGCTTGTCAAACACGCCAGATCCTCGCATCTCATTACCCTACAGCGGGTGAAAGGGAAGTGAGATAGCCTACAGGTTCCTCAGAGCTTTGCCCAGGCAGCTGTAATTCATAAGGTGGCTTCCCTATTAGGAGCAGGTGGAGGAAGCAATTCGGGGAACAAGGGCTGGGCTCTTTTTCTTTACTCATTCATTTAGTTAGTTTTTGCTTTCTTGGCACATTAAGAAGCAGAGGATGGCAATCGTTTTGTTGGGGAGAACTGGGCCATGGAAGAAGTCTAGCTGCAGGTCACAGATGGAGAATAAGTAGAGATCGTCTAGGAGCCTTCGCCTCCTTGCAGATTCTTGGGTTCCAGTTCAATCATTTGAGTGAGTGTAAATGTCTTCAAATTAATGCCTGTTTTCCCCTTTTGCCCATCACGTCCTGGTTTGCAATGTTTGTTGTTGCTTTACACGTGAGGAGTTGCAAGACCAGTATTTTAAAGCTGATCATCTCCTATTGAGGAATCCTTTGCCTGCAACTGAGGTAAGCTGCCACCCTTTGGAAGAAGAGACAACTTCCCTATAAGTGTGAATCAGCAACTACTATGTATTTCACACAGGTCCTCACTCATCTTAGGGACAAAATAGAACTCTTTACCCAAACAACCAAGCATTAGCATTTATAATAATGAATATACGTTTGTATATTAGTAATTACGTATATCATATACGTTTGTAGTATTAGTAATTATTAACACTACAGCAGTTACTAATCACTACAAAGAGATATTTGAAGAAGTGTCTCAGTACACTTAAATATCTTCCTCAGTACTATTTAATAGGTATATTCTCCATGTGTGTTTGAACATTGAAGACTTCTCTTCTATGACTCTTTATGTAATAATTTCAACATCTATAAAGTTACTTGGATTCTTAAAATTAAATTTATTTTAATAAATAAATTGAATTTATCTCATCCCTTATAAAAATAAGGGCATATATTCACAAAAAAAAGCCTTGTACAAAAATGTGCACTGTAGCCACGTGCCACAGATAAAAGCTGCAAACTACCCAGATGCCCTTCGAAAGTACAGTACATAAAATAATGTGTAGCATATTCACACAATGGAACACTACACAGCAATGAGAGTGACAACCACAAATATAGGCCACAACATGCTTGGATCTCACAAACACATGTGGAACAGAGGAAGCCAGCCACAGAGGAGAAGAATCTCTGTGATCTCACTCATGTGAGTTGTAAAGCAGGCACACTTATCTAGGGAGGCTGGCATCAAGTTGGAGGTTAACCTGTGGAAGAGGGCAGCTGTGAGCACAACAGGGCCTGGTGATTCCTGCATGCTTCATTCTGTGTCTTTATTGGCATGCTGGTTATTTGAGTGTGTTTAGTTTGTGACAATTCATTGAGCTGACATTCTGTGCACCAGGCTATATGTATGTTATTGGGGAACGTTATCTGAAAAAAAAAAATGAAGCCTTTCTTCTATCCTCCCTCCTTCATCTTTTCAGTCTCTCTCTGTGTCTGTCTGTCTCTCTGTCTTTGTCTCTCTCTCTGCTTTTCTTTCTCTAAGAAGTCTCCAGTGGACTAATTTCTATTAATCCCAAGAAGCGACTGGATTGCCTTTTGTGGATTTGATTAACTCTGAATCCCGAAGGCACCTGTTCCTTCCTCTGCCACTTTTCAGAAATGGAACAAGAGAGTCTCCCCTTGCTCAGAGGGGTCCATAAAGACCATCATGGGGGGACCTTATCAGGGTGGCCCCCCACATCTGCATTTCGGCCTCTGATGTAGTCAGGTGCTTTCAAAGGGACACATTCATCTCCAGAAAATGTGATCACTTTACACCCTTAAAATAGAGCTTGAGTATTTTTTTAAATGATGTGGTTTCCTCTACAAGGTTGATTTCTGTATAAAAGACAAAATAAACTCAATAGGCAGTGTAGCACATCCTACTTTGTAACTGTTTCCAGCTCAGTGACAGATAAACAGAATAAGGTGAGGTTGTTACTTACAACCCAGCAAGCTTTTCAGGTTATGGTGATTTTTAAGTACTTGGAATCATTGATAATTTCTTTTTTGAGGGAGCAAAAATGCTTTAGGTATATGAATGCAGCCAACTAAACTGTATGCTCTGTGGAGACAGAAATCCTGGCTGCCTGATCATCACCACCTCCTGGATTCCTGGCATGCGGTAGGCATGTGAGACATACTCCAGGAAAGAATGAATGAATGGCTCCAGCAAACTGAAGCATGAACCAAAGATAGAGGGACTCGCCCTGTGCACAGGCTGTGGATTCCTCCGTGATTAGCGTGGATGGGCACATCTGACTTCACAAAGCACAAAACAATCATTTGTTAAATGTCCATCCTATGCTTAGTAAAATGTTAAGTGCTATGAGTAATACAACACTATGAGTGGCCATGAGTCCTACTGTCAAAGGCAGGCCCTAATGAATCAGCAAATAATAGAAGGAGCTCTCCAATGGCTCAGAACTTGTAGCAGGATGAGCTCTGGGTGGGAGCCACTGGGAAGACCTCCTGTGATGTCCCTGGCTTATGAGGCCACAGACACTTGCTTAGCTCTGTACCTGCAGGACCACAATTAATATTTAGGACTGCTCTGTGCAGTAGATAGTGCTGTGCCCGTTCTACAGATGAGGACGCTAATGAGACCACTGTGCTGCCATGATCTGAGATCAGCTGCCTGAGATCACAGTGCTGATCAGTGGCCCTCTAAATGCAGAGACACGATGCCATGTTGCCACTGAATGATGTGCTGGAAACGCTGGTCCTTGAATAAGGGCAGGACGCAGAGGGACAGGATACCCAGGCCGGACCGCACTAAGGGACCTGCCAGAGAATCGCCCTTATGAGCCAAGAAAATGGAATCTGAACCCTATTGTCTGCCTGTGCCTTCAATCACAAATGTGAGGACACAGCCTCTGCACAGAGTACAAGGTGCCCCAGGAAATGACTGGGGCAAAAACCCCCTGACATGGCTCCATCACTGTCTTTCACAGAAAGAATTAAGAGCCTTTAGTGACCTCGGTCAGAGCAACTGCCTTTGTGGGTGAGAGTGGATGAGGAGACTCAAGGTCGGAGCGGCCAGGGTAGGCCCTTCATTTCCTCCTGCCCAGCTACGGCAGCCCCGAGGTTTTTCCTTGGCTAACAGTGGAAGAAAAGCAGGATACAAAATGGATAAGTTAACAAAGCAAACACACACCATTATCTCCTTTCCATTCCCAGCCTACACATTGGGTGCTTAAATTGGGCTGTGTGCTTCCTCCCAAGGGAGGGAGAGTGGGCCTGGCCCAGAGGGGGACACACTGGAGCCCAAAACCATCTGCGGGGGTCACTCCAGGCAGGCGCACTGCAAGTGTCCTCCATCCGCGTCCCTATAGAGAGGCCTAACCCATCGCTGATTAGTTGTTTATTTAGTTACTGCTGTCTTGCTCCTAGCATGCTGCTATCCAAATGAATTTTCATTTAAACATGCAAGCAGCCGAAGATGGGATTTTAAAATGGAAATACTTTGGACTCTCTAACATGATTTGGTATAAAATGGAATTCGGTGGACAGCATGGCATCTGTCTCGGACTTGAGCCAAGGGCTTTAGTTATGGAATAATCAAAAGGAACTCATTCTAATGATATCTCATATTTGTATACGATTTTTACTGGGTGCAAATCTTTCTCACATATATTTCCACTGGATTCTCAAAACAGTCCTGGGAGGTAGGATGTCCATCCATGCTGCCAAGGAAGGGGCTCAGGCCCAGAGAAGGAAAGTGACTTTCTCAAGGTCACCCAGCGATCACACAAGAGAATCAAAAGTCAGCCTTGATAGTCTGATTGCAAACTTCACACCCACACTGCCACTTAAGGTAGTCTCTCCACTGCATGGTGGGCTTATAAAGTAAAACTCCGGTATAGAGAAGCCCCTGTGTCTATGGGCACCCCATGATTGCTGTGGGTCTCCTAAGCAGGTGAGTTTCTGAGATCGTTTGAGATAAGTTGTTTCTTCAGAGCTATTTCCCTTCCTCTTCCTCTTTCTCTTTTTCTGTTTTATTCAGGAGAACGCCAATTTGAAGTCTAGTGTACCAATGAGAGCACCTGGACGGAAGGCAACCAGTGTGTTAGTGACAAATGCAAAATCATGATGTTGGCAGATGAATGCCACCCAAGGAGCACTCCTGGAGGGTCGGTGCGATTGCTCAGCTTGTTAGCTCAAGGGCCAACAGGAGAGTTGCTGGGGTGCTCTTGTCAGGGAGGGGAACATCAGGACACATCTCTACTGTCTCATCCTGCCTGCAACAGAACATGACCGAAAACAGTGGCCTAGGGGCAGAACTGAAGCAGATTTACGCCGTTTTTCTTCCTTTGACTTCAGTGCTTTCTTAACTGTGTGGTCACGGAGTAGATATCATCAATTTATATTCTGTGTGTACAGCAAAATTTTGGCTACCAAATAGTGGTTAATTTAATAATCTGGTCAATTTAGAGGTAATAAATGAAATATTAATAGAAATGAATTAACTTTTCAAGTAAGAAATAAATTATTTGTTCATTCTTTCCCCAAATGCTGTTGAATCTTGGCGACACGGAGCATACAAATGAGCGGCTGTCCCTGAACTGTGGAGCCGAGGATGGACATGGCCCGGGGCCCGAGGCATCACTTTCATGCTTGTTTACTTATGATTATGCAAACTAAGAAGTAAATGAAACATATATTCACCTATTTTATTTTTATACATCTTTCCTCTGTTCTTACCAGCTCACGGGTACCCGTCAGGTCACATTATATTTAATAGATGAAACTTGCTGGCTTTTTAGCACTTTTACCTAATTACAGGAACTTTATCTTCTGTTCCATTTTCCCCATGGAATAGTTTGGCTTCCTGTGGATGGTCCCCCCCATCCTCCCACTCAGGCCCTTTGCTAATGTCTTCTGCCCACACATTTCTCCAGTGTGGGCCTGCCTGGACCACAGCCACGGGACCCTTCTCAGGAATGTGGCTTTCCTGGCTCATGTACTTTCCCAAAGGAGAGACTTCCAAAGAGAGACTGAAAGGACATTTTGCCCCTGATTCTATATGGTTCTTTGTTATCTAGGCCCCCAAATATTGGCCCTGTTTCTCGAAAGCTTCCACATAGAAATAATTCTTTCCCCACTTGTCTGTAGCTTCCTTTTTTTTTTTTTTTTTTCTTTGAGTTGAGGTCTTGCTCTGTTGCCCAGGCTGGAATGCAGTGGTATAATCACAGCTTACTGCAGCCTCAACCTCCCAGACTCAAGCCATCATTCCACCTCAGCCTCTTCAGTAGCTGGGACTACAGGCACAGGCCACCATGCTCAGCTAATTAAAGAAAACTTTTTTTTTTTTTTTTTTTTTTTTTGTAAAGATAGGGTGTTACTATGTTGCCCAGCCTGGTCTTGAACTCCTGGACTCAAGCAATTCTCCTGTCTCAGCCTCCCAAGGTGCTGGGATTATAGGCACACACCACTAATCCAGGCCTGTAGCTTCCTCTTTGACAGGGTGGCACTTGATGTGTGGTCTGCATTTAGAGACAGACAGCACACTTGCCCTTGTATTTGGCCATGACCGTCATTTAGAAGCATACAGACAAAGCTTTCTCCGGAGATGCCCCCAGGAACATCTCTCCTCTCCCCTCTTCATCTCCTGACCACTTGGCAAAAAAAGTGATGCTTTACACCTGTTCTTAAATTATTGTCAACTTAGTACATTTGGCTTTTTCTATTAGAATCCTAGTTTTTAGGGGATAAATACCTAGCTGGGTAGTGTAAACAAGCAAGACTCTGGCCAGTGAATACACAGACGTAAATTAATACCTGGGCCACCATTTACTAGTTATGTGAACATTAATAAATTATTAGACATTTTGAGTTTCATTACCTTAACAGGGAGTGAGCTCAATTAACCCTGAATTCTCTTCCTGCTCTCACATGCTACATCATTCAGGTTTCTGTTTTCTTTCAACATACAATTACAAGCTTTGTGTCTGGCAGCATCACATTAGTTAGTGGCTAGTGCTGCACCGGTTAGCGTAATTTATCGTTATGATTCATTCATTCATTCATTTAAGAAGTAGCTATTGGACATCTACTATGTGCCAAGTACTCTTCTAGGCATGGAGAATATATTAGTGGACCGACAGACAAAACTGCTGCTATCATAGAAAGTACATATTAGCCTAAGTGACAGATAATAGACAATAACAAGCAGATATGTGATCTACAATCCCAGAGCACTACGTGTTATGAAGAAGGACAGTGCAGGCCTGCAGGTGGTGGACCCACTCCATTAGGAAATAGCGTGGGAGCATAGACTTGAGTGAAGTCAGCGAGCAGCCCATATGTATTTCAGGGGCAAGAGCATTTCAGGCAGAGGGAACAGCAGGTGCCAAGGCCCTGAGGCAGGATTATGCCTGGTGTGTTTGAGGGACAGCAAGAAGCCCATGTAGCTGGGGCTGAGTGAGCAAGGGGAGGTGACAGGAATGGGATCATGGGCCAGCCAGGATGTGGGATGATTTGTGAGCCAGATGGGGCATTTGAATTGTTTTCTACATGGAATGAGAAGTCACTGGGAGATATAAGTGGGGAGTGATGTGGTCTAATTATGTTTGAAAAGGATCATTCTGCCTCATGAGTAGTGAATAGGAAGGGAGATGGGAAGAGGTAGGAAGACCAGGAAAGGGATTTTAAAGAAGATGATGACTTGAAAATGGTTTTAGCTGTAGACATGAGGAGACCCTTGGTGCAGCTGAAGAGGCTTAGAAATCAGGGAAAATGTCTGTAAAGAAAACTTTATTTCAAACTTAGAGTCATAGAACTTGCCCTCTTGGATATAGTCTCGTAGTACCTTTACTGGCTATTTTTATTGTGTGCTTTAGTATATGAGATGTTCAGTGGTGCCAAGTGCAGTGGCTCATGCCTATAATCCCAACACTTTGGGAGGCTGAGGCAGGCAGATCATAAGGTCAGGAGATCAAGACCATCCTGGCCAACATGGTGAAACCCCATCTCTACTAAAAATACAAAAATTAGCTGGGCTTGGTAGTGTGTGCCTGTAATCCCAGCTACTCAGGAGGCTGAGGCAGGAGAATCACTTGAACCCACGAGGCAGAGGTTGCAGTGAGCCAAGATCATGCTACTGCACTCCAGCCTGGGTGACAGAGCAAGGAAAAAAAAAAAAAAAGAAGATGTTTAGCGGTAGATGTTACCCCCATATCCTTATTTGCTATTTTACTGGGTGACTTATCTGTTACATTTTTTCTACACCACGTCTGCTGCTCTTCATAAAATCTAATGTTAATTCCATTTGGCTCTATCTCTCCTTTTCATGAAAAATTTGCGTCTTGACTCTTTCACTTTGTGGCCAATTGTGTTCTTTCTTCCCTCTTTCTTGAGTGTGTTCTGTCTGTTGCCAATGCCCCACCATTTTAGTCTGATAAACTATGGTTTTAAAGACAAAATGCTGCAACGTAGTACTAAATCCATATCTACTTTCAATTTCTTTCTTTCTGCTTTTCCTTCCTGACCTTCAGCTACTGCAAAAGAGTTGCTCATCCTCTGTACTCCCACAGCCTTTGGTGTGTGTCCTAGCCTCAGTGTTACTAGAGATATATGTGTTCCAGGTTTTTCTGACTGTGTCAAGTGTTTTACATAAAGTTAGAGTGGGAGCATTTGGGAGACTGGCAAGTCTTGGCTGCCTCCCCCTATTATTTTATGGTGCAAGGAGAAAGGAAACTTCCTTGATAACCATGGCAGGTTTCCATTTGACTGCCTCCACTTTCCTTATTCGGGCTTTGCCACTCAATGCCCAGCATGCTTCCCTTGTCGTCAGACTGTATGTCTGTGCATTCTCTCATGGGCTTATTCGCTGTGGAGTGCTACTGCATCTCAGAAACTCCAGCTACGCCCTCCAAAGGCAGAGCTCTTCACATCTTTTTGTTGCTATTGTTGTTGTTTGTTTTCGCATACCTCTCGAGCCTAGCACTAGTTCTTCCATTCTCATCATATTTTTATTCACAGGATTTTTGTCCTACCTAATCACTCTACATATGCTCTGAAAACATGCCAGACAATTATGATTTTCTATGTCTTCACTCTCATTTCTTCAGGAATACCATCTTGCATTGGTGGCGTAAATAGTTGGTGATGGATACACATGGGCAGTCTTCTACTGCACACAACTTCTAGCTCATCGGAACATGTTCCTGTCTATCCATGCATAGAACATGTTCTAAGCCTTCTGCTTCCAGAACACGTTGGCTTTTCAATACTTACTTATCCCTGAATTTGCTAAAATGCAAGACAATTATAGAACGTGTGTAACTAGCATTTAAGCTCAATTTCCATCTTATCTGAGCATAGGGGAGGTTTTAAAGTGGGCTCACATCCTGATGTTACTGGGAGCAAAGTCTTCTGCCCACCTCTCTTCCTTGAACTTAAAACGCTGCTCCCACCGGAATGAATCAGAGTCAAATAGGAGCCCCAAGCAATACTGAACTAATTTAATTCGGATAGCATGTCACCAGAGGGCACAGAGAAGAGGTATATTGGCACATTTGCTGACTAACTGGCTGCTTTTGCAACATCTGTATCCATCTTGGATTGCACTTGGCCATAGTCCAGAGAAAATTTGGTTCTTTTTCTGCTAGGCTTTGTTTTGGTACCAGTGCATCAGGGAGTTTACGAAATACCCTTCCTGAGAAATATTTAAAATGAAACACTATTGTTCTGGAATGGCTGTAGGCGCAGACCTGCTTGGGGGAAGGGGCTGCACTAAGCAACCTCTGGAGGCCTTTTGAGGTCTTGGATGTGCTGAATTTCTGCTGTAACCAGAGTTATACCTAACTGCTTCTTCTGTAAAAATCACTCCCAAAGGTCTCCCTTACTGGAAAAGAAATGCACAGCTTGCAAATGAGCAGCCTCAAGCCTTTCTGGGATTGCTTTTTTAACACCAACTCCCTACCTATTTCTCTGCCTGGCTCTCATCCCAAAGGCTGTAGCCCAGGCCACATCAGAGTAGCCCGGCGCTGGCCCAGAGGCTCTGGTTCTTCTAAGACAGCCCCCTCCCTGTCCATCTCAAGGTCAGACGGCACACTGGGTGGCTCGCCCTCCCAACCCCCTGCCTATCTGCCTTCTGGTCTAGATTCACCCCTATCATCTACAAAAGGCTTCTGGTTGTCTTTGCAGTGATCTGTTTCATTGCTTCAGCCTCAAAAACAAAAACCCCAGGGGAAAGAACTGAGTTTCAACAATCCTTTGTGTTGTGGAAGCTGAAAATTGGTGGAGGACATTTTAGTTCTGTTCACACGAGCCCCTATATTGCCAGTTCCATTCATCTTTCAGCTCAGAACAACATAACGCTTGGACACATTAAAGCCACCAGAATCTCCTTTAAATTAAATCCATCACCCATACTGCTCAGCACTCAGACACCAGCCTTGAGCACACGCTTGCCTCATGCTGAGCACAGGCAGTCACGAGGGGACTCAGCTCAGCTCATACTTTCACTTTAAAGATAGTTGCTCCATGGCCAGGCACACAGTAGATGCTCAATAAATACTTGCTGTTTTTGGGTCTGTTACAACAAAATCCCTGAATCACAATCGCAGTAGAATCGGGAACTCAGCAAAACTAAGATGAAGATGATCTTCTTAAACATATGCACGTACGAAGCACACGTTTTCTTTCCGCAAAGTGTACTCAGTTTCCCTGTGACATGATGGGTTTGTGATCAGAGCTCTGTAGCCACGTCACCCTAGATTCTTGCAGCCCTCCACTCTCAGCACTCTCTGCAACATTCCCAAGCGGCCTCAGTTACACAGGAGTACACACACGCCATCAGAGAGAAGGACCGAGGGAACCCTGACATCGGCAGCACACCTAGGGTCTGCCTGCCCCAGCCTCGCAGCGTCCAGCCCCACAATTCTGACTTTGCCTAATAGTTTGACAAAATGCAGTGTCCCCCTCCAGATGCAGGAGTTGGAGCTGGAATCTGCTGATTGAGCAGTCTGCATTCCAAACCCAGCATCTGGGGTGTAAGAACTCAAATCCTGGAACTTATTTCAAGGTCAATTTGCTTCAGAATCAAAACCCATTTGCCATAAAGCAGAGATATGCTACAGAGGAGGAGGGCTGCATGAAGGGAAGGTGCATTCATTAAAACAGCTGTAGGAAAACCAAACCAAACAACACACACACACACACACACACACACACACACACCCCCTCAAGACAGTGTGCTTGTAAAACCCTGTCTCAATCTGAGTTTCCTCCTGACCGCATGTTCTCTCTGTCCCTGTGGCTTTTTGAGCTGATTGGCTCAGTCACCAGAGGAGCCGGGTGGGGAAGAGAACTGTCTCCGTATCTCATCATCTTGGGTTAAAAACAGGAGGTATGTCCCCTGGTGCCGCCGCAGCCTCCATCTCATTCTAAGTCACTAGGCCATTGCTAAACTATTACCAGTTCCTTGCAGACGTTTCCCTGAGCCAGTGACAGATTTCCCTGGGCCCATGGGTAAAGCTCAGAGTGTCAGGAGAATCAGCAGTGGCAATTTTCACCTCGTTGTCAAATTGCTTCCTCTCTGCTTTGTGGAGGCCTGGCTCTCTCCCTTGCCTCCGTCCGCGGTCATTTCCCACTCTCCAGTTTGATAAATGTTTCTTTTTCCTCTGTCCTCCAACTCCCAAGCCCCATTTCTGGGTGATAGGGATGTTGAGCAGGTTGTCTTGGGTGAGGAAGGAGAAAGGGACCTGCCCTGGGAGGTGGCACGGGACAGGTGCAGTCTCCCCAGTGCTGCGCAGAGGATGCAATTTGTCCTTCATCTCTGTCCCCTGTACAGAGCCTGTAACCCTTATTTGTAGATGATTTGCTACCTCTTGATGAAAGAGTCCATGCAATTGCAGGAACAGAGGCATCAGCTGAGAACAGCACAGAGCCCTGGATAGCGTGTCCTGAGGATTCTCTTGAGGGCCACGCAAGGATGTGAAGCAGCAGCTAACATGCTGAATATACTCACCCAGCCACGCTTAGCCTTGCTTCTTACATTCGGCTCTGGGAAGGACTCTAGGCTACGCCCCAGCCGCTGCCCAAGGGAAGCAGAGGTCCTGCCGTGTTCACTGGCCTCAACCATGGGCTGTCCATTCAGCAGCAGATTCCACAGTGACTCAGTAAGCTCCCTGGGATGCACAGGCTCAGCACAGCCTTAGGGGCCAGAGGGTTCACAAAATAATCATGGTACAAAAATCCCTGCTGTCTGGGAGCTGGGAGCTGACGGGAGCCATGTCCTGAACATCCCATAACACAACAGAGGCCCCTGTTCATTAAGAACTTGCTACGGCCGGGTGCGGTGGCTCACGCCTGTGATCCCAGCACTTCGGGAGGCTGAGGAGGGTGGATCACTTGAGGTCAGGAGTTTGAGACCAGCCTGGCCAACAAGATCAAATCCCATCTCTCCAATAAAATTACAAAAAAATTAGCCAGGCATTGTGGTGGGTGCCTGTAATCCCAGCTACTCAAGAGGCTAAGACAGGATAATTGTTTGAACCTGGGAGGCAGAGGTTTCAGTGAACCGAGATTGCACCACTGCACTCCAGCCTGGGTGACAAGAGAGAGACTCCGTCTAAATAAAAAAAAATGAGAGAGAGAGAGAGAGAACTTGCTATGAGCCACGCACAGTGCTAAACTTTGAAGGCCCCTTCACTTCGCCTGCCAACCCCATGATGCAGATACTGTGACATCTCTATATTGCCACAGAGGAATCTGAGGCTGAGAGACCCAGTAACTGGACTGTAGTCCCAGACTGTGTTATGTTCAAAAGAGACAGAACTAGCACCCAGGTCTCTCAGAGCCCAATTTCTCAGTCCAAGTGTTTCGCCATTGTGTGTGCTGCCTTGATTAAGATAGAATATTGCTTTGTCTAGAAATGTATCTGCTCACCAGCTTTTTGGGATGGAGAGCAACTTCAAGGGGAAAAACCTCTGTCTGGCTGCAAGACCATCTGCTTCTACCACACCACAAAGGTCAAGGGTGGGAGGAGGCGAGGGCAGAATGGAGGGGGCATGAGCTTGGCGAGCCAGCCAGAGAATGTGAGAGAAACAGCTGGAATCAAAGCCAGGCGGGCAGGGCCAGTGCTGCTGGTCACGTGAGGGAGGCATCTCCAGTGTCTCACTTTCAACTGAACACATTCTAAATCCAAGCATGTTTTCCAATTTCATAGTCTTGATGGACAATATGCAGCTGCAACAGTTTTATGTGCTCTGAGACCTGAGAGTGTAAGAACTGTCTGAGACAGACAATGGCAGTTGTACAACTCAGGGGACCTTTGAACAAGAACTGACAAAGCAGTGACGATGGCAGAGAAAAAGTCACCCAGAGCTGGCCCCAGAAAACTGGGCCAAATGGCACAGAAGAGCTGCAGACTAGCTCTGGCCTTAAGGAATAATCCTGCACCCCTGCCCCATGGGCTTTCTCTGGGTCACTGCCCTCCTGTCTAGTCCCCTCACAGCTTTGCAGATCATCAGCACTTTTGTCCCCTTTGGGAAGAATAAGAGCTTAAAACAAAAAGAACAGACCCATTTTGGGGAAAGTGTTTATTTTCCTTCGTAGAGCTGTAATTGCTAATAACAGAGCTGCAGCCAGGGTGGGTCTCCATGGAGCATGGGGCAGGATTCCTTCCGAACTCTGCACGGCCCTTCTGGGCATGGGGCATTTATGGGAACCACTTCCCTCCTCAGGTCACACAGGGATGATCCTAGAAGTAGAGCCCTGTCCACTGCGCTCACGGTCCCTCTTTAGAGGCCTGTTTTCTGCATCATGAGAAGGGAGCTCCCGCTGAGGGAGGCAGCTCCTTAAAGTCTGTGCTTCTAGTTCAAGGCTGTCGGTAGCCCATCGCCCCAGATCTCAGTGAACCTTGCAAGTCCTGGGCATCTCCGCCCCATGGTGCACCCAGGTATTGAGAGGCTACTCATAAGTCCTTCTATGACACCACTATTTGAGGTTTTCTGCAGAGCAGGGAGGGAAAAACATGGTGCATGTCTGCGTGTAGAAAGAGAATTTCACAGACAAAGGGAGGCAGCCGGGAGTAGGAGGAAGCCAGGAGTGAGGAACCAGAGACCAGGGTTCCTCTGTTTCCTCAGCCACCAAAGCAAGGCAGGTACGTGGTGTTCCCAGGCTCCCGCCAGCTTTAGGAGAGTGGGGCATAAAAAGGTCTCAGATCTTACGGGCTGTGTGGCTTTGGGCTAGTGACTTAACTTCTCGGAGTCTCCACGTCTCCTGTGAACCGGGAGAGCTGGTTCCACCTCTCAGTAGTGGGTAAGGATGAAAGGTGACCACACACGCCCTGTTCTCAGCATCGCGCCTGGCTCTTCAGCAAGGCACACCAGCAGAAGCTGGAATTAGTCACATTTTAAAATGAGACGGTTGAACTTGAGTCATAGTAGATTTATAATATTTACTAGGTTTGAAAGAAGCGCCCGTCTTATCATAGATTCCCTCCTCTGTCTGGCATTTGGGAATCAATATCAGAAAGGAGGGGACAGCTTGTCCCCAGGAGCCACCTGAGGATGGGGGCTGAAACCTCCTCATTGCACCAGCTGGAAGAAAAATGTGCTCCTCACCGAGGACCATGGGGGCTTTGGAATAACTGTAAAATACGATTTCAGAGAACTTGGGCGGGGGCCCAGGCTTGGGCAAACTACGAAGTCAGGCGGGTGTCCCTGGTCAGTGGGATGGGTGGGGAGGGCATCAGGGTCTGCTTGTCGGAGTGGCCTATGAGCTTCCAGGGCGAGGAGAGTGCCCAGACCTGAGGGTTGATGGCCAGCCACCAGGGAAAAGCTCCCTGCCCATGCTTTCCTGCAAGAAGTGTGCTAGATGGAAAAGGAAAAAGTTCTGTAAGGGAAGTGGGAATGGAGGAAGAGAAGCTTGAATGAGGAGGACAGACCAGGGAGGCACACGGAAGTGCAGCACACATGAGTGTCCTCAAATGTGCCTGGCCCCAGGGAACTAAGCTTCTGCCTCAAATGGTAGCAGCTATGGATAATTCCACCTGCTTTACATGAGGGGAGGCTGCACTGTGACTATTACAAAACTGCCAGCTCCTGCAGCAGAGGCAGAGGGAGCGATGACAACCAGGCCACAGAGGGACCCGGGTAGGGATTTGGGGACAGGCTTCCTGCTGTTCAGTGCCCAGAGACTCAGCCAGAGAGGCTGCTCTTAGTGGGGCCCTGCAGCACATCTGCCAACTGGTGTGGCTGGGCCAACTGGTGTTCCACTGTGCTAAGTTTAACCACAGAAGCCTTCCACTAGCACGCTGTCGTCAGTAGTTCAGCATTCGATAAACATGTGAGGTAACAATGTAAAGTGCTTCATCTGTAACTGTCTGCAATTTCAATTCAATTTAACTCAATAAGCACATGTTTGACATCTAATATGCATCCATTTCTTTTTCTGAGCTTTGCTTCCCTCCATGAGGCTTTGCACCCTTTTGGATAGACTTTGGCTGAAAACATTTTATTCATACATTTCAATAGATTGGTGACGCATCACAGCAGCCCAAATATTCTTCACAATAAAAATTGCGAGGAGCACTCTCCACAGTTCTAGTACATTTTGTGGAACTAGCGTATTAGTTATCTGTTGCTGTATAACAAAGCAGGCCATAGCCTAAGCTACCATGACACTTTGCTACTGCTCACAGTTTCTGTGGGGCAGGCATTCAGCAGCAGCCTGGCTGAGCAGTTCTGCTTCAGGGTCTCTTATGAGGTTGAAGTCAGAGGTAGACTGGGGTTGCAGGCAGGGGTTTGACTGCTGTGGGTGGATCCACTTCCAAGGTGGCCCATGTACATGGCTGGCAAATCAGTGCTGGTGATGACTGAGGGCTTCTCTAAGGAGCTGCTCAAATGTCCTTAGGATGTGGTGGCTGGCTTTCCCCTTAGGATGTGGTGGCAAATGTGATAATACTGTCTATGACCTGGTCTCTGAAGTCACATGCCATCACCTCTGCCATTTTCTATTATTCACAGACTGTGGAAAGGAGCTATCCAAGGGTGTGTGTACCAGGAGGTGAGGGTCCCTGAAGTCATCCTTGAAGGATGGCTGCCACAGTTAGCAATTAATCTTCAGAATCTACTTCTGACCATCTTCAGAAACATGTGTTCACGAACACAGATATGTAAGTAAATCACCATAGCTCTGTGTGGGGAAAGTCTGGTCTTTCCCACCTTGGTTGACATGTTTCACACATTACATTAGCTCTGGCAACTTCTGTTCCACCACCGAATTGCAGCCCAGTTCCAGCACGAGGTCTTCCTTCCTAATGCCTCTACTTTCTCATTAGTTCCGTTCTGCTTCTAGCTGCAGTTCCTTGCTATTAGCAATAGGAGTGATGTGTGTTTAGGTCCTCAGCTCCTTTTGAATTAAAAATCTTTTGTCTTTCTTCCTTGTGCTTTTCCTCCTTCTTTATGTAAGTGGATTCCCCTTTGATCTATTGTTCTCTCAGTCCCAGAGCAATCTGATTCCACACAGAGGAGCCGGAGAGGCAGAGAGCCGGAGGATTTATCCTGTAATTACCACATTCATGTTCATATGCAGCGTGTAGCGTGTGATTATAAAATGCTATCATACATGCAGGAGCCAGGAATTAGTTCTGCACAGATCCAAGGTGTTATTTGAAGCTCAAGTTCTAATTGAGTTTCTCTACCTTCCTATCCTAGGATATCGTGCTATTACCTCATACTTAACAAGTTTAAGAAAAGCCACATTCATCATCCTCCTAAAGCCAGCTCCTCTTCCTGACTCACATTTTTTTGACCATATTTCCACCTTTTCCCTCCTCAGGTGCAAAGGCTAAAAACCCAAAGCGTCACTTCAGCTTCCTTGGTCCCCGATGCCTCTTCCTACACTCAGAGATGGATGTTGAACTGCTTCCCTCCTCCACGCCTCTTTCCCATTCTTATAAACACCTCAGTCCAGGTTCCCCTCAGCTCCCATCCCATTATTTACATCAGCATCTCTTTGTCTGGCCACCTCTAATGCCTCCAATCCAATCGATTCTGCACGCTTTCACCAGATCAATTTTTCTTAAATGCCACTTTCATTTCACTCTTCTGCTCTAAAATCCTTTCAGCATTTCTCCACTGATGTCAGGATCAAGTCTAAACTCCTTGGTCCAGCATTTAGGATCCTCAGCGTTCATTTCATAGCATATCCCCACATATGTTTCACTCCCACCAACTCAAGCATCCTCATCTCATGCTACTACTCACGCCCTCCTCCATTCCCAGTGTGGTCTTACCCCCTGCCTGCCCAGATGCTATCGATCTGCGGGTGCTCCACAGCCTCCTAGAACACTTCTCAGGGGCTGGAGCTTCTCCTGAATGCTTCCTCACTTAAACCCTAAGTCAGGTTATCATCTACTCTGCTCCTTGGCCCCATTGTGTAAGCTTGTGTTAAAACCAAGCTCTCCTTGCTCCTGGTGCAGAGCTTTCTGAACAACAGTCTTCTTCTAAATGAAACTGTGGATCTCGCCTGCCCAGCTGGGTTGAGCCCACTATTCTACATAGGAGAAGAATTCTGCACTTATTTACTAATGAATTCCGTGGGCCAAAAGCCCCAATAAAAGCCCCAGGAACAAAGTTTTTAATGGGTTTCTTTCTTCCTCTTCTGGTTCAGCAGTTGTTTTGGGTGGAAAGAGCTGGGTTTCCTGCCATGGTTTAATCCAAAGCCTTTGATTCTGGACCCATGAGGGGCTTGCAGCATCCTGCCCTGTGGAGGAGGCACTCCATTTACTCCGCCCTTGCTGGAGTCCCTAGTTTTGTTTCTTTGCTTGAACTAGGTTTATTTTCTCTCAGTTTACCCAGCTCGTTGTTGGACAGTTTAACGATTGTTTTGGTGCCATTGGCAAGTGTCCTATTTAGGGCTACCCACTGTGGGAAGCTGGAGTCATCTGTGCCTTTGCATTTTTGTTTTCCACAAGATGCTGCTAGGGTGATTTTGCCAGAACTGTGCAAATGACTCAAACAAAGAAATGTGTTTCTCCTGTTACAAAGAGCAGGGATACCCACCTTCTTTACTAGATGAAGGGGTAGAAGCAAAAGAAAAACAGGTAACCTGAGCTCTGCCAACCTCTGCAGATGGAAAGCCTGTGTTTGGTCCCTTCTCCCTGAGAGGGAAGAGTGACCTTAAACCCACATCCTAATTAGCATTTATATTAAGTGAACTAGGGACTGGGTAGAAGGGTTGAAGACAGAAGCATGTTTGGCTCTTCAAGAGGAGTGAATAAAGGAGAGTAGTTATTTACACATTCTGCAAATAAGAATCTATTAAGGGTCAGACCCAGGGCTTGGCATTGTTACTCATACAAAAAGCACCAGAGATAAATCCAGCTCAAATGCAAACCACAGTCTGCTTTTCCAATGCCTTGCCCCATCAAGACGTCTTCGATCTTCTCGGGATTAAGTCCAAGCCTGCGATGGAAACCCAGACTGAGTCACAGTCAGGAAACCACACAGCATGAAAGCAGACATGGGGAAATTGAAATAAGAGATGGAGAAGGCTTAGGTCACAGCTTCCACTACTGAGTGTGGGCAAGGTGCTTCCCTGCAGTGCATTCTCTCAGACTCAGTCCTGTCTGGGTTTAAATGACTTTAATAATAGGACTTTGACCACACTTCTAAGCTTTATCATTAAGCCAGGCGTAACAATGCAAACAGCACACCATCTCAAGCAACCCAGGCCTAAGCTCTCAGTGTGGCTGAGAAAAACCTGTCAGGAAGGTAGTGCCTGCGTGCCTCAGGGAAAGGAACCCTGGCAGTCAGATCTCTCCCATCCAGAGCACAGAAGCAGAGAGCCGTGCAGGGCCCACGCCTTCGCCCAGCTCAGCCTCCCGAGGTTCAGAGAAAACTGTGGTGGATGTTTCCTGTCCACATCCTGACCCATGCACCCCCAGTTTTGTTATTTTTAACTGTTGGGCATGCGAATAGGCCTATTTCCATAAATGAGCTCCCCTGGTGTTTAAGAAAACATTTTACATTATTATTTTAACTACTATTTGCATCTACTGTCAGTAGCATAAACACAGGAAAGCCTATAGGGTCGAGCTTCCAAGTTTGATATTTCATCATGACTCCATCGTCAACTCACTGTAGGACACCATTGAATCCAGCGTCCCTGAAGATATCTTATCTTTAATAAATGAACCAACTGGGCCAGAAAATATCAGAGAAAGCTCTACAAACAGGGCACATTTAAAGAGAGAGAGCAATAGAGACAGGGAAAACGGGAAAGAGAGAGAGGGGATGTAAAAAAGGGAGAGAGAGAAAGACAAAAAGAGCGAGGAATAATTGATAGGCTGAAAAGAAAGGCGGGAATGGACATGTTCCCAGGAGCAAGGCCTAGAATCGAGGGCCGTGGCTTCATGCACATCTGATTAAGGCACAGCCTCTGGGGTCAGGAGGCATGAGGCTGTCAGGGCCTGTCACCATAAGAAATGATGGGACATCCTCACATGGACAAAGCTCCAAAAAAAAGAACTTTCTTTCTTAATTGAGGTTTTTCTAAACTGTCAGTTGATATGAAGCATCTGAGAAACATTCAAACTGGTAAAGGAAGGATGATTTCCTGAACACCTATTCTATGACAGCCTGAGCACTGAGTTCTTTCCTATCAAGTCATCTCATGCACTCATTCAAAAATGTAACCCAAATGTCCAACGATGGTAGACTGGATTAAGAAAATGTGGCACATATACGCCATGGAATACTATGCAGCCATAAAAAAGGATGAGTTCATGTCCTTTGCAGGGACATGGATGAAGCTGGAAACCATCATTCTCAGCAAACTATCGCAAGGATAAAAAACCACACACTGCATGTTCTCACTCATAGGTGGGAATTGAACAATGAGAACACATGGACACAGGAAGGGGAACATCACACACTGGGGACTGTTGTGGGGTTGGGGGAGGGATAGCATTAGGAGATATACCTAATGTAAATGACGAGTTAATGGGTGCAGCACACCAACATGGCACACGTATGCATATGTAACAAACCTGCACGTTGTGCACATGTACCCTAGAACTTAAAGTATAATAATAATAATTATAAAACAAAAAAAAAACACAAAAAACCAAAAATGTCTACCGATCAAACCGTGCGTACAAGGTTTGGCAATACAGAAAACAAAATAGAATCATCACCTGCCTTCCTGGAGTCTACAGTCCAGTTTACAATCTAGCATGGAGAGTGATGGTAAATACGTACAACAATCATCAATTTCATTCTCTTTTAATAAATGCTACATGAAAATTAGAGACCTTGTTTTATAGACAAAAGCATGAGTGTTGGAGGGTTCACACAGCTGGTCTAGCATTTTGCAACTAGTGTTCATTACAGGCAGGCTCTGCTAACCCTGACCCCAAGCTCTTTCATACATACTCCCCTACCCCAGGAGAGAGAGGCCATCATTGAGGGAAGAAAGAAATGGAAAAATGACAAAGTTGCAATTATGGGTCATGTCATGATTGGGATTAATTGGCCCAGGTGAAGTTATTACTTGTTCATGCAAAATTTTAATTTCTACTTTGGCCACGGATGTGACCCAAGGATAACCTACTGAAGCAAGATTTATTATAAAAACAAACAAACAAAACACAGCACAGGGAGGACTATAACCGCAAAACAGCAGAGAGGCATGGGGGCCCCATTCCTCTTCTCTCTAAGGGAGTGAACAAAGAATGGCAAGAAGGCCAGCAGCTTCAGGCCTCCTGAGTCACCCTCAAAGGCAATTTTGCTCACCATTTCATAAAATCTCCAGCCATAAATTGTGTCTTTTTTGCCAGCTCCTGGCTGGTCGCAAGTGATGCAGACATTTGTGTGAGATACACAAAGCCATTTTAGCTGCTCAAAAGCTATCAGCACTTGCATGCTAGGTTTGAGCAACACAGATCCTGCGGTACTCAGGGCATCAAAGGGGATTACCCAGAAACCGATAACAGATTTTAATTCAGATGATCACGATGGGGGCTCAGGAGGAGGAGGCTGAGAAATGGACAGACTTAACTCCAGGGTGGTAAAAGAAATGAGATGAAACTGATGATAAAGATACATTTAGAGGTCTATTTAGCCAGCCACATGTGGTCTCTTAAACCACGGCCTCTTTTTTTTGTGCTGGGGTAGGAAAACTCACTAAAGCACACTGGCCCATTGCCTAGGATTTTAGACTGCCAGGGAGAGTTTAATAGCTATTATTGCTCTTTGTTGCCCTACAAAGAAACAAAATGTACTTGCTAACAACTCAGACTACTGAACACAACATATCCTGATGTCAGGTGGGGTGTGAGTGTGCCCACCCCCTTGACAGAACACTTTTTGCAGTTAGTTCCCAAGTTCCCATGTGTTATTTTGTTTTGTCTTGGCCACTGAAATCCTCCATCGTAAAAGTTTTTCTACTATTTTCCAAACCCATTACTGTCATCGCTGTCCAGTCACTGGCCATCAGTCTCTTCTGCATCTATTTAATGAGGAATCACTCAGCATCTATCTACCTAGGACATCAATAATGCACTTATTTATTCAGTTATTTAACAAATATTCATTGACTGATCAACTGTTATATTCCAGGAACAGTGGTAGATGCAGAAAATACAGCCGTCAGCCAGGTGTGGTGGCTCACACCTGTAATCCCAGCACTTTGGGAGGCCTAGACAGGAGGATCGCTTGAGGCCAAGAGTTCGGGACCAGTTTGCACAACATGCTGAGAGCCTATCTCTACAAAACAAATTTTTTTAAATACACCAGCATGGTGGTGTGTGCCTGAAGGTGGGTAAATCACTTGAGCCAGGGTGGCTGAGGTAGGCAAATCACTTTAGCCAGGGAGGTTGAGGCTACAGTGAACTGCGATGGCACCACTGCACTCCAGCCTGAATGACAGAGACAGACCCTATCTCAAAAACAAACAAACAAACAAAAAACACAGCAGTGAACTGGACAAACTTGGTCCCTCACTGTCCTTGGGAGCAGAGAGGCAGAGAAAGAAAAAAGAAAAGAATAGTGAAAGAATATTTACAATTTTAAATAAGTAACATAAAAGAGAAAGCACAGAATTGAAACAATGATTAATAGAGTGGGGTGGTGAAGCTGCCTCAGGTGAGATAGTCCAAGAAGAGGCTTCCAGGCAGTTAGAAATAGGGCTGTCTACCAAGGAACTGTTGAAGCTGACTTCAAATTGAATAGGGCACCTTTATTTATTTTTTTCAAACTTTAAATGATACAAACACTCAACAAGCTAGGAATAGAAAGAAACGTCCTCACCCTGATAAAGGGCACATACAAACCACCCAGGGTTAACATCATACTTACTGGGGAGAGAGTAAAACGTTCCCTGTAAGATTAGGAACTGTACTAGGATGTTCACTCTTGCCACTTGCATTCAGCATAGCACTGGCAGTTAGGCAAAAAAGATAAATAAAATGCATCCAGATTGGAGAGGAAGAATTAAAGCTATCACTGTCTGCAGATGACATAATCCCATACAGAGAAGATTCCAAGGAAACCACTAAGAAAGTATTAGAACTAAGAAATACATTCAGTAAATGTGCGGGGTACACAATAAATATACAAAAATAAATCACACTTTTCTACACTAGCAATTAACAATCCAAAAGTGAAATCAAGAAAATCATTTCATTTACAACAACATCAAAAAGAGTAAAGTACTCAGGGATAATTTTAACAAAATAATTGCAAAACTTCCACTCTGAAAACTATAAAACATTACTGAAAGAAAGTTTAAAAGACCCAAGTAAATGAAAAGTCATTCTGTGAACATAGATTGGAAGAGTAGATGTTGAACTTCTAAATGTATTGATTGATTCACCATGATCCTTATCTAAATCTCAATGTGGCTTTTTTTTTTGCAGAAATTGACAAGATGATCCTAAAATTAATAAGGAAATCAAGAAACCCACAATAGACACAATAGTTTTGAAAAATAAGAACAAAGTTGGAGGCCTCACATTTCCTGATTTCAAAACGTATTAGTAGCCTACAGTAATCAAAACAGTGTGGGTTTTGACATAAAGGCAGACATATAGACCAATGAAATAGAATAGAGTCCAGAAAAAAAAACCCTCACATATATAATATATGATCAATTGATTTTTGACAAGTGTGCCAAGAAAATTCAATGGGAGAAAGAATAGTTTGTTAAAAACTGATGCTAGGACAACTGGAGATCCACATACAAAGGAAAGAAGTGGGATTCTTACTCCCCCACCCCCTCCCCCCAAAAAAAGGAAAGAAAAAAAGACCTTAAATTTTACCATGGACCTTGACATAATAGCTAAATTTAAAAAAAAAAAAAAAACCTTTTAGAAGAATATATATGGGTAAATCTTTGCAACCTTGTGCTATGAAATAGCTTCTTAGATATGACAACAAAAGCACTAGTGACAAAAGAAAACCTAGATTAATTGAATCTCATCAAAATTAAAACTTTTATGATTCAAAAGACACTATTGAGGAAGTGAAAGAAGCTACAGAGTGGAAGAAAATATTTGCAAACAATATAGTTAATAAAGGACTAGTATCCCACATATATGAAGAACTCTTACAACTCAATAATAAGGCAAATACTCAATTTAAAAAATGGTCACAGGATCTGAATAGTCCTACCTCCAAAGTTATACAAATACATACAAATGGCCAATAACCACACGAAAATATGCATCATTACTCATTAGGGAAATGCAAATCAAAACCACAGTGAGATACCACTTCACACCCACGAGGAAGGTTATAGTAAAAAAAGACAGATCATAACAAGGATTGAGGAGGATTCGAAGAATTGGAACCCTCACACACTGCTGATGTGGCTGTCAAATGGTGTGTCCACATTTTGAAAAACAGTTTGGTGGTTCCTATAAATTTTAAACACAGTTATCATATGACCCACTCCTAGTCAAATACTAAAGAGATATAAAAATATATGTCTACACTAAAACTTGTACAAGCATGTTCAAAGCAGCATTATTTATAACAGGTAAAAAGTAAAAACAATCCACATGTCTATTAAATGATGAATGGATAAACAAAATGTAGCAGATCTACACAATGGGATATTATTTGACCATAAAAAGAAATGGGGTATGAAACCTGCATGCTACAACACACATGAACTTTGAAAAACGATGCTAAGTGGAAGAAATAAGTCACATAAGACCACATGGTATATGAGTCCATTGATATTCAATGTCCAAAATAGGCAAATCTGTGGGAACATTAGCAGATTAACGGTTGCCCAGTGCTGAGTGTACGGGACAATGTCAAGAGTGCTTGTTAATGGGCACATAATTTCCTCGTGGGGTCTTGAAAATGTTTTAGAATTAACTGTGGTTATAGGTGCACAACTCTGTCAATATACTAAACACCAATACATTTCACAATTTAAGCTTGTGAATTGCAAGTTGTGTGAATTATATCTCAATCAAGCTGATTTTTTAAAATGAGGAGGAAGTAGCCAAGCAATAAATCTGGGATGGCAGTAACGGAAGCCACGCTACTCAAACTATAGTCCATGGACCAACAGTGTTAGCATCACTTGAGAGCTTATTAGGAATGCAAATTTTGGCCCATACCCTAAATCTGTGGAATGGTATTTTTCATATTAATAAGATTCCCAGTTATTCATATGCACATTATAATTGAGAAGCACTGGCCCAAGCAGAGAGAGGATAAAGTCAAGACTCTGAAGTGGGTATGTTGGAGGGATGGAGAGGACCCACGTGGTTTAGCATGAATAAAATGATAAATGGCACCGAGTTAGTGGGGAGAGGCAAGCATGGGACACAGGTGCAGGGCTTAGGGTCTAGGGAATGAAGTTTGGATTTTATTGCAATGGAGGAAGATTAAAAGGATCGAGCAAAGGAGTGACACTATCACAATTGCTGCTGTATGGAATATTAATTGAGCCAGATCAAGAGTAGAAGTTGAAAGACTGGTTAGTTGCTGGATAGAAATACATTTGTGTCTTGAACTAAGATGGCAGTAGTGGAGATGAAGAGGAAAGTTTGATTACAAGACATATTTTGCAGGTAGAATTGACAGGACTTGCTGACAATTAAATATAGGTGGTAAGTGAAAGAAAAGCTTCAGGGATGACTCTTGGGCATTTAGCATGAGCTCTTGAGTCAATGGCGGTTCATTTACTGACATAGGGACAATCGATGGGGACAGATATATAGCATCACATAAAAAGGGAGCTCAATTTGGAGAATGTTAAGTTTGAGCTTTCTGAAAGGTGTCCAAGTGGAGATGTCAAGTAGACAGATGGATGTGTGAGTCTAGAACTCAGAGATGTTTGGGCTGAAGATATAAATTTGAGAGTCATTAACATAAAGATGCCATTTAAATGAGATCACCTAGGGAGAGTGTAGAGAATCTGAAGCAATTTTAAAATGCCAAAGAGGGATGTTAGTTTCACTATCTGATTGTCAAGCCAGGAAAACACTGGGAACTCTATGGGGAGTGAATATTAAGTACAACCAGTCTTCTGGGAACTTGGAATCAAAAGGAAGCATTGAGGAGACCGACTTTTTGAGAAGGATATTTTCGACTTATTTAATAAGTGGTAAGATACTGGTATTAACCACCCAGACCAGGCTCTGAACACCGCACTGCATGGCGATGGAAACCCCTGTCCTTACTAACACAGTTTAGGAGAATAGTTGAATCAAGAAAATGTTGGAGATAGGTGGGTTTAAGGTAACAGAACAGCAAAGGCCATTCAGGGAATTTTGGCAGGATCTATTCACCAACCCAAATGAACTATTTCAGTATTTCAGCAGCTGAGGCACCATCCTGGTACAGCCTGCCTGAGTAGCAATCTGCCATCCATACAGGGATGAAATAAGTACTTTTAATTAATAAACTGGCCTAAAAAATAAACTAGAGAGATATTTAGTTTCTTTTTAAACCTAATTCATAATTTTTACTAGTAAAAAATCTGTTTGTGCCCCCAATATAACTCTTATTTCCTGTGTTTTGAACCATATGGCACCCTGTTTAGGTGCCTGTTGCTTCATCAGAGAGAACAAGGAGTATGTCTTGCTCATGATCCATATTCAGACAGTGCTCACTCCAGTATTCTAGAATAAATGCAACACATGTGCAGTTCTCAGTAAATGTTTGTTGAATAAATGGATAAATATATGATGACTAAATAAACAGGAGTAAAAATGAGGACAGAAAAGCCATTCTCTCTCATCCCAATGAGTCAGACACAGGCCACAATTCAATTTGAGAAACTTGTAGTCAGAAGGGAACTTCTGTATCATTAAATGCATTGGTTTTCATACTGTGCTCCAGGAATCCCTGTGGAATCAGAACTACAGGCTTCCTGGGGCTGCCTTAAAAAAAAAAAAGGAGAGGGAAGGGGGTTTGAGGTGGGAGCATTTTAGTCCCTAATCCCTCTTCAACTAGAGAAACAATTTTATCTGCGTCCAAATGAGATTTCATTAAAACAAATGATTTAATTATTCAAAAGTGTCTTAAACAAAATGTTTAAAACTATGATGTGATGTAAATTGCTCTATTTTTGTCATTAAAACCCAAAGAGGTTTTGTTCATTATTAAAATGCAGAGAGACCCAGAGAGGTCAGATGACTCTGCCAAACTTATGCAGTTAGTAGGGAAGAGACTGGGACTGTGATGGTGCTCTGGTCCATCATGCTCCTTCTGCCTCAGTTCCTACACCACCTGCTGGGGTGACCTCGCTGCCACCACTGTCCATCTGTATGCTCCCCGAAAGACCATCAGACCACAGAGCTGTCCAAGCCAAATCAGAGGTTGAGGTTGAAAGGGCGTGGCCCACCCCTCTCAGATCCCATCCTGCCTCCTGGCCCTTACCCAACTTATAGGAGAATTTGAATACTGAGCAAGGCATGGAGAGGTGCCCCATCCCAAACTCCAAACCTGAATCTATTCAGAATCCAGCTCCGAGCAGTACTGGGCATATGATCTTCAAGCTGAGGAGATGCATTTTGCCAAGAAGCAGATGGGCAAATCAGATGATCCCTGATCCTGACTCAATTCATTATTCAGAAATAGGAACTGTTTCTCATTAGACCTCAAAAGTAACTCCTGGTTTCATATGGAAAAAAAAAAAGTGAATGTTTATACAGAAGAGTAGTGACACGTAAGGCTTGGCAGGGATTATGGGCCTCTTACACTGAGGCTTTGCTTCTTGTTGTGTCTGGACAGGCAAACCTATCTCCCATTCTGCCTTCCTGCAGCCCATAAGTACCTCCTGGCCAGCGGTCAGGTTCCTTTCTTGGCAGTGGACCTGCTAAACGTAGGCAGGATATTTACATTCCCCATTATATGTTTTAAAATTTCTTTGGCAGAGGAACGGTAAATGCAAAGCAATAGCATGGCTGGGAGGCAGGGGCCATAATTAAAATCCCCTTTTTGTTTTTTAAAAGGCTTATTAAAATGCTTGTGAAACCTGCTGCACAAAGCAGCAGCCAAAAGCCCATTGCTGCTAAATGGAATGAAATGGATTTTCCAAATGTCATGCTAGTATCCACTTAATAATACATTTTCCTATAGACAGGACAATAATATATATTTTAATCACTTTTCTACAGGCAAATAGACTGCACAGGAGCTGCCCTTCACTGGCACTTGGAAATTATGAATTTTTCAATAACCTTTTCTATTATTCATCCTGTGTTATTCCGTAACATTTCTGCATGAGGAATGTGCTTCCCAGACACTTTATGAATCTCTTCTATTATTTATTAAACAGCAAGGTGTCTCCCTACAACCCTCACCCCAGATCCCCAGAGAGGGCTGCTGGGAGGAGGGTCCGAACATGCACAGCTACATCCCAGTTATTAATAATTTCATATCTATAACAGAAGCCGATTGAGCAAGTTCCTCCACGTGGCTCAACTTCAGACCCCAGAGGTGAGCCGCCTCGGAGAGGTGATGTGTACTCTTTTGGAGAAGGCAAGGAAAACAATCAGCCTAAGGTAGTCTCTGTTTATAACAATTGTTGTCTACTCCTTAACTGTCCTTACTCCAGAAGGGAGTCACCCGCAGGGTCTAACTCTGCCCAGGGAGGCAGGATTCCTGACTTGCATTTTCTGCTACAGATCTAGGTCTGACTGGGAGAAATCCCCAACCATTCTTCATGGGTCAGCTGCAGACTTGACTTCTCTGGGAAGCCTTTCCTGACATACTCCAGGCACTTAAACTTTTTCTGTGCTTCTGGGGTGCCCTGTCCCTTGCCTATCACAGCATCTGTCACATGACAATATTTCATTGTTGTGAGCCATAAGAGGGAGGGGCAGGTTCTCTCCTGCTCACCATTATGACCTCAATGACTGGAAGTATATTTAGCACAGAGGTATTCAATAATTATTTAGAATGAATGAATGGATACATAAATAATATGGCCAATAAAATGTTTCTCTCTAAAGCAGCTGTTAACAGGGTCTAAAAGGTGCTGAGATCGATGTGGCAGAGCCGTTTACTGCTCATCAAATATCCATGCACTCCGACAGATTCTCCCTTCCGTCCCCTTGAGGTTATATAGGGTTATACAGGGCCATGTGACTAGCTCTGCCGGAGACTGGGTAGACAGGGCATCTGCCGGAGACTGGGTAGACAGGGCATCTGCCGGAGACTGGGTAGACAGGGCATCTGCCGGAGACTGGGTAGACAGGGCATCTGCTGGAGACTGGGTAGACAGGGCATGGCACACTCGGGCCGATGCATCAAAATGAGAAAACAGGCCAGGTGCGGTGGCTCAAGCCTGTAATCCCAGAACTTTGGGAGGCTGAGGTGGGTGCATCACCTGAGGTCAGGAGTTCAAGACCAGCCTGGCCAACAAGGTGAAACCCCATCTCTACTACAAATACAAAAACTAGCCAGGCGTGGTGGCACACGCCTGTAATCCCAGCTACTAGGGGAGGCTGAGGCAAGAGAGTTGCTTGAACCTGGGAGGCAGAGGTTGAAGTGAGCTGAGATTGTGCCATTGCACTCTACCTGGGTGACAAGAGCGAGACTCTGTCTGAAAGGAAAGAAGGAAGGAAGGAAGGAAGGAAGGAAGGAAGGAAGGAAGGAAGGAAGAAGGAAGGAAGGAAGGAAGGAAGGAAGAAAGAAAGAAAGAAAGAAAGAAGAAAGAAAGAAAGAAGAAAGAAAGAAAAAGAAAGAAAGAAAGAAGAAAGAAAGAAAGAAAAAAAGAAAGAAGAAAGAAAGAAAGAAAGAAAGAAAGAAAGAAAGAAAGAAAGAAAGAAAGAAAGAAAGAAAGAAAGAAAGAAAACAAATGAGAAGAGAGTAGTAGTTCTCTTTGCTGCTGTAGTGCTGGTGGAAGCCAGTGTTCGGATGGTGCAGCTTTTGAGGTGGTGGAGTTCCCATCAGCCTGGGACCCCAGTGACTAATGGAGGGGGGAGCTCTCCGCCCCGAGTGCACACATGTGACACACACAGTGACCTGTGCTCCCTCTGTGCAGTGTGGGAGCAATAGACCTTTGTTTTGTTAAAGCCACACAGAATCCTGACTAACAGAATCTACATAACAAGGACAGTGTAGAAAGACAAGCGTGTAGTACAAGGGATTTGTTGTTGTTACCTTGTTTTGTTTATCATTTCCAAACCCTTCCACTTGGGAACACGGAAATTTACCAGAACATTACCATCTGGCACCACAACTAGAAGATAAAACAGTTCTGGAAAAGTTTCTGAAATTCTGAAAATGTGACCCAGCCTTAATATTCCCTTGAGGCATCTCTTGCAAAAGTGATTTTCAGGGGGAATTCTCCCACCTCTGATAAACTGTGAGTTGTGTCCCCATACACTGGTGTCTGCTCCCTTGTATCCTCCCCTTCCAGCCTGGAAAGGGCAGGGTCTGAGCTCAGTCCCCAGGGGACCCCTTGCCCTGCTCCTCCATGGAGCCTGAAGGAGCAGAGCCAATTGGATCCCAGCGTAAGGGCTGGAGGCCTGTGGCTCCTGTCCCTGGGGCCTGGGCCACTCAGACTGGCCACGTTTCCAGTTTTGTGGCTGGTCTCTCTTTGGGATTTTCTAATGGGCTATGGACTCCTGATGGACTTCTTTTCACCCTGGGCAAAAAGGACTCTGTTGAATTCTTCTGGGTGAACTTTTCCTAAAGCTAATAAGGCTTAACAAAGATAATAAAGATAACAAGGAGCTGCTTGGTGCTGGGAGATGTGCACTCCCTTGATCCACAGACCGACGGTAGGAAATTGAAGATTTTAATTGAATGTTCTCTCCATTTGCTTTTGCCTCCCCCTCACTCTGGGGCACCTGAAAAGGGGTGATTTCTGTGGAGACACTGAGCACAAAGCTCAGGGACAGGACCATTGCCCTCAAAGGTCCCTCCTTCCCAGGGGTAAGGGTAGAGGGCAGTGCAGTGCAGCAGAAATAGGAACAGGAACTTGCGCGCCTTAGGCCTTGATATGTCCGGGTAGGATAAAAGAGGACCTTGGCCCAGAATGCGGAATCTGAAGTGGACAGGGGAGGTGGGAAGCTGGAATTGTGTTTCCCAGCTGGAATTTGCTGAGTGCAGCCTCTGCAGGTGCTTCCCCGCCAAAGTGGTGGGGAAAGCAGCGCAAGTGGAGGCAGGGTGAGGGGGAAAGGGGAGGAGAGACAGAGAGAGACAGAGAGACAGAAGCAGACACAAAGGGGTAGACAGAGGAAGACAGAGCAAGTGCCACAGACAGCTTGAACCTCCCACGTGGCATTAAAGGGGCCCCTAAGTTTCCTAAGGGCCCAACCTGAGTGTGATGGTTAACGCTGAGTGTCAACTTGATTGGATTAAAGGATACAAAGTATTGATCCTGGGTGTGTGTGTGAGGGCGTTGCCAAAGGAGATTAACATTTGAGTCAGTGGGCTGGGAAAGGCAGACCCTCCCTTAATCTGGATGGGCACCATCTAATCAGCTGCCAGCAAAGCTAGAATACAAGCAGGCAGGAAAATGTGAAAAGAGATCCTGATAGCCTCCCAGCCTCCATCTTTCTCCTGTGCTGGATGCTTCCTGCCCTGGAACATCAGACCCAAGTTCTTCAGTTTTGGAGCTTGGCCTGGCTCTCTTTGCTCCTCAGCCTGCAGATGGCCTATTGTGGGACCTTGTGATCGTGTGAGTTAATACTTAATAAACTCATATACGTATATATATTCCATTAGTTCTGTCCCTCTAGAGAACCCTGACTAATACACTGAGTATCACATTAACTGGGAGAATCAGTCTGAGTTCCAGCCCCAGGGATGTCTGTTGGAGTACAGGGCTCCAGACAGGGACACGGGTAGAAGACCTTCGAGGGCTTGGGCCTCCATGGTGTCCTTAGACATGCTTTCTGCTCCCGCAGATTTACCCGAACCCTAAATGAATGCTGTCCCCACTGCCTGCCTAGCTCAGCAGAAAGGAAGGCTAGAGAGGGGATGGCATGAGGAGGTCGGCAGAGGAGGAAAACCCAGATGGAGTATGTCAGGGGTCTGCAGACCATGGGCCTTGGGCCAGATTCCGCCGGCCACCTGCTTTTGTAAATGACATTTGACTGGAGCACAGCCACTGCCATTTGTTTACCTACGATGCCGTGATGCCAGAGTCTGGTATTTGCAGTGGAGACCTTATGGTCCCCAAAGCCTAAAATATTCACTGTCTCACTCTTTACTAAATATATTTGCTGATCCCTAGACTCTCACTTAAATAATAATCTTGAATTTGACAACAAAAGGAAGACAGACATTAGATCGAACTGAAGATACTAGAAGGCATCCAGATCAAGGTTTCCTATCATCAAGGGGGAATGAAAAGTCAGGTCAACAGCACCTCGGAGTTTAATAGAATGTCTTCCAGCTAAATACCGTGAGGT
Organism: Homo sapiens; assembly: GCF_000001405.40. Lineage (NCBI taxonomy): Eukaryota > Metazoa > Chordata > Mammalia > Primates > Hominidae > Homo > Homo sapiens. The sequence goes on along the minus strand of NC_000011.10, from coordinate 131,596,113 downwards.
AGGTTCAGCCACAAGGGAGGTATTAGCTTCATGTTACAAACAAGAAAAACACTGTCCCGGTCACACTGTTAGCAAATGTTGATGAGGACTCAGGGCATTCTTCCAGCCTGCCATGCAGATGGTGACTGCAATAGGACCTAGCTCCTAAACAAAGCATGTCAATCAATCCAGGCATGGGCTCCCGTATTTTATGTCCTGTTGACAAGAACCCCTGGCTTCTTTCTACTGCTTTTTGTTCAACAGAAGTAAACCATTCTCTGTCTAGCTGTCCCTGAATCTGCTCTGAAGTATTTAAGGTTTGCTTTTGAGGTCTTCCTGGGCTACTCTTGCCTTCCTGCAAATCCCTCTAATTTTCCAAAGTCCTCAGTAGTTCCCAATAGGAGGCACAGAAGCTTGATATGCCTTCACTGTCAGCCCAAAACCTTCATCTGTACACAGCCCATCCCAGAGGTTTGTGAAGAGTCCGTTCCGGCAAATACAAGCTTCCTTTCTTTCATCTCAGGCAAGCCTTCTCCACAGTCAGCAGCTCTCTAAATATCATTTATTTATGTGTGTTTTAGAATAAGGGGGAAACACAATTGCTTGGGATGGAGATGTCATTTGCAAAATAATAGTTTCTCAGCTGATGAGAGGCAAACCTCCACCAGGAGTCAGTCCTTCTAAATGACACATCTTTCTTCACTATTTAGCTTGTGAGGACACATAAGCTGAGCACTTGCAGTAATTTCAGGGTCTTTTTTCCCCTCCGTGTGAACTGCTCAGCCCTCTTGAATGTACAGTCTTTATTCCTAATTGGATCTCATCAAAGCTTTCTGTTGCCTTCAGCTGGTGGAGGCGCATGGTGATGTGGAGGGAGGGTAGAGACACCAGCAGGTGATTCACTGGTGGACCACGCCTAGGATTTTGCTGTGGCTGGATGAGCCCTAGACAGAGCAGCAAGCCCCATGCTGAGACTCAGCTACAGCCATCCCACCTCCTTCAAGTCACTGCCTTTCCTCCCCAAATGGCAAAACAGCTATGATGTGGAATTCCCCCTTAATTAAAGACGCAGGTGCATTAGACACTGGGCTAAGCATTCTGCATACATTATATGACTTAAGCCAACAAAATATTATGAAGCAGATGGATCTTTAGACCAGTTTTATAAGTAAGAGAACAGAGCCCAGAGAGATTGAGCAAGTGGCTTAAAGACACATGGCTACTGAGTGGCTGAGTAGGGATGTGAGGAAGAGAGGAGAAATTACTGCAATATTTAGAGTACATGGCGCCCTACTCTCCTGTCCTCCCTGTCAACTTCTCTAGGTCTCAATGCAGGTGAACAAGCCAGAGCTCATTTCCTTCCTTCTACCTCCCTGCAAGATGTTGCAATATTTTCATCAGAAGGAGAATTGTTACCAATATTAAATTAGTAAACTTTCAGGCATGGTGGCTCATGCCTATAAATCCCAGCACTCTGGGAGGCTGAGGTAAGAGGACGGCTTGAGCCCCGTAGTTGGAGAACAGCCTGGGCAATATAGTAAGACCCCATCTCAAGAATTTTTTTTTTTTTAATTTAGCTGGGCGCGGTGGTCTGCACTGTAGTCACAGCTACTTGGGAGGCTGAGGTGGGAGAATCACTTGAGCTTGGGAGGCGGAGGTTGCAGTGAGCTGAAATCTCACCACTGCATTCCAGCCTGGGTGACAGAGCAAGACCCTGTCTTAAAAAAAATTGGTAAACTTTCCTTTTGTTATAAATGTAATATGAGAATGTTACATAAGATTTTGGGGGAAAGGAGCTAAAGAGAACCAACTCCTAATATACTCAACTAATGCAAGCACTCAGTTCTTGGTACAGGACAGTTGTATTGGATTTCAAAAAATCTACAGGACTTAGCATAAATTCTTTCCCAGGTCCTCCCCAGTGCCAAATTATTACAAATGACAAATGAATTAGACCTATTAGTGTGTATTACTTTCCTTGAATCCAATTGTCATGAGATACATACTGAGTTTTCCTGACTTCTAACTTTGTCTAGAACAACCATCCTTATGCATTTAGAGGCAAACAATCATCCATGTTCCTCAGAAACAAGACTATATAAGGCTGGTGCACAGAATTTAGCAATCTCTGGGCAGCAACCTGACCAAATATTGCCTCTGAATGCATTCATCCTAACAAATCCATGTAAAAGATCCACTGGGCACCATGCAGGCACCACAAGGGGGAAATAAAATGAAATACAGGCCTTGCTTTCAGAGTGCTTACAGTCTAGTAGCAGACAGAAGACAGACAAACAGATAATCATAAAGCAACCTGCCAAGTGCAGAAACTGATATGTCCAGAGACACAGACAAACATGATCCTCGTGAGGCCACAGAATGTGGCGCAAAAGAAAATACAACAAAATACAAGAGGTTTTAGAACTAGATTGAGTGAATTTTAAATCTCAGCTTTGCCCACGTACTATCAGCTGAATGACCTTTGACTAGGTACTTGGGTTCAGTTTTCTCATCTATGAAGCAGAGGTGATAACGGCTTTTACAAAGCTCTAATGGGGAATAAATGGGGTAACGTGTCATCCACTTAGAACAGTGCATGCTATGGCAGGGGGGCGGGGCAGGGGAGCCTTTACACTTGGCTTGTTTGAGATCCACAGGCAGAGTTGCCTTGAGCCCATGGACCCTGGTGAGGCTCAGTCCCCTGCCTGACACGATGGGTTGGGAAGTCCCAGCCAGCAGCCTGTCTCCAGAAGATGCTCGTACCCCACCTGCTGAGAGCTAAGCCAGGCAATTGCTCCCTCACTTGTTGAAAGACAACTGTAGCAGGGAAGGCAATTCTCCCTGTAATCTCCAGACATCCTGAAGCAAAATCCAAACTGAAAGAGGAGACCTAGCAATTAGAGGAACTAATGGCACTGGGGAAGGAGAGGTGTAGGGATGGGTGGGGGCTGCAGGAGGGACAGGACTGCTCTTTGCCTATTTCATCTATTGAGTGGAGAGGGAGAGAATGAGAAATAAATAATAGTTTGCTTTTTGCTGCATGTTGGAGCACATTTCCTGCCAATAGTACCACTCACAAGGGCAACTGCTTGACACTTAGGCAAGGGAGTGTGCAGGGAGAACAGGACAAGAGAAAATTACAAATGACAGCATAGCCTGTGTCTGCAATTACAATGCATTGTAAACAAGGAGAACTGCAATTCCAGCTGCCAGACGTGGCCGGAGATTGGCAGGGAAGGGCAGCATCAGAGATGATGGCAGGCTGCTGCACATCTGCTCTGAGCCCAGCATTGTGGGGAGGCAGGGGCCAGGGAGAGGGGACCTGGGGGACTGCAGCTTGGGGAGTGTGGCAGGCCAGGGCTGGCAAGGAGACCAGGTAGAGAGAGGGAGCAAGCAGTGGTGGGGAAGGAGGAGGAAACAGCCCCTAAAGGTCAACTTTGAACTATGGTGTGTGTGTGTGTGTGTGTGTGTGTGTGTGTGTGTGTGTTTGGGGTGTGTGTGTGTATTTGTGTTGGGGAGGTGAATAGGAGAGAGGAAATTTCAGGTCGTGGTTGTTTGGCTTTCATCACTACTGCAGGACAAAAGAAACTAGCTTTTTTTTTTTTTTTTTGAAAGACCTATTATATGCCAAGCTTTGTAAGGCATTTTAAATATGTTATTTGAATGATCTGTACCAGAATCATTCAAGCACTGCCCTGTTTACTAAACAAGTCATTACTGAGCATGTGTGATTTCCAGGCCCTGGGCTAGACTTCGTGGATCTTAGGTTAAAAGGCTATAGCTGCTGCTCAAAGCCATTTTGCAGACGAGGACATTGAGTCTCAGAGAGGTGAAGTTACATGCTCAAAGCTTCTCAGTTAGTAGCAGTGTGAGGACTCCAGTCTAGGCCTGAAGGCCCAGCATGCTCTACCACATTTTTTAGCAGAGCCCAGTAATTCTGCCTCCCATAGTCAGAGCTGTTCCTCTGATCCTTTGACAAATACTAAGTTAAATAGGATTAAGTGGGGTGAGTGCGTAGTGGATGCCCAATAAAAATAGTTTCCTACCCCTCATCACTGACTTAACCATTGACTTAACCTGTTATGAGGAACATCATTATCCAACCAGGGGCAAAAGTGCTCTATTTGTATAAAGGGAGGAAAAGAAGAGGTGACTGATTTCCAGCAGGTGAGGCTGTGGGATGGGCTTCCAACAACTGAGTAGTTCTTACCCAGAGCATAACACAAGAACTGTTTCTCTAATAAAATCAGAAACGAAGGGAGGTTTACCTTGCAGCAGGAGGAATTCAGGTTAGACACAGGGAAGTGCATTTCAGCTGTGAATGAACTGCCCCCTTCCCATTCATGCTGGTGCCTGCTGCTGGGCACATTAGCGCTCTGGGTATTTTCCCAGTGGCTGTGATGAGCAGGGCTGAGCCATCCACACTCTCAAGCTTCCTCCATGTGACTGACAGAACCTATCTACCTGGTGAAAGACACACTGAAGGCAACAGAGTTGGGGTTTTCTTTATCAGTGACCCTTTCGGGGAGCAAATCTCAAGCCTTGGCTCATTTGAGCTGGGAACTACCCAGCTCAGCTCACCAGTAGATAGTCTTGTTAGGCAGGGAATCCATGCATCTCCGTGCAGGGTTGTCAGATGGGACGAATCTCAGCAGGCTGGGTCCTAAACCCAGTGGGGAGCCAGGGTGTGCCCCCCTTCCATCTCCCCCAGCTCAGCTCCATGGACTGTCAGCAGCAGATAGACCAAGCAGGCCCACGGGAGGCTTCGTCCCTCCCCAGCAGGGCCTCTGAGCACAGCACAGCTTGTCTCTGCGGGAAGTCATTTGTTACAGATCTGGGCCCCCCAGGAGGGCCCCCCTTTCCCCAGGGACCTTTCAGTGCTGGCTGAGCCTTCTGGTTCTGCGATGAGTGAGTGACATGGGGAAGATGAGAGCAGCGAGCAGAGAACCCTGCGGTGGGGGCTGGGAGGAGGTGAGGAATTTGAGTCTTAACAGCTGAGCTGGCAAGAAATTTCCCTAAGAAGTTGAAGCTCTGGCTGAATCAGTGCTGCTGACTCTCCCAGAATGGATGCACTGAAACTACGCCCAAGGATTTCATTTGGTTCATCCAGCCTGCTTGCTGCTCCTGTCACCTCAGGTTACCCGGAGCCCTTCTCCTGGGAGTGCAGTCCTGTCTCCAGCCCACCTCACTTCAGGGCCACTGAGCACTGCCCAAATGATGACTGGGTATCCACTCGCATGCTATCCCTTTGGAGTTGTGTGGGGACAGCAAAGTTCAGTAATTAAGAGCATTGGATTTGGGGCCAGACCTGGGTTAAACCTTACATCGGCCATTTATACAGTACAGCTTGGACAAGTCCCATAAGTTCTCTTAGGAAGCCCGTTACCTCACCTACAAGATGGAGAAAAGAGCCTTCACATCAATTGCCATGCAGATGAGTTTTAATAGTATTCTAAAGCCCTTACACAGTGTCTGGCCGTGAGCAAGCATTCAAAGAAGGAATGTTGTTGTTATAATAACTTGTAAATGCTGCCAGTGGCCTGATATTGGGACATTAAGAAGCCATCCAATTGTCCTCTTGTCGTGCAGGGGACACCTGGCTTGGCACTTTGCTTGGACACCAGAGACCAGTCCAGTGCACTTCCTCTGGCCCTATCTCTGGGATCTGCTTTGCACTGTTTTCTGCCCCTGTTCTTAAACTCTGAGGCTGTTACTTTGGGCTTCCAGCATGTCGCTTGGTTCTTCTCCTCTGGTATCAACCTGTTTGCTGTTTTCAGTCTAATGAACACTCAGCTCTTGGGCAAACCCACTCACTTCTGGGTGCTTCAGGTATCTCTGCTCCCACCTGCTCCCCCACCATGGGAATTGAATGATGACACAAGCCCCCAGGGTCATCACTGCTGTCAGACAGTCCTGGTTCTAAAAAACAGAAAGGACACAGATGACTTTTGACTGGGGAGGGGACAGAGGTTCTCCCTGTCTCCATGAGAATGAGCCTCCCAGTAGCAGCAAGGTCGAGGGCTGGGTGCAGGGAAGAGATTGATCAAAATAGACTGAAAGACAAATTACATCCACAGATTATCCTGGGAGTCATTTTTCCAGCCTTGGAGTGAGAACGTTCCAGTTCCTTGGTGAATATCTGCATTTAGGAGGATCCTGGCATGTGGCTGGGGAAGAGCGTATCCCTTGCTGCTTTGTTGGGTTTTAGCGCAGAAGAAATATTCTTTGCTACTTTCTGAAATGTACTACTTATATGGGGATCGAGCCCTCCACTCTGTATTACCTGATATAAGCCTCACACCTCCAGCTAAGGGACACCAGGTGAGGCACAATAAGTGCCCTGGAAACTTTGCTTTCATCTCCTCAGCAGTGAGGCCAGGCAGTGACCTGGTGTCACATGTGTGTGCGCATGTGTGTATGTGTGGATGCAGGAACATTTTTCAACAAAAGTGACGAGGAAGGGGTGGGATGGTGTCTCTCTGCCATGTACACATCACCTTCAAACCTAGGACATGAAAGGCATAAGATACAAAAAAACAAATAATGATTTGGGGTTAAATAAGCCAGAGGGGAGAAAAACACTTTGGTTTCATCATCATGTGTAAGAAAGAAGAGGACAGGGTTGTTTTGCCTCTGCAGAAGCTCCTGTGGGAAGCCCTGGACTGCAGTTTCTGGATGGAGAATGGATGTGTAGTCAGCTTTTAATTACAGCACTAATTGAGGGGGATGGCAGTGTGAAAAATCCAGAATGCTAGTGCTGGGAGGACTTTAGGAGAGTCTCCAATCCCATCACTTTATAATGAAGAATGTGTGTCCCAGGGAAGAGAAAAAAGCCCTGCTTAAATTCATGTGTATTATTAATGGTAAGATATTTACAAGAAACTGGGTCTTCTGACTTCTAGCCTCGTGCCTTCCCACTACAACCAGAGCCTACACACACACACACACACACACACACACACACACATTTTTCCAGGTTAAGAGTGGCATGGTTTCCTGTATAACTGCTGTGTTAATCTCACTTAAATACTAATTTATCATGCCACCTGTCTTCTCACAAACCTTAGTGTCCACCCACAACCTACAGGACGAAGACCAACCTCTCCCCTAGCATGCTCAGGCATGAGTCCTCTGCAGCGTGAGGCTCCACTACTCTCCCATATAAACCCTCCACTTTCACATTGCATGAGCCACACCTGTTAATGCCATTTCTCTTTCTTTCTCTTGTTCAAAACCCAAATCACAGCACATGAGCTCACAGTGAGTTCTCTCAGAATCATCAAGCAGTTAATGTCTTTACCCCATTTAACAATAAGTACACATTGCCCAGAGTTAATATTTACATGTAATGTCTTCATAAGCAGATGGAGACCTTGTCTGACGTAGTTTTCTATACCCAACTAGCCTGATGCCATTCCCCATAGTAGGTTGATTACAAGTGTTAAAAATTTGATGATGTTCAGTAAAATTATAGCAGGACTAAATAATTATTCCAGGCTTTTTCTTTTGATTGTCTGTTTTGGTTCTAGGTAGACTCAAGTTACCAAGATGGCAAATCCCTCTGGCTATCACTGGTTTTTGTGTCCTTGCCCTACCCAGATCCAGCATCTATAAAATATAGCAAAAGGTAAATATCCCCATTCCTTAATTCAAATTTGCTTCATAACCATGGCACACTAGTACTGACTTAAACTACATTGCCAAGAAAATTTACAGTAGTGGTCAAGAGAAAGGATTTTTGTTTCAGGCCATCTTGGAAATAATGTGATGTCACTTTCAAAATTAAGTTATACAAAGCCTGTGGCTTTGCTCTGGGGCAAGCTCTCACTGTCTCTTGGGTTGCTCACTGGGGGTGGCCAGCTGCCATGTTGTGAGGAAGCCCTGTGCAGACGCCTGCTTGGCAAGGGACCAAAACCTGCCAACAGTCATTTGAGTGAGCTTGCAGCAGATCTCTCATTGTGTCTTAACCCTTTTATTTGCTAATTGTGGCTGGGAGTTAACAATAATCTGTGCCTCGGTTTCTTCATCTGTGAAATGGGGACGCTTTTAGTAACCACCTCATATGGTGATGTAAAATTAAAGGAGACAATACATGACAATCATTTAGAACAGTGCCTGGCACATAGCAAGCATTCCACACATGCTTTATTACTAGTTGTCTTTCTGTGACCTTGGCTTACTTGATGCTCAGCTATGGGTCACTCTTCCTCATCAGCCTCATCCTAAAGATGATGATTTGGTTTTTCTCTCTCTCACTTTGTATTCCACCAGCCCTGAACTTGTTTTGATCTCTGACCACCTCTTCTTTCATGCTGTCAACTACTGTAATTCTCTCTGTGCTGGCCCCTGTCTTACTTACTTCCTCCAGTTGTTTCTGATGCACAGTCATGAAAGAATAGAGTCCTGGACTGGGTGCAGTGGAGCATTTAAGATACAATTCCACTCATGCAGGTGTGTGTTATGACTGGTGAAATAAGCTTTGCCTATATAGGATAAAATTAAAAAATATATAATATAGTATCAATTTCATTCTACATCTATATTATTCATCAATTTTTCAATTAGCCAATATTTGTGAGTTCTAAAATGGGATTGTATTTAATAATTTGAATTTGTCTGAAATGGTAAGGCAGAATAATTTGTGGTCAAGAGTATGGACTTCGAAGTAAGGCCTATTTTTTTTTTTTTGGACAGAGTCTCGCTCCGTCTCCCAGGCTAGAGTGCAGTGGTGCGATCTCTGCTCACTGCAAGCTCCACCTCCTGGGTTCATGCCATTCTCCTGCCTCAGCCTCCCGAGTAGCTAGGACTATAGGCACCTGCCACCATGCCTGGCTAATGTTTTGTATTTTCAGTAGAGATGGGGTTTCACCACGTTATCCAGGATGGTCTCGATCTCCTGACCTCGTGATCTGCCCACCTCAGCCTATCAAAGCTATACAACATTGGGAAATGTAATTAAACTTTCTGTGCCTTAGCTACCTTATCTGTAAAATGGAGATAATAACAGAACTCACTCCAGAGCATGAATGGGTAAATAAAATGAGATAATACAATGCAAGTCACGTGGAGTAATGACTGGGTGTAGTTAGTACTGGTTAGTGTCCTTCTCTTTTCTGAGTACTTCTGCTTGCTCCGTAGCCTCCCAATTGAGCATCACTTATTTTTTAAGTTAACTAAAATTAATTTGATATAGTAGATTGCCTGATACCTCTTTCAATAGCTGAAGTTGCTCTAGGTTCAGAAACGGTTAGTGTGAGATAAGTGATATAGATTGTTCTTTCCAAAGAGTTGAAAACACTTAAAAAGCAGTCTCTTCATGCTGAAGCTTGTCCATTTTCTTTTTGAAAACCTACCGTCTTTTTCTTTAAAGCACCTTAAGAGGAGAAAAGAGTCTTATAGAAAACCCATTGTATTAATTATCTGTTGCTGTGTAACAAACAAAGCAGCCTAAAACAACAAACTGTTATTATCTCACAGTTTCTGGGGTCAAAAATCTGGAAAGAGCTTTGCTGGGTACCTCTGGCTCAGGGTTCCTCCTAAGGTTACAGTCAGTCTGTGGGCCAGAGCTGTGGTCTCATCTAAAGTCTTGCCTAGGAGGAGGAGCAGATCTGCCTCAAGCTCACTCATATGACCATTAACAGGTTAGGGGTCTCTGCACAGGGCTTCCTCACAACATGGCAGCTGGCTCCCTGGGTGAGTAATCCCAGAGGGAGTGAGAGAGCTTGCCCAAGAGGAAATCCATGGGCTTTTTGTAACTTAATTGTGGAAGTGGCATCCCATCACTACGGCTGTATTCTATTTGTAAGAATAATAGAATAAGCATAACCCATACTCAAGGAGGAGAGGATCACATGAGGCTACATAGTAAGACTTTGTCTCTGCATGCCTGTGGTCCCAGCTACTTGGGAGGCTGAGATGGGAGGATTGCTTGAGCCTGGGAGGTTGAGGCTTCAATGAACTGTGATTGCACCACTGCACTCTAGCCTGGGTGACAGAGAGAGAACCTGTATCCAAAAAAAAAGGAAAAACTAAAATATTGTTTTAAAAGGCTAACACACTCATACACACACACGAGATTACCTATGACAGTGTGTAATTTCACTGAACTTTTAGAGACCAGTTACGACAGGTAAGTTTCTGTGCTCAACAGTTGTAAACACAATCCCATTTAGTTAGCAGAGAGAACTTGTGGGGATGGAAGCCTTGAGTTAGGTTCTGGCAAATTGGTGAGAATCTGCGTGGGCAGGGAGAAGAAAGGAAAGATGGTAAGGAAAAACACTAGCAAATCAACATGGCCTGGAGCCACAGTGGGAAAAAGGAAAGGACACAAAGAGAAAATGAGCTGAAACAGAGAAGCAAAAAATAGGACAAACCACACACTACAACCATTTGGGGCAGGCAAGATTTTTACACTTACTTCTATCTCGGTGTTTTGATGAAATGCCCTACATAGAGGCATGAAATGAGATAGAGAAGGAGGATGTAAACTCCATGGCCTTTCAAACTCTACTCGACTCTGGGCATCAGTGATTCTGCATCAGATGGTGCCCCGGCGAGAGTAGCCACCGTCTGCACTCACAACTGTGCTTGCTAGGTGGTCACACAACATGGTGGTGTTGGCTTGGGCGCCCTCTGCGGGCAGAGAGGAGGAGTTCAGTCCTGCTGGGGGGTCCCCTCTACCCTCCTTTCCTGCAGGAACCAAGCCCCAAAGGAGGGCCTGAGGAGTGTCTCCCATGGTGAACTTCCTCCCACCAAACCCGGACTTGTCAATCGCAATCAGCCGCCAGCGTGGGTTCCCCCAGCCAGGCCAGCTGGCAGGAAGGCTGCCAAGGCAGCAGATCTGACGAAAGAATTCTCAATCACATTTACATGTGCATGGTGCAAAAAGGGAAAGGAAGGGGGGAAAAACCCCTCCGGAATCCAAAAAGAAAGTCACTAACTAATTCACACAAAAAAAGAATCAGCCACAGATTTGTCTCAGATGTTCTCAAATTGCTGTCCTTAAAAGCTCTGCTTCCCCGTCTTCCTCCTCCTCCCATCCGTCCAATAGCCCAAAGAAAGTCTCTAATTTTGCCTTAATTTGTGCCTTGGTTGCAAGAACAAAACAGAACGTCACTGCAGCTTCCCCCCCACTGCACCCCCCTTGGCCTCTCAGCAGCTGCGCTTCTTCAATGGCCTGATAGAGTCCTTTCTCCACCATCGTTCCCTATTCTTTGCCAAGCGGATCCTGGCAGCACCAGGCCCGATGCAGCACTGAGAGGGGGAGGCCCGGAGAGGGCCAGCCTCCGTCCCATCAGACATCAAAGGGTCACATGGATCCCAGCTCGCCCTCGGCCTCTCGGCGAACCAGAGACTGCAGGCTGTGGGCACTGAAGGGCAAAGAGTGAAATGGCTCCGTCCAGGGTGATTGACACAGGCTGTAATCTCACAAAATTGCAGATATCTTGGGCATCTTGCCGAAACCCCAGGGGTAGTAACAAATTTGGGTATTTACATCATTTTTCAAATAAAAAATAAACAAATACACGCTCGTTACTTCCTCCCAATTGAATCCTTTTGGAATATCAGATGACAGATTGTTTCTCTGTTGACTACTAATGGGACCCAGCGTTTTATTCTCACATATAGTCCCGGCTTGAACCAGAGGAGCCCTCACTTAAAATTCTCACTTCCCACACTCCAGGGAGGCTCATTTAACTCCCCTCTCATGGCCTCCGCCCCTGCCTCCACCAAGAAGGAGAGTTCTGAGGCGCTTCTAATTAATCTTCGTAAATTGCTCTGCGATCCTGGGATATAAAGGCAAAGTATTATTAGAAAATGCTGGCTGGGTTAGTAGCCGGCCATAAAAGTCGGATGCTGATCAGCTCACTTTTCACACTGCAATTATTGGGAATGGTTGCAAGTGGTTTTATGCGATGGGGACGTCGTAAGTCCTTAGGAAAAGCACAGGGCAGGGACTGAGAGACACTCACTCATGGCTGGTGTCAGCAAAGAGGGTTGTCAGCCAGTTAACCTCTGAGCTTTTTGCCTGTAGTAGTCCTAGTGTATTGGGATCCCAGGAAGATGCCAGCACGTCTCTTTTTTCTACTGTTCAGCATTCATAAAACATCACTTGTAGCTAAAATGGACTCAAAAGCAAGCAGTTCCCATCTTGTTAGACAGGAGGAGAGAGCTTCATTCTAACAGTGCCTAGCTGCAGATCCTTGGGACAGTGACTATCTGATTTAAGGGGTCCATTGATAGTGGACTCATATCCATGAAGGTACTTCTCAGGGGTTCATCTATGGGTTTCATACAAATCCAAGAATAGAAGAAATCCATAAGAAATTTAGAATAAATACTCCTTGGTTCCTTGGCCCCAGTTTGTGATTTATTGCTAGTCCATTCGCAGGGATTAAACTAAAGAGTCCTGCCTCCAATTCGTTGTGTGATGTGAGGCAGGATTCAGCCTCCCTCTCCCTTTGAGTCACCATCTGTGTTTAGCAGATATTAATCCGCACCTCCTAGGATATTTGGTGGAATAACTAATTAATGTTTAAAGAATGCTCTTTGAACACAAAAAAGCACAGTGTCTGAAGGTAAGGCGCGATTACTCTTCTGAATTGCACACTTGCCAGGGTGATTTTTCTGGAGGCATATGACCTTCAGAAGAAAAATACCCAATTACAGCAGTTTGTTTATGATTTCATGTTAAAACATTGTTAACACAGACATTTTCTCTTAATATTTTATGAAGAAGATATCTTAGACAGATTTAATATTTTAATATCTATTTGCCACAAGAGCTAAAGAACTAGATAATGAAATGTGTGCAGTATATTGGGGAGGTGGATGGGGAAGGTACTGCTATGAGGCTACGGATTTCTCTGAAATGAGTGAAAAATTCAAGGTGCAGAGAGGCTTCTCTACTCTCTAGGGCCAGCAGGCTGGTATTCAGCTTAGGGACCTGAATCCAATTGGAAGAACATGGAACATAATCTGCTCTGTTGGTACTGAGGACTCAGAGGCAGCTTCCTGGTACAGTGTCCCCAGCACTGTGGAAATAGGTTAGTGATGCATTTGGATCATCAAAGAGAGCCAGGGAGACGCTACCCGTGTGTGAAAAGAGGAACATCTAGAAGATCCAAGCAGCATTCGGAGCCATCGTCCTACAGAAATCCCTTCTATTTGATTTCCTGAAAACCTCAGTTAAAAGAAAGTACAGGCCATGAAGCCACAGGCTGGATAGAGAGGGATGGCAGACAGAGCGGGATTCCGTGGGACTCACAGTGCCCAGCTCTGCTGCGATGGCATTACCCCAAACGCCAGTAAATCTCAGAAGGGGCTGGGTTTTTTTGGTGGGGGAAGGGGGCGTGGGGGTTGTTGTTTGTCTAACAGAAAAGTAATGGACGTGGGGAATGTGACATTGACAATTATTGAGCATTAACTTTGTTAAGTATTGCGTGTTAACTATGCACCACAAATTGTCCTGAGTGTTTTGAAGGCATCCATTGATTTCTCCTCTTGCCGATGCAGGAGTAAATAATATTTTTTTTTTTTAAGCAAGAACATGGAGACTCATCTAGAGTTAAAAAAAATTAACAAAGCAAAACAAACATAAAAACTAATAAGTGGTAAGTCTTGGATTTAAAATGCAGGCAGTTTAACTCCAAAGCATAGTTTAACTACTAAGTTAACTTTAGCATATATTACTTAAATTTGGAAGCGCGGCAACTGCTATGGGTCTAAAAAAAGATGAAGGGATTCATTTACATACAGTTAGCTTTCTGGAAGGGGGAGGGCCCAGCTGACGAGCAGGAAGAGCTGGACTTTTTTTCCTCACGTTTCTCACATGCCGCTTGGTGCCAGTCGGCGTAGATTCGAGTCCATATTTTCCCTTTCAAGGCTATTCTTGATGTTCATTTAAAACAGATTTCACTAGTATAGGAAACTCCATCGAAGTATAGCTTTGAAAGCAGCAGCCCGTTCTGCATTTTAGAGGCTGGGAGCAGAACTCGTCTGGGTAAAGCTGGCTCCCAGGGGCAGGGAAGGTGGGAGTCGGGTGGGTGAGGACTGGTGGGCTTCTTGATCTGCAGAGTGAAGGCTGAGAGCCCCTCTAGAAGGGGATTTTGAGATCATCAGGATGAAAAAGCTCTGCATAGTCATGGCAAAGCCTGTTCCTCTGTGAGCAGGGCACCCTCTCTGGGAAATTAGAACTATTAGGAAAGCCAGTTTGTTTCCCTTGAGAAGAGGGGGGAGAGTGAGGGGCAGTCTCGGGCCCTGGAATTGGAAGAATCAGGGCACCAGCAGAGTGTGGATGTCAGGGAAAGGCTGCAAGTGCTGGGTTTCATAAGTGAAGTCGGAAATCTCTTATTAAACAAAGTGCATGGGAGGCCATTTTAGGGGATCAGTCTCCTGCCCTGGGCCCAGGCAGAACAGACCAAAACCAGAACGGAGTCACTTGTGTTAAGTGTTCAGTAATCAAACCAAACTTTGAAATGGACCAGTTTTCCAAAAAGCAGGCAATTCTGGTCAGCCAGAGTCAGAATAACGAGGAAGTCCCCTTGTCTGAACTCTATAAAGTACCCCTTAAAAAGGCCAATTTGCTTTTTGTTCTCTGTTTCTGCTTTCCTCAGCCCTTTTTTGCCTATAAAGCCAACACCCTCAGCTCATAGGAACACTCATTTTATTTTACCGATCCTAAAATCAAAAGTAAAATCCAAATGGAGCTTTCAACTAAATTCGTTGTAATTTCGTCATCTGACTCTGTTAGACTTCCTCCCTCTCCTTGAAGCAACTCTCCTCTGTTACCGCTCAATCTTCAGTAATATCTTGTGGTCCATGCCTCCCTGGGGACCGAGGAAAAGAACAGTATCTACACATTTGGAGAGCAAGAGGAAAATAGAGGTGGAAGGCTAGTCAGGAGCCAGGAAGACTGCCAGCAACCCGCAAGAGCAGTGGGCTCCGCCCACCAAGGGGAAAAGAGCTCTTCTGTCTCTCTGAGTTGTAAGGAGAAGCCATGACCAAGAAGACTTGAAAAAGTTGTTTTATTCCAGAATAAAAAAAATACTCTCTCTGAAGATGAGTGTGGCAAACCCCATACCCCACACCCTTTTAGCAATAACCCAGGGCCTCATAATTCCCTAAAATTTTATTGCTTCCTGCCTCCAAGCTCTTTTGTTGTCTACTGACCAAGCATAGCTCTTACTTTTGACCTTTTGGTGGCCACTGTGACTTCCATGAGAGAGAACTTTTGCGACTTCCCCTGCGACTGTGGTTCCTGGGATCCGTGCATGACAGCTACAAGAACCCAAACACAGTGGGACTAAAAAAGATTCTTTTTTCATCTCTACAAGGAGAGCAATCTTATGAATGGGACAAGCATGATGCAAGGGAATACGAAGAAATGCTAACTTACATTCCTGATTTCAGACATCAGAAAAGGAAGTCTACCACCCACTGTCGGCTTTGAGATCAGGGGCAACCAGAAAGGTCAGTTCAATTATAGACTACTCCTTCTCAACTCCCATCCCCTCCCATTAGCTCTCTCCATCTGTCAGGTCACTTTGCCAATAGGAGACAGTTCTGTGGGTTCTCAGCCCTACGGAATAGCCCTGGCCTACCCTAAATCCTGGAGAGTGTGTGCCTTAACCTTTGTTCTCTCTCTCTCTCCCTCACAGATCCCATTTTCCTGTGTCTCTAGCATGATCTATAGCTGCCCTCAGAGGGCAGGTGTGGCAGGTGGTGGGAGAGGGCCAAATCGCTGTCAGTGGCCTCACAGTACTGATGTGTAATCACAACTCAGCCATATACCGTAATGTGGCTATAAAGATCTCAGAACCACAGTATATGAGAGTTATGCCTGAAATGAAGTCCAATCTGTGATAAAGCAGCCAGCATTAATGCCACAAATATGTGACAGTGGGCAGAGAAATGACTGATTGGGGATGTTTATAAATATAGGAAGTGAGCTGCTTGTGGCATCCAATAGAGGGGGTTAGCAAAATGAAGACAGATGGCGGCCGATGAGCTCTCGGATTCCTTTATGGCTGCCAATCCACACAGATAGCCCCACTGCTCAACCTCATCACGCAGCCCTCCCTGCAGGCTCTCTGGGTACATTATAGGCCATCTCCACCTCCTGGCTCGGCAGAGAACTACAGCTTGCTTCCCAGGAATGACTGCGAAGATGGCAGAGAAAAATGTTGCTCAGGGCAGCCATTCTAAATATGGCATTGATGCATGCCAAAATCATGGGGCTCACTCAACTGTCTCATAGTAGTTTTTATAGAAATATAGAATGCCATGTTGGGGAAAGGTTTTCAACATTTCCATCTAACCCATTCAAGCAATGCTGGAATACTCCTGAGCACATTTTCCCAGCCGTGGGAGGTATGCCCTTCCCCAGGTGAAGCCCTGCATCTCTGCCCTTGCATTGACTTTGGATGTAAAAGTTCTCTTCCTGGAGCTTCCATTCTCTGGTCCTTGGCAGCAAAATGAGCAAGGATCAACCACTCTTCCTTCAGAAGATAGCCTTGCAAATACTGTAAGAGGTCTTCCTCCCATGCATGGACGTGGCTTTGGTTCCCCCACAGGGACATTAAAAGCTCTATTTTGTTTGCTCACATATTATGGGGTCCTGTAATATTATCCTCCAGGCCGACGTGGGGCCTCTCAAACCTTTTAAAAATGGGATGCAATGATTAGACAGTACTCTAGGGGACTGCCTGACTGGTTTACAGTAATGCAGAACTCTTGAATATTTTGTTTTATATACTATAAAAGGGAGAGGGAACCTCACTCTTGTAACTTGTGGGAAACTTACAATCAGCAAAACAGATAGTTTATATTTCTGTTTTTGTTTTGCTTTGTTTTGTTTTCTCTCTGTCTTCTTTTGCTGCCCTGCTATGACTAAGCTCTGCTTCTCCAATCTGTGAGGCTCTTCCTAGTTTCCAGCCTCTGTTTCCCATTGCTCCTCAGAGCAGGGTCCATGTGACCCTACAGCAGTCTCCACCCTGATTTTGCCTCTGTAATCAATCCTGATCTCAAACACAAGAGATTTAAAGAACAGCAGCCCAACACCTCAAGCTCCCCATCAATTGTTAGCTGGACTCAGACCTTGCATTTCTTTTGATTGCCTAAATTCTATTTTAGTCCCCAAGTCCGGTTTCCTCCATGTTATGCAGTTCTGATTCCTGGCTTTCTGTCTTTTTCCTGTGACTATCTTGCTAAGCTTCCAGGCCTTGTGAACCTCCTGCATGGGATACTCTGCTTGAACCTTATCAGCCTTTCTTCACAAGAAGTAATGTATCTCATTCCTCCTCCTCAATCAGGCTGTGTACTTAGTGAAAAACTGTCAAAATAATAAATACTACATAAGCATAAGGGAACTGGATCCTCACCATCACCCTATGAGGGAGATAGTTACAAATATAGTCCATAGATGCAGATATTGAGACACAGAGAAGTTAAGTAACTTGCATAAGGGTTCACAGCTGGGAAGTAACAAAGCCAATTTTGAATTTCATATAGTTTGAGTCTAGAGCCTATGCCCTTAAAAGCCATACTCTCTGGCCTCATGATGAATATATTCAGAAAGAATGAATGAAAGAGTTATTTTATGTATGTAGCTCCCCTGTCTCTGTTCTCACTGGAATACTTACCCACTCTGACCCACCCCACTTCCCTGCAGCTCTCCCCTGTGGTATCCACCTTGTCCCTAAATGCACTGGCCTTTTTTCTCTATCCCATTATCTACTGCTCAAATCTACCTGAAAGACTCTTTCAAAGAGCCTCTACTTCCTGCCGTTAGATAGATCATAACTGAATCTGACATCAGATATGACATAAACCTATATTTGAATAATTTGCTTGGGGGACCTAATTATAAAATATTGCATTTTTTCCCTGTGAAATTCCATTATCTTAGATATGGCCCATTCTGTCAGCCTGACAAGATCTTTCTGGATTCGATCACCTGATAAATTTGCTTTTCCTCCCAATTTCATGTCATGCACAAATTTGATAAGTGTCATCTCTATGTCTTCATCCAACTTGCTGATGGAGATATTTAATGATACAGGACACAGCCAGTGTCCTAGGTGTCCTAGCAGCCTGCCGCTTGACATTGATCAGTTAGTTGTTCAGTACCTGTTAGCTATAGTTGTTCATCTACTTACTAATACACTTAATTTTACTGGTATTCAGTGTAAACTTCTTTGTCATTGCAATAAAGCTATTACAAAAGGCTTTGTAAAATGCCTTCCTGAAATACCAATTCACTACATTTCCCTGGAGAATACTGTCAAAGTAGGAAATGAGGTTTGTCTGACATGACTTAATCTTAATAAATCTAAGACAGTAGGAAATCACTATTAATCCATACTGCACACTGTAAGAGTCTGAAGAAAATTCCATGGCTTTAGAGCATTGGTTTTGAAGCTGCATCCTGCAGAGACTTAGATTTCCTTAGAGGTACTGCAGACACCACCGCGGGATATGAAGGAGAAACAGAGCAGGCACAACTCTAGCCACTTTCGTTCCAAGAAATGTTACTATTTTATATATTATAATAATGTCCTATTTTAGATCCTTCTTGAAAAAGTGAAATGCAAAATACAATTTGAAAACTACTGCTTTAGAGGAAGGAAGCAATCTGCCTGTCTGGAGTTGTATTTGATTGTGCTATATTGACTGGTTCTTGGGACACTCACTTTGTTAATAAAATCAAGACACCATTATCCACATTTGCTCTGTGCCTCACAGAAGTGCTATAAGAGTTGATAGATAGCCTCAGGACAGAGCGACTAAGTAAGTCCATTACTGAAATGCACACATCTAAATGCCCCAAAGAATCCTTGTCATTTTTTTCAAGCTATCTGCTCAGAGGATGTTTTCCCCATCCTCAAATATTTATTGATGCCTTCTAGCTACAAGGTATGTTCAAATACATGATTTCTTCAACCTTCACAACAGTGTTAATGAGGGAAATGCAATTATTCCTGTTTACCAATGAGGAAACTGATGCTAAAAGGAGGTTAAATAAATTGGCTGTGATCACACAGCCAGTAATCAGAAGAGCCAAAATTCAAACTCAAGTTTTATTGACCCCAAAGTCCTTGAAATGTGCCTGTATACCACATGACTTTATCTTAGTATCCATGTATTGAGAGGTAATATTTTTGAGTATTTACAATGGGCTAGGCACAGTGCTAAACATTTGCAAAGATTAACTTATTTAATCTTGCAATAACCATATCATTGGTGATATTATTGCACCACATTTTGTGGAAAAAAATTAAGAAGTTCCTCAGGGTCACACAGTAAGAAACTGACAGAGCCAAGATTCAATCCAGGTAGTCAGACTCCAGAAACTTTGCCATTAATGATTATGTTATTATTTACGTCAGGGATCATCTTATTATCAAATTTGATGCAGGCAGATGCCCTTTGGCCATTCTTGGAAGGGTCTTGGAAACTATTCTCATGAGCTCTCCTATGTGAATCTACCATTAGAGATTATATTTTTCTTTTGAGTTAGGCATTTTCTTATGTTTACATGGAGGCAGTCTTTGCCAGTCGTTGAAGGGTTGGTGTGAACTAGAGCCTCTCCAGTGTGTCTAGTTGAGAGAACATTGAAAGGAAGAAGCGGAAAGACAGGTAAGCTCTGATAATCTTGGGGGTGGAGAATCGAGCAAAAGTATAAGACAATGGGTGAAGGCAGGTCAGGGCTGTGACCCTAAGAAGTAAGGAATGGGGAACCAGAAAAGGAGGAAAGAGGATGCTAGGAAGAGCTTTATCTTCTGTGCATTTAGATGGACCAATCCTGGTTCTTTTGAAAGAAGAGCCCTCAAATATCCACATCCTGCTGTTTCCTCTTGTATTTGTTCAGCTGTGCTGGAGAAGAGTTGAAAAGGATGCAAACCTATAGAATATGCAGCCAATGTGAGCAAAGCCATATTACTTCAGGGGCGAGCTGTTATTTATGGTCTGGGGGCTGGGTCCTTCCCTTCTCTAATTGGTAGGAGCAGAGAGGAAGGAAGGGAGCACAAATCATACTGACTCCCTTTTTCCAGCCCACCTTCTCTAGATACCGTGTCTGAGCCTGGCTTTCTGCCGACATATATATTTCTATTGCCTATTGAGCACGAAGGAAGATAACAGTCCTGAATAGCATCAGACAAGGAATAAAATGAAATTTTAACCCTGGTATTAGAAGACGCATTGCACTTCTGCTCCTTTTAAGGTATATTTGCCACTTGAGATAATTCATCTGGAATCCACAGAGCACCCAGTGAGCCTGGAGAGAGCAGGAGCTTCCAGGAGCCAGGGAGAGTATGTTAGTTCGTTAGAGGTAAATGCCATCCAAGCGCTGCAGGTGAAAAATCATCTGCACTTCGAAGTCTTTTTGAATTGGGGAAGGATAAGCCATTATTTTTATTATTTCCACTCCCTTCCCTACCATTAAACTACTTTCTTGAAGATATTCAGCTAAACAGTAGAAGGAAATAGAGTGAAAGTAGAAAGATCAGGCTGGGAATTGCAGAAAGGTAGATTCCCATTCGGTCATCTCAACTCTAAAAGTTATAGCGATCTAACAAGAAAACACCCTAATTTCATTAACTATGCTCCTCAGTTAGACTGTGCCACTTCCTATGCTTCGGTTTCCTTAGATGTCCTATTGGAAAGAGCAGTACTGAACATCTCTATATGTTGTGTACTGCCATATAAATAATAGGGTATGTAGTTCTTATACTCCAGAAACATTTCAACCAGAAGAGAAATTAAAATATATAGGCCCAAAGACATATACTGTAAGTGTACTTTTGGAAGAAAGGTTTAATGTGACGGGGGGCTCCCTGTCACAGAAGATGTTTAAAGTGTGTCTATATAAAAGCCTATTAGTCTTACCATAATTTAACAATGTTAAACTGGTTTCCTTGTTGCAGGACTTCTCAGAGCCTTTGTATGCTGAAGTTCACTGTGACTCTTTCAGAGGAGGGTAGGTATCCAGCAATTTCCTAAACTGGCGAATTATGGAGCCTTTATCCCCATTTTATTAAAGAGTCATCCAAACGGACTGGTTTTCTGAGAAAAATTTTGAGAATTCCTGCTGAATAGGAGATTATTGCACTAAACATAGATTGAAGTGCTTGCTGTCTAAAGTCTCTTCCAAGCCTGAGAGAGCTCAGGCCACAGCCAAGTAGGGGGTTTTTTGGAGAGAAGCAAATCAGGAGGATTGCTGCTATTCAAATAGCCCCAAAGGTCCCCTCAGCACCAGGCATAGGTCTTCCCAGAGGTAACAGTGGGGAGTGGGGAGGGAGCAGCCCCCGTCGATGCCAAGGGACTTTGAGGCTGCTTTCCATTCAAAGCCTGGGGAGACAAGTGACTTCCCAGGAGGAATAATATTGCTTCCTTTACAAGGTGTAGGCCACACCTCTTCCTTCCACTGTTCTCCTAACTTCTCTTTCTTCTTCACCCAAGGAACTCTGGGACTGGCATTGACTGTAGATCACTGGACAGGATCCCAGCCATCCCTACCTAAGTGAATGTAAAGGTGCATGTGTAGACACACACACACACACACACACACACTCAAGCACATACACACACTCTAGTTTGCATTTCTTGAGTGTGTCAGTGTAGCCCAGTGGGGATACCTTAGGCCTGGGACTCTGAAAGCCCCTCACACACTGCATAACCTGGGACAAGTCACATCACCACCATCTGGGTCTCAATTTATGCCTCTGTAAAATAGAGTATGAACAACGCCTTTTTCCTAGATGTTGAAAGAATTAAAGGGAGTGGGGCACCTGAGGGGGCTTTGAGAATGGGGGCTTGTGGACACTCAGGGCAGCTTTTAGCTAATGGGTCACTAACTGGACTGGGGAGTGCAGTGATATCATTTCCTGAATTGCAGCCACCCCTGAATGGTTCACTATAACTATGAAGCATAAAGTTGGCATTTAAAGATTATTTGGATTTCCAAAGGCCGAGCCAGCCTTGACTCTCTAAGCACGTTAGAGCTGCTGTCCATCAACCCTCCCCAGACACCACACTGGGCGTCTAGCTCCCACACCTGCACAGCCGAACTCCTCCCCAACACCCACGTGCTGAAGCCATGAGAGGGAATAGAGCAATTTGCTTTAAAAATAAGGAAAAGAGCCTGCAGGCCTTTATCCCCTAAGCTAGCATGAGGCTGCTGTGGCTCATGTGATGGGGCTGTGTCTGGTGAGCAAAAGAAGAAACTCCTGGAGATTCCAGTGCCCGCAGGTGGACAGTGCTCCAGCCCCCTAGAAGAAATCCATGTGGGGACAGGCACATTTTGGTCACCAACTCGAGAGATGACTGAGTAGCCTGCCTTCAGTTTCTCACTCTTCAAGAGAAAGGGCCCGATCTTTCCATGGAGAGACAGTACGGGGTACGACTCCAATTCAGGAGAGATTTGGGAGCAGAAAAATGTCATCTGGATAGAAGGCACTTGTTAACGAAAATAATCTCTATTTCTTTTTCTTCCAGCTTCTCCCCGGCAATCATAGGAGGGGGAACTGTTTCAGAAGACGAGGCCTTGGAGGAGCGGGATGTGCCTGGGAGAGGTGGTCACCTACCGGGTAAGACTTTGAGAGAGAGTAGAAATTCTGTTTCTACCCAACAATGGGAGAAAACTGAAGTTACTTTCAGTTGAACTGAATTGTCCCCTGCTGGTTGGGAGTCCCTGTCTTCGTTTTCTTGCCATTTGAAAATATCACATAGGCTAGTTTATGTTGGTTTTCTACTGTGAGGCACTTTATGCAAGACTTTTCATCTGTTCCTTTCTACAGTATTGAAAAACAGAAATCTTGCAAATGAGCAAACTGTGGCTTAGGGACACAATGACAAATAAGCAGAGCCAAAATGTAAACCCCAGTCTTCCCTGTTCCAAAGCCAGGCTTCTGGGTCTAATTTTCCTCCTAGGAATGATAGAAGATGACATGGGCTCCGGGCAGCAGGTCAGACTTTACCAGTTGCTCCCAAACCCTCTCCAGCACATGCTCCTGGGCTTCGGCTGCTACTGCTTCTTGTTTAGGGATTCTCCAGGGCCTTGTCAAGAGGAGGGAGTGCAGAGTCAGTGGTGTTCTGCTCAGCTCCACTGAGATCTTTACATGGTCCTGAGCCTCCTCTCCAGCCCCTTATGCTGGCTCTGGAGGCTGCAGGGAAATGGGGAGCAGACAGACAAGAGGTGACGGCGACATGGTCCGAGCTCTCCTCACCAGGTTGCTGAATGTGTGCCAGGAACCCGTTCTCACTCCACCTGCACCCGGGAACATTCTCCTTCATCAGCAGAAGAGTTGCATATCTTGAGAAACTGAAGTCTTCATCTCCCTGTGATTGGGCTCTGCAGCAGCTTAAAAAGCTTCTGCCTGAAAGTGCAAATCACGCCACACCTTAATAGCCTCTTTTCTAGGGTGACGTGGGCTTTTTAAGCTCCCAGAGCCTCTGTGGGGATGTCTGAGCTGCTCGCGTTGTTTGTCTGGCATGCATTTCTATTCAGGGAGCCGTCTCTGCAAAGTCTTTCAATGCGCGCACAGTCATCCAAGGGAAAGAGAAACATGCTCTACATGAACATTAGTGGCAGCTGAAATTTGTCACACCAAAGGTCAAAAGGCATAGCCAGGTAAAGGAAGACAAAGGGAAGGAAGCAGGGATGGGGAAAATGGTAACATCCAGCCTGGATGGGAAGATTGGGACAGGAGTCACGGATGGTCCAGTTTTGGTTCTTTTAATTCTGGAGAAGAATAATGCCTAAGAGTGTCCTTAGGGGGCAAATATCTTAAATTGTTCTCTGTATCAGAAGGATCCTGGGTTCTGGGATGGGAATCTTGTCACAGATCACTGTACCTTTTAGCCAGGCTCCCCTTGTACATCAGGGCACCTCTGATGGTCTGACCCCGTGGCCTCCCTAGGAAGCACTGTGGCCAGTGATATCCTTTCTGAAAGAGAAAGGCTGCCCTGTGTGTGCCTATGTCCTTCTCTGCATGCGAGAGGGCACCCGGCTACACACTGACCCACCAGCCAAGCACCGTGGGTTGACCTGATGTGCATGTTTTTGTGCATTTCAATGGGAGTTTATGAAATGTCTGAGCATGGGTCAAATTTCTTTTAAATTGGCCCAACCAGGGTCTCAGATTGCTGTGGTTGTTGTTTCAAATTGTTCGCCTAGCCCACTGTACCCTGCCCAAGACAGAAAGCTGGTATCTTGGAAGACAGATTTCACTTTTTTTCATATGTGCTCTCTTCCTCCCAAAGCCCATATTACCAAAAAGGAGTCTCTGTGCTGAGGCACACTTGTGACCTAGTTCTGAAAGGACAAGTCCTGTATTGCCTTAATTAAATAGTACAGGATTCAGACTGCAGCCTTCTGTGCTGTGGGATCTGTTTCAGAGAAGGAAATCCGACATCTCTTTTGTCTTTTTACACCGTGCTCTTTAACAAAGAACATAAACAGAAGGACAGAAGAATTGTCTCCCTAAACACAACGTTTTTCCAGCTCAGCATTCTTCTTTGACTGTGGTGCCAAGAGGCAGCCTGTGAGAGGGCACAGTTATTTTAAAATGTTTTGGTTTCCCCCAATAACTAATAATGGAGCTTTCCTCCCAGAATTGCATCTTTGCTGGCCTGTCATGCTAAGAGCTTGCCTGGGAGCTGGCGCCATTTCCAGTTCTATGACCTTGGGCAAGATGCTTAAACTTCCTGGAAAGCTCAGTTTTCTCCTGGGTAGATTAACACAGGCATAATACCTACTCTACAGGATTTTGGGGATTCGTGTTAATATATGTAAATCGTCAAGTACGGCGCTTGGAGCCACTGCAATGTCACTTCATCAGAGTCTTTCAGACCAAGTGAGCAGCTCCGGCCAAGCTACTAACTGCACTTCCCCTCCCCAACTCCAGCATTTATAAAAAAGCATGGTTAATTAGTTACCTAATAGTTAATACTTCCTGAGCACCTCCTTGTCTGAAGCACTTCTCACAGCAATGCCATGAGGAGCCACTATTATCCCCATTTCAAATCAATAATTTGAGGCACAGAGCAGCTAAGTGACTTGCCCGAGGCCGCACAGCAGAACTGGGATTCAGCACAACTGGCTGGAAAGCCATTGCTCTTAACTACCACTCTGCACTGCCATGCTGCCTTAATCAGCTCTTCCATGGCTGTCTTCTCCGCCACTCTCTTCCCTCTGGAGAGCCAGGGGTGTATGATTCTTGTTCCTTTCTGAGTCTGCAGTGCCTAGCATGTAATAGGCAATTCTGTTTACTGAATAATTTTTATTATTTTGTATTTATTTATCTACTTTTGAGACGGAGTCTCCCTCTGTTGCCAGGCTGGAGTGCAGTGGCGCCATCTTGGCTCACTGCAACACCTGCCTCCTGGGTTCAAGTGATTCTCGTGCCTCAGGCTCCTGCGTGGCTGGGACTACTGGCACGCACCACCACGCCTGGCTAATATTTGTATTTTTATTAGAGACGAGGTTTCACCATGTTGGCCAGGATACTCTCGATCTCTTGACTTCATGATCCACCCACGTCAGACTCCCAAAGTGCTGGGATTACAGGCGTGAGCCACCGCGCCTGGCCTTGTTTTTGAATTATTATTATAGCCTGCACTGTTTCCTACGGGTAAACACTCTACCAATTTGTGATCTACTAAGTCACTCCTTTTAATTTGTTCTAAAAGCATCTCTTTCAAGGTTCATTTATTGCTTCTAGGTTTTAGAAAATTTTAGGATTTGTGAATCAATTCTAGAGCAGAGCCAGAACCAAGGAATGGAGAATGTTCCTGGAACGCGGCCGAGGAGTATTACTAGAGGACAGTTAGAGCTTTACAAAGTGAAATCAAAGGACCACCCACTTCAGAACTTCCTGGGGGCCTTACAAATAATGCTGATTCCCATGAACTGAATGAAGGCCTCTGAAGCTGAGGTCCAAGAATCTGCCTTTTCAATAAGCTTCGAGTGATTCTGTGCAGTTTTCAGTTATGGGAGCACAGACTTAGAAGTCTTAAGAGCAAAGACCAGAGGAAAAGGAAGACTGATATAGACAGAATAAATGATATCTGGGAAGAATGCAGAAATTAAAAGAAAAAGACAAGCTCCTAGGAGCTTCCCTGAGTGGGGACCACAGGCCAGAGCAGAACTTCAGCCCATTCTAAAGTGACATTTCTGAGGCTGGAAAGTGTGAGCATGCAGCTGGAGTCAAGAAGGCCCAGGTCTTTCTTAGGCCTAGAAAACAGAGATACAGGCCGGACGTGGTGGCCTATGCCTATTATCCCAGAGCTTTGGGAAGCTGTGGTGGGAGAATTACTTGAGGCCAAGAGTTTGAAACCAGCTTGAGCAATGTAGCAAGACCAGTGTCTACAAAAAAAACTTTTTAAAAGTTAGCCAGGCATAGTGGTGGGCACCTGTAGTCCCAGCTCTCAGGTGGCTGAGGAGGGAAGATTGCTTGAGCCCAGGAGTTTGAGAATGTAGTGAGCTGTGATCACCCTACTGTAGTCCAGCCTGGGCAACAGAGTAAAACCCTGTATCAAAGAAAAAAAAAAAAAAAAAGAGAGAAGAAAAAAAGAAAAGTTAAGATAGAGAAAAACCTGAGTGTAAAAGTAGGAATAAAAAATGTCATTAAAAGACATATGAAATGTCCAGGACAGGTAAATTTATAAAGACAGAAAGCAGATTAGGGGCCAGGCACAGTGGCTTACGCCTGTAAACCCAGCACTTTGGGAGGCCAAGGCAAGTGGATCACCTGAGGTCAGGAGTTCGAGACCAGCCTGGCCAACATGGTTAAACCCTGTCTCTACTAAAACATACAAAAATTAGCCAGGCATAGTGGTGGACACCTGTAATCTCAGCTACTCAGGAGGCTGAGGCAGAAGAATCACTTGAACCCGGGAGTCAGAGGTTGCAGTGAGCCAAGATTGTGCCATTGCACACCAGCCTGGGTGACGAGAGCGAAACTCTGTCTCAAAAAAAAAAAAAAATGAAAACGAAAACAAAAACAGCAATAAAAAGAAAGCAGATTAGGGGTTGCCTAGGACTGGAGCAACGGTAGGATTCAGGAGTAGATGCCTAAGGAATTCAGGGTTTCTTTCTGGATAACGAAAATGTTCTAAAGTTGATTGCAGTAATGGATGCAAAATTCTATGGATATACTAAAAGCCAAGTGTGTGGATACTTCAAACAGGTGAATGATATGTTCTGGAATTGTATCTCTATAAAGCTGTTGAAAAAGAGAGAGAGAGAGCATCTGGGAGCTATTAAGTATACAGCTGGGCCAAGCTCAGTAATGTGAACTGATATATTTGTAATCCTCCCCAACATTACTAAGGCCCCCTCATATTCTAATTAGCAAGGCTGACTTTGAATGCGTGCTGGTGCTCCATACTCAACTGGCCGTGGTGGAATGAGAAACCATCAGAGAGGTGAGTGGACCTAGGCTGTGGATTCTAGGCCCAGTATGTGCAGAAGAAATCTCTTCCCACCATGTTGGATTGTCTCAGTGGTGGTGTTGAAAGACTCCCATGAGAAGTGTGGGTGCAGCCTGTGTTGGGGGAAGACTACCCTCTTTTCACATCTGACCAATCAAAACTATGCAAAGGTCTCTAGATGGACAGTTGCTATGACGTCATATGAGACTAGGAGAATTTCTCACTCTTCTTTTCTAGGCTAGAATCTAACTCCTGGCATTTGCAATGTGACTTTGGGCAAAGAGCTTAGCTTTTCTAAGCCTTAGCTTCCCCACTTGTGAAATGACAATACCATATCAAGTGAAGGTTAACAGGTCAGTGAGTTTCTTTCTCTGTAGAATGGATCTAATATTCACTGTCTTGCAAGAGGACTGTGAAGATTTACTGAGGTATAGTCCAGGACTGAGCCCGGTATGTGGTCAATGCCCTAGAGATGCTGGCCACTTTTGCCACATCTTTTTTGTTTACTGTTTATGATTGGAGGATAGTTCATTTATGAATAATTAATAATGATTTAGGCAAATTGAACTTACTTTCCTTACCACTGAAACAGAGAGAATTTTCCTCCTTCGGCTGTCGAGAGGATTCTGTGACTTACTATATGTAAAACACATAGGACTGTGCTCTCAGCTGATGATGCGGTTTCAGTAGTGTTTGCTATGCTCTAGTAGTAATAATAAGGATGCCATCATTACTGTTTATGAATTTATTTATTCAGCAAGTAATTACTGGGCACATACCATGTGCTATGATTGCACCTCTGTCACTACAAATGTCTGTAAGAATTTGGGTCCCTGGGAACCCAGGTGATGTTCCATCTCTCCCATCTGTTCTGCCTTCACTGGTGCCATCTTCTCATTTTGATGGGCAAGTGGAATGGATTCAAGTAGCATCTTTGTGAAATAATTTGGGGAAGAAAGACGCAGGACTTTAACATTTACACAACTGAGCTGATGCAGGCTCATACTTCCATTTAGAAATTATCACTATTTATTAAAATGGAAAGAAGATTTTTTAATGTTTGTGGTAAGTTGTATTCCTCATGAACTGGAAGAGTTAACAGGATGGGCCCTGAGCAGCAATGCTTCCAATAGGACACGTCTTTTAGGCTTTCCAGGTCAGAGCTTTCCCAGGTATCTCTGGCCAGACTCTAGATTTTTGGGTCTTTTTTTTCAGACAGATTCTTGCTCTATTGCCCAGGCTGGAGTGCAGTGGTGCAATCTTGCCTCACTGCCAAACTCTGCCTCCCAGGTTCAAGCCATTGCCCTGCCTCAGCCTCCCAAGTAGCCGGGATCACGGGTGTGTGCCATCACGCCCGGCTAATTTTTGTATTTTTAGTAGAGAAGGGGTTTCACCATGTTGGCCAGGCTGGTCTCAAACTTCTGACCTCAAGTGATCCACCTTGACCTCTCTAAGTGCTGGAATTACATGCGTGAGCCACTGTGCCCGGCCTCTAGGGTTTTTTTAGGTTTCCCACCAAGCATCTCCCAGCCCCTCTCTTCCCCAGTCCCCCACAGGGTCTCTCTGGTGATGAGGAAAAGACATGTTCCTTAGGTGAAATAGAACGGGAGCTTCCAAACGTGCCCATCTCCCCAGCTTACACCCAACCCCCTAAGCTCCACCCCCACATCCTAGCTCTGACCACCTTGAGGGTCAAATTCCAGCTGAGAGATTTTTCCAAGACTAAAATGTGTGGCTTCTCTGAGGAACTGCTTTCACTTCTAAAGCCTCTTCTGTTCAAGGTAGTACCGGGCAGGACTTCTAATCACAGGCAATTGATATTCTACTGAGCATCTTTGGAAAATAATCTGCAAACAAGAGGCTGCAGGCTATAAAAGTCTCTGTTTCTCACTCCCTCTTCCCCCTCTCTCTTTTTCAGAACAAGGCTTACAGCTTAATAAAAATACAACCCAAGCGAAAGCAGGAAACCTTAGCACTTTGCCCAACAATATTATCCTTTTAAGAGTTTTATTAATCGGTTTAAAGTTGTGCCGCATTTGGCTAAGAGGTGCAAGGTGCCTTCCCCTGCTGACAAGACTGTCCTTGCATTTCAGGAGTTGGCACGGGTGGCTCAATTAACAGAATGGCGGGGAAAAGAGGGTCAGCCTTGGAAGGCTCGAGACTCACACTGCGTGGATGATGAGTCGAGCAGCAGTTTGGCTCTCCTTCTGCATGCCCCTTGCATCTAGCACACGTGCACACACACACAGACACACACACACACACACGCACATCGAGACACACACACACACATGCACCAGTGGCAGGTACGGGGAGACTCCCTCCTGGAGAAAGCAGCATAAAGGAGTTCCTGATTTGTTTTTACATCCTTGTAAAGGAATTTGTACATTCTGCAAGGGAGACTTACTGGCGAGCAAGAACAGACAAATGCATCTGTCAACTTAGCAGCATCATTTGAGCTCAATCAGTGTGGCGCTGGAGGAGTCCCCTAAATGTTTAATTTCTTCTCGCACCATAAGCGCCGTGATAGATCTTATCAGGATTATATTGACTGCACAAAATGAGACCGGGTGTGGGGCAGTTTTCTGGAAGGGAGAGACGTTAAGAGCACAAGTCAGGAGTCCATTTAACAGGTTTCTAATAATATCATCTCATATCGACATCACATTTTCATTCCTAACCACTTCAGGCTTGAGGTGCACACAGGTTACCCATCCTTTTCTAAAACCCAGTGTTTTCTAGTTTGGGGCTGATAGGACTTCAGGTAGAACAGAAATAGAACTTCCTGACTATGTAGATGGGTCCGCACAAGGACCACGATTCTCCCTTGAGAATGCTAGGCAAAAGACGGGCAACTGAGTTACATGGTTGTGCTGAGGACATGGGGGCTCTAGATGACTCCAGTGAGGTGCCCCAGGTCCAGGGTGTTCAGAAGTCACGGGGCAGAGTCCCCACAGGATCTCAGGGCCCTTTGCAGATTTCTCAGACATCTTTCTAGCTCAACTGCAGAATGGCTCAAATGTATGATAAATTTTTGCTCTAAAAATGGAGAACATAAAGGCACTTACTTGCTCACTCAATTATGCATCCAATATTTATTGAGTACCATACAAAGTCCAGACACTGCTCTCACAATGCCCTGCGGCTGGAAGGGGAAGGAGCCATGACAACAAAGATGTTCAGCCCAGCATGGAGAATGCCAGCAACCGAGCTGTGTACAAGGTGTGGCAATGGCATGAGAACAGAACCAACCCCGCTCTCACCGCCTGGGAGGCAGCAGCGAGGCAGGAGGAGACCTGGAAACCTCACGAGGAGACGCTCTACCTGGGCCAACAATATTGGTTGGATTTTTCTGGACAGAAAGAAGAGTTCATGCCATGCCAGGCAGAGAGACAAGCATGGATAAGGGCACAGACAATGAGAAACAAAGTGTTCAGGAAGCTACTGGTGTTTGGTTGAGGCTGGAGGTGGACAGAGAGGCAGGAGGTCCCTGGAGAGGCGGTGAAGGGTCAGCTGCAGGAAGGGGGCTGCTCCCTGTGTTCACAGGGGACAGTGTTGGGGTGAGCAGACCACCAACATGCGCGCCAGGGTGTCTGCAGCTCCCTCAGAAGTGCTGTTCTTCTCATGCAGGGGGAGGTACCGCAAGCATCTGCGATGTGAGAAGGACCAAAGAAGGAGTATGTCGTCCTGTCCCATACCGCATGGCGGTGTAGGTGACAGGTACTAGAAACACAGCAAGGGAAAGGGCTTTGCGGCCTGGGCAGTGCACACATGGGCAGACGTAGAGGAAGCGAAGGGCTTCACTTACAGAAGAAAGGTGTGTGTGTGTGTATGTGTGTGTATGTGTGTGCATGTGAGCATGTGTCTGAGCATGTGTGTTGTAAGAATATTCTTGCAGGGAGCAACGTCTGAAGAAGGCTCAAAGAGGAAAATGAATATTAAAGTCACAATTGTTAAGGGGCTAGATCTCATGGTACGTGCTCTTGCCATAAGAAATTAAAATTTAAAATAAAAGAAGTAAAATGAATGGACATGAAGAAACTCTTGGAGGTGATGGATATATTTGTTACCTTGATGGTAGTGATGATAACATGAGTATACACAAATGTCCAAACTCACCATGTTGTATACAATAATTATGTGCCATTTTTGTATATCAACAATACCTCAAAAAAGCTGGAAAAATAAAAAAAAAATTGAAAAAGAAGAGACACTAAAGAGCCTGCTCTCTCTCTCTCCCTCCCTCTCTCTCTCCCCCTACCCACCCTATCCCTCTACTATGTGAGCACACAGTGGGAAGGTGGCTGTCTGCAAGCCAGGAAGAGAGTCCTCACCAAAACCAGACCATGGTGGCACTCTGATCTCAGACTTCCAGCCTCCAGAATTATGGGAAATAATTTTCCTTTGTTTAAAAACAAACAAATAAATAAGGTGGCATAAATAAATAGGGTGGCATAGGGACTATCTGCACCAGGATGAAAGAAAGAGGGAGTGAAAAGGACCTCATGGTTAGTCAGTTCCTCCCTTAGTAAAATGGAGTAGATACTGACTAATTCCAAAAGAACCTGCAGGAATCAAGGGGCATAAACCACTGGCAGAGAAAGCCTTGCACAAAATGTCTGCTTCTGCAGTTGAAGCTGATAAGCAATTACAGTGTTCCTAGTGAAGCAAAGACTAATTTTACTTTCTTGGTGGCCTCAGGTTGCAGGACCAGGACAAGGTCTGGGGAGCAGAGTCAGGTCTCTCTTTGGCAACGCAGCCACATAAGCACTTGCAGGCTGTTTTAAAAACAGCGAAGGAACGGTAGAGATGGTTTGCTCTAGGGGCCATTGGGAACCTAGCATAGAGAGCCAGGCCATTCATTAAGCCTCATGGACAGAAAATCAAAAAGGAGAAAATGACCACCAATGCCTTGCACTATTTTTATCACCATAAAAAGCACAGGCCATTGTCTTAGGGAAGGGGGTTCATTTGACACAGTAAATTAGTTTGAAACTTTTAAGAGAGAGGGTGCCTAGTTATTTGAAATCAATCCAAGGGTATTGTACTAAGTATTGTTTCTTAAAAATATGTGGTATTTGGTTTCTGTGCTGAGCCAAAAAAAAAAAAAAAAAAAAAAAGTGTCTGGAGCTGTCACAGGAGAAATAGAAAGCAAGTTCAGCTAAGGTCTGGCCCTGGCCCGCCCAGGCTAACACCCATCACCCGGTGGGAAGAAAGTGAAGAAAGGGGAGCAGGGACGAGCCTTGTAGAGAAGATGCCCAGGGATGATGGTAAAATAGGAAGATTTTTCTTGCAGTCTTCCCCAGAGAGGGGCTGCTAGAACTTCCATTTAGAGAGTGCCGTCCTTGACAAATGGTAATTTTTTTTCCCACTACCCGATAAATTACTTGGAGTTAAAATTAATATTTTCCTTCAGAAAAGAAATAATCATTAGCCTCAGAAGCAAAATTGGAGCTAAGGCTCCAGTGATATAATAATAATAATTTGCACTTGCATGGATTCTTTCAAGCAAAGGTCTAGGAAGCTTTGCCAAACATTAATTAATTAAGCCTTGCAGTTTCCCCCAGGAGGCAGGTAGCTATTATCTCAGCTTTCCAGATGTGGAAACTGAGTCTCAAGGAGGTGAAAGTGATTTGCCCAAGGTCACTCTGGGAATGAGAAGCGGGACAGAGATGGAAATGACAGAGCCTGCCCCATGCCCAGAGTCAGAGAAGCTTTCTGCATCTTCTCCCCCTGGGGCCATGGAGGGCCCAGGTCTGCAGACCTCATGCATATGCAGGACTCAGAGAATTCCAGTCCACTAAGCATGGTTAAAGGGGCAGGAAATGGGTCCCCAAATTATTTTCATTTGCAAGGTTCGGGCTGTTTGTCGCCAGGTAGAGCTCTGCTAAAATTTGGGAACAAACAGGAAGTGGTTAGGAAAGACATAATTACAAAATGTTCCAGAAAGAAAGCACCCTGTACCACTGTTAATGGGATTACTTATGCATATCTAACCTCTATGTTAGCCTTCTGCAGAGTCTAAATTTAAGAAACACGAAGGAAAAGTAGCGAAAGTGAATTTTAGACAGGGGAAGAGCGCCTTCAAAGAGGTCTCCTGTGTGCTGGCTGCATCTCCTGGCTTCATCCATCATGACATGCCATGGTCTCTGCCGGGCCTCCTTGGGAATTTGGTGGGGAAGGCTGTTTGCAGGAGAGCAGTGGAACCCAGGAACTCTCCCCTCCACGCCTGGCTTAGCAACTGACAAATACCATCAGCGAATTCCCCACCCTCTCCCCACCTTCCCGTCTTGGGTGCTGCTGACATATTTTGATATTTCCTCATGAGATTATACTTCACATAATGAATTTGATTCTTCAATTCTTCCTCTCTCTCCTTCACAACTCTGTAGCTTCTAGAGTTTATCTGCTGCAAGATGAATCGCCCAGAGACTCTGGGAGCATCTTTCTTTACACTTCACCTCCCCCACTGCGGATGAGAAATAGACTTTTCCCTCATCCATCATAAGTCAGCGTGACAGGGCTGTCGGTCCCCAGGCCTGACTGGCTGCATCCTCCTTCTCTCTGCCCTGCTTCAGTGCGTGGCCTGCTTCCCAGCACCAGTTGGGACCCTTATAAAACACTTTGAATTGCAGTAGAACCAGACCAAAAAAATCCTAAAAAATAAAAAATAGTAATAACAGAGAGAAAAATGACTTAAAAATAAAATCACAGAGAGTGGCTTCCAAATTTCTTTATTCAGTCGCCTCTTCTCTCTTTAAATAGGACATTGTGAAATTCAAATAAATCCAGTCTGTTTCTTGACATGTTATCAATCTTCCAACATCCCTAGAGGGTAAAGGGTGAGTCCTGTTTGCCTGATTTCATAGATGAGGCAAAGGAAACAAAAGGAGGTGAAGAAGAAGGATGATGATGAAGGCCGAAGGAATGAGGCTTTCTCGGGCCAGGAAAGGAAAGTGTGGGGCAATGCAGTAGTTGTGTCTCTGCGGTGGGAATAACAGAGTATCTGGGATACTAACAAATTGTTCTCTCACTCCACCTCCTGCCTGTCCCCCAGCGGAGACTGAAGGAATGAAAATAGACCAGTTCCATTTAAAGGGCTGGGTTGTAGGGGATCCTCTGGGATCTGTAACTAAGTGAATGGCCACAGTTTTTTGCCTTGGTTGGGTTTGGCCACAATGAGTGTCTCAAGAGTCCACCCACTATCCTTTCACTCTGTCTTCTTCATGGATACAATGGATGGGGGAACTTTTGTTTCCAAATGTTATTGGAAGATTTAATTAAGCACCATTGGAAATTTTTGAATGGAAATTGCCACATTAGTCATGATTATTACCCATTTTCTTTAAACATAGGGCCAACTGCTAAGCTGTTAGGCACAAGCCTGGAAATTACAAAAATATTCAAATATCCATTATCTGGGATTCTGTTTGCCAAGCATCCTATCTAATCAGGGAAAGCCTGCTGGAACAGATGGGCCTTACACTGTGCCCTTCTAAGCCAGGAAACTTGGACATGTTGGGGCCCAGTGAATGGAAGCGCCAAATGCTGCTGCCACCGAAATAACCCATTTCTCCTCGGTAAAAGCCTGACTGCGCTTGTTCCCTTCAGATTGCACCTGCAGCCACTTCTGACTTTTGCAACACAGAACTAGGAAGGTGGACACTGGCTTTTCTGAGAGACGAAGGTCCAGGGTGATCTTGCACGCCACCCGGAATCTTGCTGCCCTATGTGTAGGTAGCCGGGATGGTCAGCCTGGGGGCATGGGAAAGACAGAGCTGACTTGAAGAAGAGGGCTGTTCAAAGTGGCTTGTGCAGGTGCTTACACACAGAGAAAGGGCCTTCCTTTCAACTTCATATTTATGAGTAGTTTACAGAAAGCTCTGGAGCCAAAGGAAACAAAATTGGTAAACACAGTAAGTAATAGATTCAACAAATACAGCTAAGGATAAAGAACTAATTTACATTTAATGAGAGAGCGATTGTTTATTAAATAAGAAATGGTTGTGCTTATTGAGATGGCCTTAAAGGTTTTTCATGAAGAATACATTAAGCTTTGAATATGGCTTTTTCATATTCAAAAGATGTGACTGGAAGAAAGGAGGAAGGGAGGAGTCAGCAGAATGAATAAAGCATGTAGGAAGCCAATCACTTCTGGAATTTAGAGCACTGGACAAGAATCTAATGGAAAATAAATTCCACAAAAGGTTCTCTTCCTTGTGTGTTATACTGCAGCCAACCTCATGGTATTGATTTTTTTCTAAGTAGCATATGATTACTAGAGAATTGATGGCATGTTGGAACATATATTCTGGCTACGACCTTGTATAGTGTATTTTTGAATCAAAATTTCTTTGACTGCGTTTATGACTACGGGGATCTGCGTTCAGGTAGCTATCTCTGCAATCTCAAAGTGAGGAAGAACGGGATCTTCCATGTAGAAAGCTGGAAAACCTCCTAGCCTTCCGTGAAAGATAAAGCCAAGCAAAAAGTGTGACTGAATAGGGAGAGTCACTTCTGTCTGTGAGTTGCAAAGGCCAGTTACTTCACAGGATTGGTTCAAAACTTTTACCTGCAGAATCTCCTGAAGACACGTGGGGCAGCAATTGTGCTCCTTTGTCTTTGTGAACAAATCATTTTTTAACTTGCTGTTTCCTGTTTTAAATAGCACCAATTGCAGAGTCAAAACAGTCGAATTTGAGTCCTGATGTGTCACTAGCTGGTTGAGGCAGACAGTTCTAGCTTTCACCAATATCTCTCCCTGTTTTCCATGCTAGAGACTGCATTTCCCACCCACCTTTGCAGTTAGGTGGGCAATGGGATGACAGCAGAAGGGATGTATACACTTTAAGGCCAAGTCTTAAGAAGGAACGAAAGTGAGCCTCTCATGTTCCCTTACTCCTCCCTGTTGTTTGGGTCATAGGTGTGATGGTAAGTGCTGAAGCAGCCACTTTGGAGCTAGAGTCAAAGCTGTGGCTGTCAAGGTTGCTCCACTAGCCCTAGACCACTATTTGAAAGAGAAATACATTTCTACCTTGATTAAGCCACTGTTTTGGGAGAGGCCTGATTACAGCGTCTTAACCTATATTTTGACTCATATAGAACTCAGGTATAATGACCTTTGAAACTGAGACATTATTTTATGTGTTTTGCCTCTATTTTAAAGACAAAATTCTTAAGGGTCAGGAATTTTATCTAACAAATTTGAGACTGTGTGGTGAATATACCTAGCTTTTCCTGATGGATATGAAGGATGTGAATGGGAAAAAAGGAGTGGAGAAGCAAAGCATATTCTTAAAAGTAAAAAGACAGCTGGTTAATCACTTTACCAGAGAACTGTCAAGAAACACTCGATTGAAATACCAGCAGTCGTAGATAAGTTTTTTTGTGTGTAACACAATAAATACTGTTCGGAATAGCCATATGTTTTACTAAAGAGAATAAAAAGAAGAGTTTTAGACCAGGCCTTGGGCACATGGCTGGAAATGTGTGATCCTGGAGTCTGCCTCACCAGGAGAAATCCAAGTCAGCCGCAAAACACGCTGGCCGTGGGAAGTAAACAAACGCAAACTTCCTCCTGCTTGTTCTTTTAAAACCTCCTTGCGGGTCTTCCATAATGAATCCTTCAATTCGATATTGAATTTGATTTTTTATTAAGAAAATATTCAAGCATCACAGAAACATGGTAAAATAAACCCATATGTCTATTATTGAAATTCACTAATTATTAAGTTTTGCTGAATTTGCTTAGCTTTGTTTTCTTTCTTTCTTTCTTTTTCATTTTCTGAGATCAGCGTGAGTCACACTCTGTAGAATGGTACATAAGAAACCTGAAATCAATCTTCCATCTCCTACAGGCTCAAGTCCTGTTCAGTCGTCATGAAGCCACTCGCAGAGATCCAGCGAGGGTAGGGGATGGCACCCCTTCTCCTCCAGCTGACACTATCCTCTCAAAGACGTGAACCTTATGTGTAGCTATTCCGATAACATTTGTTTGACTTTCCAGCTCCCTACTATTTAGGCCAAGGCATACACTGCCTGGGTTACTAGGACATTGCCAACCCCATTAGCAAAGAATAGTCTAAACTTCTCAGGGGATCACCTTGGAGCTGTTTTAATATAGAATGCGCGTATACCAAAAAGGTAGGAAATCCTAACCACTTGAGAACCAAACAGACTTGTAGCTCTAAGAAAAAGAACAGAGGTGGTTGAACCCTTTGGAATCATAAAACCAGGAGGATTAGAAATCATAAAACCAGGAGGATTATATAAAACCCTGAGGATTAGAAAACAGGCCTCCCTGTCTGTCCTCCAATTCCCTGACAATCTGAATCATGACGGGCTGCTGGATGGGTATGGATATTCCCAGGTCTCTGTATCGTAAGCTAATCAGAATGAGTGTGTCAGGTATGAGGAGGGCTGTGCAGAGTGTCCAGGCTGGAGGGGTTAGCACTAGGGAGGGCTGCAGGGGCTCTGTGCTGCTCCCAAGGAAGCACGCAGAAGAACTTCCAAAGGAAAGAAGGCAACTTCAGTACAGGCCCACATCAACCTCAAGCATCCGCCTTGCACAGAATGGTGTCTGTTTCTCAAGAGGCTGGGCTCAAAGGGAGCAATGTCATAGCACAAAAGGCTCGGCAAGTTCATTAAGGCGCTTCCTGGTTTCGTATGTCAGTACTAAACAGAACATGTTAATGGAAGGCTGTAGGGGACAACATTTCATTGGTAGGTAACTGTTTTTCTTTTCAGTTACCTTGATGCAGAATTTCTAGACAGCAGCAGAGATACCACCCCTCAAAAGCTGAGCTGCATGCTGCAAAGTGAGTTATATGATTGACTCTGGAGCTTAGTTCTTTTGATATTCCAATTGTAAGCTGACATTGCCCATTTTCTCAGAGATACAGCCATGACAGACCACTACTCACCCTCCACTCCCACCCCATACCCCCACACCCCCTGCTAGCCCCTCATTCAAATGCTCCAAGAAGCATCTAATTGAGTAAGGCACCATAGGATCAACAACAGTGCCTCCTGCAGCCAAACACAAAGACCCACACATCCCTGTGCGGCACATCACAGAGTTGATACAGCATAGTCATATTAATTTAAAAATGTGTCTTCCAGGTTAGAAGTAAGATAAGTTTATTACTAGTTTTAGGCCCAGGAACCTAGACTTCCAGAAAGGAGAGCGCTTAATAGGCACTTAATGTTGAAAGATCTTGGCAGTATCACTCAGTCATGATGAGGAAAGGATTTAAACCACCTCTGCACTTTAAAAATGGACTCTTGTCCACGTCTCTACTTTTACAGGAGGAGCTTGAAGTACAAAATGTCAAGTGTCTTTCACAGGGTCGGGGCGTCAATGATCAGGTGGAGGTGAAGGCCATTGCTTTCTGAATCATGTTCTGTTTTTTCATTCCTCTGACCAGCTTACCCAACTCACAAAACAACTCATTGATTACAGAGCATGTCCTGGCCACTGAGACATACATAGCAACCTAGTTACCCTACTTTAGTTACTCAACTTTAAGCCCAACTTCTTCCATTGGCTTAACTGGAGAGATAATATTCATCTCTATGTTTGCTTTAAAATACTGGAATCGCCTGCCTCTGGCTGTCATGACACACTGTTAAAAAAAGAAAAAAAGTTACAAATCACCTGAAATTCCCCTTTGCAGACACACACACACACAAACACACACGCATGCACAGACACCAAGACAGTGTGTACACCTATCATTAGGTTTCTGTCCCAGATAGTATGCAACAATAATAGCTAACATTCACAACATAATTTCCTCAGATATGGTTTTTCTCTTAATTATAAAAATTCCCAAGGCTGGGTGCGGTGGCTCACGCCTGTAATGGCAGCACTTTGGGAGGCTGAGGCAGGTGAGTCACGAGGTCAGGAGTTCGAGATCAGGTTGGCCAATACGGTGAAAACCCGTCTCTACTAAAAATACAAAAATTAGCTGGGTGTGGTGGCGCATGCCTGTAGTCCCAGCTACTTGGGAGGCTGAGGCAGAAGAATCACTTAAACCTGGGAGGCGAAGGTTTCAATGAGCCGAGATCACACCACTGCACTCTAGCCTGGCTGACAGAGTGAGACTCCACCTCAAAAAAAAAAAAAAAAAAAAAATTCCTATGTGTTAGGTGCTATTATGTGGTCTTTTTACAGAGCAGAATACTGAGGCACAGAAACTTTAAGTAATTTGTCTAAGAATTCACAACTTGAAAGTAGCAGAACCAGGCTTTAAACTTGGGTACTCTGACTTATTAATTATTAAATATCATTTCCAGTAAAAGTGTAACCTGAAGCATTAAGTTATAATACTCTGCTTTTCATGTAATCTGTATAGAGGAGATTGTTCTTCTAAATGTACACTCTTGACAATATTCTGTCTACCTGCTTCCCTCTGTTTGGGGGAAGGGGAGAGGTAGTTGTAACTTCCAGTTATAAGGGCCTAATTCTTGCCAGGGGAAGGTGACTTGGGGACTGGATAAGAATTTGACATTAGAGGCATCCTCCTTTCTAATCTTGTCACTTGTGTTCATTTTCACTCTTTTTTCAAATCTTCTGTCTGTCTGTCTTCGGTTCCAAGGGCATGTCTCCACCATGACAGCTCTCAGAACACAAACTTTCATCCACAAGATATGAAACTATCATTTTCTGGCAAACGCAAGAAACTTTCCATTGACTCTGTTCCCTTGGAGATGGGTTAACTTCCTCTCGGTCATAAACAAGGGCAGCACCGTTGGCATCTGGAACATTTCCTTGTTTGCCACCCATGGGGCCCATATCTGGGGGCTTCATGGTGCCATCACTCCTCGGCATTTAGGATGTCTCTACTCAGTCAGTTCCCTAGGGGAGTAGCTGCCCTGGGGAAGAGATCCTATCAGAGAAGCGGTTCTGTGCCCCACGGGGTTGTCATCCTCCTAGAGGACAATGCTGGCAAAGAAAGGGGAAGGCAGGAGCTGGGCCATTCCTGCCTGAGCAAGAGCTAGAAATGTTCTTCTCCCCAGACACCATCTAAAAATCAAAGCTGATAACTGAGCTGGGACCATCTGATGAAATCGAAGAAGGAGCCAACAAAATGCTCCCAGACTGCTCCATATTTTACTTACTCCAAATCTACCTGTCATTGGGTATGCCACAGGCTGCAGACTTTGGGAATGTGTAGGCAATTCAGGACCATTAGTTGATGCTCCTGCAGTGGAGGGCTCTGTTCTACAATACACACCAAGAAGAGACCCGGAAACTACTTATGGGTTTCCATGATTTTCACCTTTGAAAGACTGCCCTCAATATAGATTTAATCACAAGGACCCAATGACAACCCTGTCCAATGGAATTCTGCTCTGTTATCCTGTCTTCCTCCTAAGAACCAGACAAAAAGGAACCAAACCAAATAACACAAAGTATAAATATATCTTGCCACAGATTGAGAACAACGTTTGCATTTATGTTATGTTTAGGATGTGTATGGAATTTACTGTATTGAACACATACTAGTGATTTTTGTTTTTTGGTTTTTGTTTTTGAGACTGGGTCTCACTCCACTGCCCAGCCTGGAGTGCAGTGGCACGACCATAGCTCACTGCAGCTTCAAATTCCTGAGCTCAAGTAATTGTTCCACCTCATACTCCCAAAGCACTGGGATTACTGGCACAAGCCACCACACATGGCCCATAATGGTGATTTAGAAAGTGTATAGCTTTTTTAAAAGACCTAAGGTCTTTTGTTTTGCTTATCTGGCCACCCAGAGACAGCTTGAAAAGTTTAATTAAAATAGACAGCTAGGACAGGTGCCCTGCCATCAATAGCCTCCATCCCCCACTCAGGAGCAGAGCTGGGAGATGATGTCTTCAGAAGGCAAAGCAAAGTGCATCCAAGCAGAGGCTGAGGTTCTCCAAAAAGGAAGGGATGGAAAAATCCAGGTGATTTCAAAAAACATTGTTGCAACCTAATTACTTTTGATATACCTCAAAGTTGTGCTAATATACAATTTGAACCTCAGGGATTCCTTTGCGTCCCACCTGTGAATTATCTGAGATGGCAGTCAACAGCAATGAAGAACCCAGGAGGATGCAGTAGACCAGAGTGCTAAGAAATAGCATTCTATCATTCCTTGTACCCATGAGTTTTTTTTTTTTTTTGTAGATGTGTGTGTGTGTGTGTGTGTTTGCAGGTGACCTTTATATATAAAGAAAGATTATTTGCAGCAATACTTATTTATAAATTGTTACATCCCTGAGGATCTTAATTTTTCCTGCCAAAAGTCTCATGTGATTAAATACTGTATTTTTGATCAGCTGATATGCCACTAAATATTGGAGGAGCTTGCTTTCTTCAGGGTATGCCTTAAGCCTCAAACCATCACAGGTTCATCACTGAAATCATTTAGTCTTCATTCAGCTTGTTCAATAAGTTTCATCAAGAGCATACTTTGGGCCAAGCATTGTCCTAGGAACTATGGGCATCACTATGACAAAGCCATGAAGGAGCCACATGATCTCGAAAGGGAGATAGAAATGACAACACATTATAGCAAAAGAGCATGAACCTGTGTTAGTACATAAGAACTAAACAAACCTAAGGAGGGAAGAGTCAACTCTTACAGGATTTAAAGGCTGGAAGAGAAGCATTCGTAGAGGAAGATTCATTTGATCTGGTCCTTGAACAGTTGATAAATGAGTGGGATTGACCAGGCAAAGAGGAGGAACAAAGGTATTGACAGCCCAGGGAATAACAGGTTCATAGGTTAAGAGGGCTTGAGGTATCAAGTGGTCACGTTTACGGGAAATGAGAGTGAAAATATATATGGGCAACGGGTTGTAGATGACCGTGTGTGCCACATGGAGAGGTAAGAACTTGACTTTACAGGTGATGGGGAAATGATGATGATCTTACAACTATGATATAACTTGCTTTGCATTTCGGGAGGGTCCCTCTGAGAACAGTGAAGCAAATAAAATTATATAGACGGGAGAGTAGAAACACCACCAATAACAACCAAAAAACATGGGGAAATGTTGCCGTAATATAGGTTAAAGATTACACAGTTCTAAGGTTTTGGTAGTGGGCGTGAAGGGTGAAGATAAGTTTCCAAAATGTGTAGGAGGTGGAAATAAACTGGGCTTAGAAACTAATGGAATACAGAACACCTGGGAGCAGGAAGAGACAAAATGCCTCCCTGGTTTCTAGAATGGGATGGT
Organism: Homo sapiens; assembly: GCF_000001405.40. NCBI lineage: Eukaryota > Metazoa > Chordata > Mammalia > Primates > Hominidae > Homo > Homo sapiens. Next base: position 131,553,486 of record NC_000011.10, on the reverse strand, counting down.
GCTGTCATTCATTAAACTAGGAAACACAAGAGAAGGAACAGACATGCAGGCCAGGAATCTGTGGGTCCTCAGGTGAAGCTGCGTGGTAAGTCATGACCAGCACACATCTCGTGCTCTGGAGAGTGCAGTTGGTCTGTGTTCTCATCCAGGTTGCTTAAGTCTTTTTAAAAACCGGTAGAATATACACTACATCAAAAGTGCACACAATATAGATGTGCAGCTTGATGGATTATTGTAAACTGAAGATCCTTGTAACCACCACCCAGACAAGAAATAGAATATTGCCAGCTCCCAGAAGACCTCATGGCCTCTCCTGCCCCTTCCCCATCAAACATTCCCCTTCCTTACAAAGCATAACTCCTGTGCTCACTTTTATTATAACCATGCCCTCGATTTTTCCTTTTTAAAGTTTTACCACCTAAGCATCCATTCCTGAACATAAGAGTTTAATTTTGCCTGTTATGGAATGTCAAGCAATATGTGTTCTTTTTCTGGCCACTGTAGCTTGGTTTGGATTGTGTGAGTCTTTTTTGTGATACGTAGTTTGAATGTACTAATTTTCAATGCTGTTTGACGTTCCGTTGAATGAATACACCACAACCTCTGTCTTCATTCTATGATGGACATTGGCACTGTTTCTACCTTGAGGCTATTATTTTTTTTTTTTTTGAGACGGAGTCTTGCTCTGTTGCCCAGGCTGGAGTGCAGTGGCACAATCTCGGCTCACTGCAAGCTCCGCCTCCCGGGTTCACACCATTCTCCTGCCTCAGCCTCCTATGTTGCTGGGACTACAGGCGCCCGCCACCATGCCCGGCTAATTTTTTGTATTTTTTTTAGTAGAGACGGTGTTTCACCATGTTAGCCAGGATGGTCTCGATCTCCTGACCTCATGATTCACCTGCCTCAGCCTCCCAAAGTGCTGGGATTACAGTTGTGAGCCACCGCGCTCGGCCTCTTGAGGGTATTTTTTTTTTTTTTTTTTGAGACGGAGTCTCGCTCTGTCGCCCAGGCTGGAGGTGCAGTGGCCTCTTGAGGCTGCTTTAAACAAGGTTACCAGAAACATTCCTGCCCTGGTCCCCTTGTACCTATGTACACACATTTCTTTCAACCAGGAGTATAATTTCTGGGCCATATGGCATGCATATCTTAAGTTTTGGTAGATAAAGGCAAACTGTTTTCCAAACTGACAGCATCACTTTTACACCATCTCCAGCCGTGCGTGATACTTACCATGACATGACGTCGTTATCAACACTCGATGTTGGCAGGGTTATTTTCTGTTCTCTCTTCCTCTCTCTCTCTTTTCCTCTTCTTTCCTGACCCTGTCTCTCTCCCTTCCAGCTCTTTTCCTTCTTTCCTTCCTCATTCTGGTGGGTGTGCCTTTTTATTCCACTGTGGTCTTAACTTGCCTCTCTGTGTTACCTAGTGATGGTGACTTGGCCTTTTGGGTCCTCTTTTATAAAATGCACATGTAGATCTTTTGCTTGCTGCAGTCTGCTGCATTGTCTAATGGTGCTTGTAGGGACCTTACCAACTGTGGAACTGTGTTGGATGGCCAAAGAGGTCTGCGCCTCTTTTCTGCCATGCCCAGTGTGTGGTAGCCTTGACGTGGGATGTGACAGTTTCACCTCAAAAAGGAATTTTTTGCTATAGTTCATCATGTGGCTGCCTTCTAAGTTACCTGAGGACTAGGGTTTGCTGTTGTGGCCATAACTTTGGGCCTGCATGCTTCTCTGCAATCACCTGAATTCTCCACAAAAACATGTGTCGATCCTCTCAAGGGCAGAAGAAAGCCCGTGTGGATAAGTGATTTATCAACAGGGCAGTCTCCTGGGTAAAGGATGCTTGAACATACACAAGGATGTTCACAGAGGTATAAAGAGAAAATGGTGGACCAGTGGGTTCATGATTTCATGTGTCTGAAACACACTGGTTTTACCAATGCTAAATTGGGTTTTCAGCTGCAAGGCTTCCTGGAGTCTCTGTGTACACTGAGAATTGAATTCCAAGAGGGAGATCATAGTAGATACCAGGTTCATTGCAATCGTGCGTTTTTTTTTTTTTTGGAGGAACCTCTCCCAGTGTTTCCACACTAGATGTGCTCCCTTCACCCTCAAAGTCCATTCTTCTTCTTTTGCTTACTTCCAACTGATCACCATGTTCTCTTGGCTACCTGAGAAGTTTTCCTTTAGGAGCTATTATCTTCTTTCTAAAGTGATTGCTGATTGCTCTGCTCTCTAAAGGTCACCTTGGGTCCTCCCATTTTCTCCTCTCCATGAAATGGTACAAAGTAGAGTGCAGACTAAAAGCAAGGGCTGAGCTGGGACCAGTGTCACACCTGTGGTCCCTGCTACTGCAGAGGCAGAGGCAAAAGGATTGCTTGAGCCTAGGAGCTCAAGTCCAGCCTGGGCAACATAGTGAGATCATTTCTCTACAAAAAACAAATAAAATAACATAAAATACAACTTAAATTTAAAAAAAATTAAATGCAAATGGTGGAGAGTCAGCGGGTCTGCATCTAGGCTCATCCACAGCCAGCAGGGCAACAGCATTAACAAACTACGTAACACTTGGAAGTCTCGGTAACTTCGTGTAGAAAAGAGGCAGAACAGTGTCTGTTAAGGGCTGTTTTTTGAGGGTATTTTTTTAAATAGACAGGGTATTGCTCTATTGCCCAGGCTAAAATGCAGTGGCATGATCTTAGCTTATTACAGCTTCAAGCTCCTGGGCTCAAAGGATCGTCTCATCTCAGCCTCTGGAATAGCTAGGTGTATTAGTCTGTTTTCACAATGCTATGAAGAAATACCTGAAACTGGGTAATTTATAAAGAAAAAAAGGGTTAATTGGCTCATGGTTCCACAGGCTGTACAGGAAGCATGGCCAAGGAGGATTCAGAAAATTAACAATCATGGCAGAAGGCGAAGGGGAAGAAGGCAGGTCTTGCATGGCCAGAGCAGGAGGAAGAGAGAGAAGGAGGTGCTGCATACCTTGAAACAAACAGATCTCATGATAACGCACCCACTATGCCAAGAACAGCACCAAGGGGGAAATTCACCTCTATGATCCAATTACCTTTCAGCAGACCCCACTTCCAACACTGGGGATTCCAATTTGACATGAGATTTGGGCAGCGACACAGTCTCAAACCCTGTCACCAGGACTACAGGTGCATGCCACCACACTCAGCTAATTTTTAAATTTTTTGTAGAGGTGGGGTCTTGCTATGTTGGCCAGCTGGTCTCAAACTCCTGGGCTCAAGCAATCCTCCCAATTTTTGAGGCTTAATTAACACATTTCACGTAAGGTGTTCAGAACTGTGCTTGGCACATAGTAAACATTTAATGTCGTTATCTATTGTTCTTCTTGTCATCCTGTTATTATTCCAGCTTCTTTTGCCAGTACAGATCCTTGATTCTCATGCCATGATTCTCATGCGATTCTCATCCCAGAGCCTCATGCCTCCCCTGAGCAATGTAAACACTGAGTGTTTGTGCCTGAGTCCGCCCTGCAGGACGTGAAATGCAAGTCACCACACCCTTAGCTGTACTAGCATAATACAGATATGCACACGTGGGCACGGGAAAGAGACATCACCTCGAATCGTGGTTTGTCACTTGAAAGATGGAACTAAGTGTTAGGATGTTAATCATCTTTGGGGCAGAATTTAATTTCCTCATGTGAATATTTTATTTTTTCCCCAGCCTCTCCACTAATGAAGATCTTTTAAAGGCTGCATGTAATAGCTTTGAATAACCTCCAATACAATGAATCTATCTCTGACTGAAAACCCTTTCTGAGGATCGAAGACACCTGAACACATGGGGCAAAGAGCTGTGGGTCCCAGAAAGCACAGCCCCTTGTGGCTTGGGCGGGCTAGTTCCCTTCCTTGGAGCACAGGGCGTTTTGTTTTGTTGTTGATGTTTTCCAGAGAAATTAAAGATATAATCATTACTCCATGGTGTCATTGTGGGATAATATGTATGAAAGATTTAGTTTAGTGCCCCACATCTTGTAGGCAGTTGACAACCCTTTGACTCTTTCTCTCCTTCTGTCTAAAAAATTTTTAATTTTAATTACAATTTTTAAAAAAATTTAATTCAAAAATTAAAAAAAATTTTGTGCCTGGGGTTTCTTCTATATAGGGTGTGACCCTAGACATAATTTTTGCTGACTCAATTTATTGCAATATGCTGAGTCAAGTTCTCACAGGTACCATCTCAGATAAACACAAGGTCCCTTCCCAATAGTGGCCTCAGCTTCTATGCCTCCATGCTTCTGCTGTCAAACTCCAGAATGGGATCTGAGGATATTCCAGAAAAAGATACAGCTTTCTTCCCCAGCCGGCCTCTAAACTGTTTCTATGTTTTCTTGATATCGCTTGTGGGGAACTAAAAAGTGTAGTAAATGGTGGAGATGAGGAGCTTTTCTGTCTGTAGTTCGTTCATTCATTCATTCATTCCTACTTTTACTGATGGCATATGCACAAACACCCTACATAAAATAAGGATGTATAAGCTGTGAATTCTGCCTCCCAGGACCCCCAGGTTTGAGTGTAATCTTGTCACTGGCTATAAAGTTCTTTATTATTGTAGTTTCCTCATTGCTATCCTTTCTGTCTCAGTGTCCCCAATTCCCAGGTATTTGGTAACTGACCTTAAATATTTGGTTCATAGTGGAAGTTTGCTGTGGGCTTGTTTCTTTTCATTCCATGTACGTGCTAACTGCTGGATTTAGATATACTAAGAGACCTGGAGGCAATGGGTGCATTTGATAGATATCACATAAATAAATAAAGCAACACTTGTCAGTCTCACACCTTCTCCCTCACCCTCCCCACAGGCAGTCTTTCTGGATCGGAATAGAAAGAAGTCAGGATGGGGAAGGCAGACTCTGCTCTATCCATTCCAGTGGGAATCAGCAAACTTTTGTATCTCATAAAGCCTTGTCAGCATCACATTTAATGTAAATGTTATCATAATTATTATAACTTTACATTTATATAGCTCTGAGTCTCTGGGGAGAAGAAAGAACTCTGAATATAAAAAAAAGATGATCAGGCTTCACCCCTCCTTTCTAGGGAGATAGGCTTTTTAAAAAAATAATAATTTTTATGCCTTTCTTGACTCATTCCTTGAGGCATCACCTGGATGTACTGCCTGGGGGATGTTTTTTTCCTGGATAAGATCGACTTGGAAAAATGCACAAGGGGAGAGTGGTGGTGGAGGCAAAACATGCTTGTGGCCAAAGGGAAAAATTCTTGCTAAGATTAAAGAAGGAAAAGAAACTAAGATTTATTAACTACCAAGTAAAATCTAAGCCCTGTGTTACTTGCTTTGCATATCTAATTTAACAGTGACTAAAATTCCCAGAGAAGTATTATTATCCCTATTTCACAGTTCTGGAAACAGCAGCTCATTGAAATTCAGGAACTTGCCTAAGGTCACCTAATTAGTATGTGGTAGATGATGAGTTTGAGCTCCTCTGTCTCCTTGCAAGTTCCTGCTCTTCTTGGTATGATTGAAAACAAGCTTGCAATCTTATTCGGACGCCTCCTAGGCATTGGCTAATCAGCCACCTACTGCCTAGCACTGTGCTATGAGGTTTGAGAGATGCCAAAGATTTATCAATCCTGGCTCCCCTTCAAGGATTTTCAAAAAGGGAGATAAGATTGATGTGCAGGATCCAAGTCTGTTGGAGTTGCGGGGACTAGGAGGGGACTAGGAGAGAACTAAAAGCGAACTCTTTGAGAGGGTGTATAGTATAGTCACTCTTGACGTAAGTGACTCCATCTTAGAAAAGAACTCCATCTTACATCTCAAAAGGCTTCATACCAACAGGACCAGACATTCACCTAATCAACAGAAACTACCTCAACCTGACAAGGGCATAACCAGACACACACTTTACATCACCTCTTACCAGAGAGGACAAGGACTCTAAGAAGAGCAGGACTTCACCGTCCACAAAACCATTTCACTGAACGCCATCCCACTGTCACCCACGGTTAGCGCCTGGCATCTGCCACCGAAGGCTCTGCCCACCTCAAAGTCTCTTCCCGTGCAAGACGTTGAAGATCGTCTGGATCAGGCCAGCATTCTCTCTCTGTCCAAGGCGCTCTCCTGGGATTGGCTCATTAACCCCTTTTTCCTACCCCCTTTTCTCTTTTTGTTAAATGTTACTTTGTTTGATGTGGAAATGTTAATCTATAACATTTATATAATGATTAAGTATCCTACTATATATAGTTTGCAACATTCACTGACTTGTGGGTCAGCTAGGGCCTGTGTGCTCACGCCTCTGACTACCCAGTGAATGAGACATAGTAAGAATAATTACCACCTTGGAAACTCCATGTAGGTCATGGCTGAAATAACATCAATAAAATTCTGACCTGTGGAAAGTCACATATGTGCATGGATCTGGTTCTGTCTCTGACCTTGCTCTGGTCACCACAGAGGGCTTCTTGGAAGAGGAGGTTGGAGGAGGGCACCATAGAACAGTAACTCAGAGGCATGATGGAAAGGGAGGGAAGGAACTCAGGGGGTTTAGGGACAAGGAAAAGACAGCCTAGCCTGGGGGAACACCTGCGGGCTCCTGAGGCCTGGTAGATGGATTTAGAAGGACACAAAAGGTACAGTTTGAGAAGCAATGGAAAGAAAGAGGAAGAGTTTTCCGGGCCTCCTGCTTTCCTCACAAACCCCAAGGCTAATTTATTTCTCATTCCCTCCTAGGGTCACTGGGCAGCTTTGCAGAGAGCTCAGCGTGGTGCTTGTCACTCCTCGTTTATGTGGTTGCTCCATTTACATTCCCCCAGTGGTCCAGGCAGCTGCAGAGGCTGCTGGGTCTCTCTCACTGCTCGGGAACAAGGTGAAGTCAAATGGAAAAGCTCTGAAGGAGAGGAGCAGGACAGCTTGGTGCACCAGTGGAGTGCAGGAAGGTAAGCACAGGCTGTCCTCCTGAGTCCCAGAACATGACATAGTTGACTTTGACCAGGGATTGATAGGCAATTTTTCAGTTTTTGCAGAAATCCCTGCTGTGCAGAATGTGAAAGTAAAAGCAGGTCTCTTGCGATGGGATGCCAGGGAAACAGGACAGTGGCCAGGGATAGAGTGGAATGGCTAACGGGGCCGTGGGAACCTTGTTTGTATCAAGGATCACGGACCAAGAGAAAGATAAAATCAATCCAGGGTTATTTTGAGGCAAAGAAGAACCGGGTTTAGTTTGTTACAGATGCATACAGAAAGCTTATACTCAACCTATTTTAAAGCGAAGGGATAGGAAACAAAGCTTCAGTCACAAAACTTGAAGCATGCAATTGCCCCGCTTCAAACCTTTCCTATCTCTCTGCTTGCTAAAAGGAAAAGACCTGACACTGGAACATGGTGCATGAGGCTATAAATTATTAGTGTTTCTTTCGATAAAAGTAAATGATGCTCACAGTATAAAAATTCAAATTCCACAGCAGTGTATTAGGTAACATGTAAAGGTCCCCCTCCCACTTTCTAAGCTGACTACCCATAAACAGCTGGGTTCTGATGAACAAAGTCAGCAGTTATTCCCTGAGTCAAGCGTCACTGTAACCCTCCCAGCCAGGTTAGATAATGCTCGGATATTCAAATGTTCTTTGCATGAAGGCACTGCAGGTCCCTCTGCCGAAAAATCTATCTTCTCCCCAGGCCCCTGCCCCTCCTCTACTTGACGACACCTTCAACTCAGTTTCATATTTAGCCCAAAGGTCACTTGCTTTAGGAAGTTTCGCTAATATGTCCCCATAGACCTGCTCATCACCTTCTTAAAACTCCCATTGTGTCCTTCATGGATTTAATAGTTTCTTTGATTTCATGTCTCTCTCCCTTTGTTGATTCAGTATGGCTTGAGAGCAGGGATCAACTGTTCAGCTCTCTATTCTGAGAACCTAGCAAAGAGACTGATGTCAAGAAGACTGATGCTCAGTGAATGCTGGTGGAATAAATGGGTGGATGGATAGATGTATGGATGAATAAATCCATACATCTGGATGTATGCATTTAATGAACCAAACCAAACTTGAAAATGCCCTTCAATTCTTTATTGTGACTAAAAGGAAAGGAAAGAGAATGAGAAAGCTGAGAGAAAAAAAGTCATCAAGGAGAAAAAAATGGAGGAAAAGCTAATACACAGAAAAGGAGACAGACTCAAGAAAAAAGAAAAAGAAAAAGACAAAGAAACAGAGGGAAAAGGTATCATGCATTTAAAAAGATGGTAAGATAAGCCATTCTGGTTATACCTGAGTATCTGCTTGGATCACTTTATAAACATCCTTAGAAATGATACCCATTTTCACTGTTTATTTACATTCTTTTCATTCTTAAACTCTCAGAGAATGGGTTCCAGTGGGATACAGTTAATAGTCCAGCGAGAAAGAAAATATTACCTGAATTGCAGTGACAGTGATAGAAGACATATTACCCTTGCAGCCCCGTGGGCTAAATTTTCGTAAAAAGAAGGATGGGATTAACAAGAACAACAAAAATAATGACAGATTGAGAGGGGTCTGGGGTCCTTCCGAAAATGATCAAGCTATTGGTAAGATTCTGAAACCACCGTGGCCTGTCCTATTCCTCAAACCACCTCCACCCACTGCTATCAAGTTATCTGATTCGATGACCAGAGATTCGCCTGGAGGGCTCAAAACATAGAGCAAGCGGCGCCCCCAGGAGGCTCTGTCAGACTCACACGTCCACTCTTCACAGGTCCTTGTATGCCCAGGGCTGCGGAGCAGGAAATAAAACATTCTCCAACTTTAGGTTCATATCTGAATGACGGGAAGTGGATGTAATTATGTTTAACTGCCACAACCCCTGGAACTCAGAGAAGAAAACATTCCAAGATGAGATATCCTAGTGCCACCATGGAGTTGAACTCTCATTTTGCCTTCAGGGTCACAGAAAATATTACCATAGGCAGAATCCTTGAGTCAGAAAAAAAAAATATCTAGGGATAGAGGATGAGTAAAGGCTTAGCCAAATGGGGAATAAAGGATTCACAACAGGGATAATTTGGTAGTAGAATGGGAAGCTTTGTGTACCAGGAATAGAAATATGAGCTGGAGAAAGAAGAGGAGGTAGGGGAGATGAGAACTGTAGACAAACGAACCAGGCACTGAATCCCACTTCCCCAGAGGACGAAGGGAGACTCACCCTTTCTTCTTATATGCTTCTGTAGTATTTTAATTTTTTGAAGCAAATTGTATTACTTTGAAATTGGAAAAAATATTTTTTAAATAAGAAAAATTTGTTTTATTCCAAGTGCCAGAAAGAGATGTCTGGAAACCCTAAAAGATCAAAGGTCCTGCTTCTTTAGTCCTCTAATCTTGAAGTCAGCCCATGATCCATTCCATGGGACTGACCTGCATGCATCTTGGTCTTTTCCAGGCTGAGAAGTAACCCAAGATTTGCTAAATATGGTGGTAGGGGCCTTGAGGAGGCAAGACATCTCTGCAAGAAGAGGACCTAGCCTCTTTCCTGGGAAGAGACGAGAGGCCACCTGCCTGGTGTGTTTGCTAACACGCAGGAGCTGTGGCCTGTAATCATCATTAGCTCTCTTTGGTGTTTACTAACTGTTATTAATTAGAATGAGCAAACTTGGCATTAATGTGCCTGCCATAAGGATGAAGGTTCTTACTGCACAACCATCCTGCATAAGCGGCTAGACTGGGACTCGTTTACCAACTGTTACCAGGATGATGCAGGGCTACGGGCACCAGCTGATGAAGGACTGGGCAAGGGAGAGCGCTCGAACCTGTGCTTCTCTGAAAGTTCAGAATTAGGGGAAGCTGTGCTGGAGTAGAGGGAAGCAGAGCCTCTCCCCAGCTCATGTGGGAGCTGCTAGCAGGCTTTGGGCAGCCTCCAAAAGTAGCCCAGGCAAACCCCCAAGGTCTTTGATCACCAGACAGCTTTCCTCTGGTGCTGGTTGTAGCAACTTTCTCCCTAATCAGAAAATCACTGAACACAACTTCCTTTACAAGACAGTGGATCAGTGTCCTGTTGCCCTTCAGGAGAGACCCTGCTCTTCTGTGGGTCTTGGGAAAGAGGTTAGGGATATGTACCGTTGCCAAGAAAGGGAAGACATTATCTGGTGTTCTGATCTATCAGTCTGTTCTCTTGTTTCTCTGGAAGTGATGCTATCCCTGCGTATTTCCTGTCTAAAAGAGTAGCCTTCAGAGAGGAGACTGCCACTTTATGGGAAGTTTTGAAAACAGGGGAGGTAATGGAACATGTTAGCTAGAAAAGAAGATTGATTTCTTCCTGCATGGTTACATGGTCTTGATGTAGAGAGGAGTCTCTGGAGAAAATGGCAGCGTTTCAACTGGCTCACAAGTAGGACACACAAGAGACTTAAGGTAGGAGATACGTTCACTCTGCTAAGAGAAGTCACGTGTTCATCCTCAGCTCCCTGGGAGGCAGCGTAACTGGCAACCATGTGGGCAAGGAAGGCGTCCAGAGGAAGGGGCACCAGGGACATGTTCTCCAGGCTATGGGCCTCGTATTTTGGATTGTTTTGGGAATCACTGTGCTTACATCCCTAGAGGATCTGGGTGTAGGTCAGACATACTACAGGGCTCAAGCCTAAGCAACCAGGGAAATTAGCACCGACTCTCACGTGGGACAAAGACTTGACAAAGAGCCAGGCTGCACACCTCCTCACCCAGAGGCTCTTTCTTCCTTCCCTCCCTCCCTGGTTTTCAGGAAATCCTGCATTGATATAGACAATGGTGTGCTCTGAATGTCTCTGCTACCTGGAGACACTTAGGCTCTTGAACTAACTCACTAGTGGAAGTAGGGGGGATTGTGAGAAGTAGAGGGAGCTGATAAATGTGGGTGCTAAAATAGGGGGTACATTTGGGTCAGCTGGGAATTTGAGGAAAGGATAGGTTAGGGTTCTGTGTCACCAAAGGCAGCATAAGGTTTCACAGAAGTTCATAGAAGAAAACCTCAAGATGTCGCCACATTTCTGAGATGTCAGCAGCTAAGAGAAGAAAAGATTGCTTAGTTACAGAAGTTTTACCCATGGGAGCGTCTGGAAAATGGCACTTAACATTGTCACTGTCTTCATGTATCAAGCACCTAGAAGTTCACAGTGCAGTTCTGAAGACATGCTCATTTCTCTCTTCTTGTCTCTTCAGGTGCTACATGGTGTGTTGGAAGGCTAGTGACCTGTTAGGCACTTGGAAAAATTTATGCAGCTTCAAGGCTCATCTCAAAAGCTAACTCTGAGGCCTTCTTGACCTTCCGAGCTGTGCCGGGTCTCTCCATCCCCTGTGGGCTCATTAGAACTTGGATATTCCTTTAATGCAAACAACACATGGAAATAGAATGGACAATCATTCCCATTTAGTTGTCAGCTGTTCAAGGTCAATACTTATGCTCTGTTGATCTCTCTAACCCTCTAGATCTGGTGCCTGGCATGCTGTAGCTACCAGTAAATGAGGCAACAGTCTTCTGGAAGCTGCACTTCTATTACACATATACTGATGTTCACCAAGAAGAACACACCAAAAAGATAAATTTAGTTAACATTGAGCCTGTGTATAAAGAGACACACTGGATAAAGGATATAAATTTAGATGTTATAGCATGGAGGAAGTAGGGGAGAGAGGAAATGACGCTAATTGAGCAACTAGTTTTTACCTGGTACAACACAAAGTCTTAAATATGTTATCTAATTCAGCCATCATCACAACCCCTGCAGGTAGGTATTTAACTCCTTAGATGGCTATTGTATTCTTTTCTCTACAGGCCCTATTTTAGATGATAGACTCTGATGGTGAACAAGAGAAGCAGAGATCTCATTGCTTGTTTATACACAATCTAGCAACTATTCTACAGTTCAGACAGGACACGTGAATTGACTGGCTTTACATAGCTCCCAAAAATTCACACACGAATTGACTGGCTTTACATAGCTCACAAAATTGACTGACTTTACATAGCTCACAAAATCGACTAGGTTTACATAGCTCATTTAAGTCTGGCCTGTGTGGCTGTAAGGTCTACTCTCTTTATGTATTGTAGGTAACATATATTCCAGAAGTAACCCAGGAAACTCTGAAATTTTCATTTTGCAACCAAGAAGGGCATCCAGGAAAAGCTAGCAATTCTGGAGCGTTCTGGGACCTCCAAATAGTCTTTGGTGATGTTTAACAGCCTCCGTAATTTCATCAGTTAGTGCTGGGTTCGGGATGAGGCATTACATGGCGGAAGGCGAGGGATGGTTCTCTGTCACTTTAAGTCCTAAATTATTTTCAGGTGTTTGTTTCGAGGCAGGACGGGGAGGCAGCCTGCCATTTAGTGGAAAGGGTGGACATGGCCTCCTTTAGACCTCTCATCAGAGTTACTGTTTCGAGTAATGAAGAAGCACGGGGATTGATTTGATGCCTAATGAATAATCAGCTGCCATCAATAATTGTAATCACTAATCTGGTGCAATTAGAGGCAATTATAATAAATGCAATTTCCTCTCGTGCCACTAACGAACTACAGAAGTATGAATTGACTCAAGGGGGCTGGCAGTGATTTATGTGATTGTGAGATCATGAATCCCATTATCTTGGGAAAGACTCTTAAAGGGGCAGGGTCCTATTCTGATGTCACCGCTTCCTAATGAGAAGCTAGAAAATGCAATTCTAGAGGTAATGAGCACAGAGGCTACTGTATTTCTCTCACAACTGGCTTTAGATAAGGGCCTTGTGCAGATTCAGCTGGGCTGCCATGCAAAGGCCTGTTCCTTTAAGTTCTGTTTACTGTAGTGATACACCTTTAAGTCTTGAAGAATGAAGATGAAATATTCCAAACTATGCTGCACAAGAGGATGTGAACAGAAACATCTGGACGGAGAAGATCTTTTTTATATTCAGCCATGCCAATTGACCTACTACCCTCTCCATAGCCAAAGGAATGCCCAAATTTCCACAGAAAGGCATTTTTATGTAAGTTGAATGGCCTTGGAGGTCGTCAGTATCTTTAAAAAATGCTTAAATAGCTGGCTGGCCATGGTGGCTCACACCTGTAATCCCAATACTTTAGGAGGCCGAGGCAGATGAATCATGAGGTCAGGAGTTTGAGACCAGCCTGGCTGATACGGTGAAACCCCATCTCTACTAAGAATACAAAACAACTAGCTGGCCATGGTGGCATGCGCCTGTAGTCCCAGCTACTTGGGAGGTTGAGGCAGGAGAATCAGTTGAACTGAGGAGGCGGATGTTGCAGTGAGCCAAGATTATGCCACTGCACTCCTTCCTGGGCAACAGAGGGAGACTCCGTCTCAAAAAAAAAAAAAAAAAAAAAAAAAAAACAAGCTTAAATAGCTTTAATTATGTTAGTCCTGTTTTCAGAAATGTTGAGTTGCTATGCATTTTCTAATGAATCAGCCAGAGCTTTTTAAGGGACTCCACAGCATGTTCCCACATTGTTGTGACAGGACCGTAGTGAGCAAGGATGAGGTGGGAGCTAAGGTGACCAACTGCCCGCCTGCCTGGAACTTCGTGTGTTCCTTGGATTTGAGACTTTCAGTGCTAAAACTGGAAGAGTCTTGGGCACAAACAGAGATGAGTTTTTCCCATGGAGATGAGGTCCAGGATAGAGGCAGAGGCCAGATAACATAGGGCCTCTCATTCTCCTAGTAGCTCAGATAGAGTTCAACCTCCTGCAGTGCACTGCAGGCTCTGCCTGGTCTCACCTCCACTCCCATGCCCCAGCTCCTCTCCTGCTGGTAAGTCCACCTCTATTCATTCCACAGGGTCTCTAGTTCTTGCCTCAAAGCCCTTTGCTTTCCTTTTCTTTGCCTGGAGAGCTCTCTGGCCCTGATTATTCTCAGAGCCCACTTCTTCTTGTCATTCAGGTCTTACCTCAAATGGTCCCATGGAATTAGGCTCTCAGGCCCTGGCCATCACGGCACTATCTGTGTGTGAGTAGGTGCTTCCCATCCTTGTCTGCTAAGTCACAGGCCTACAAGAGTGCCCCAAACATGATGGGCCCCAATTAATATCATCCCATAAATTACTGAACCCCTTTCCAGCCCCACTTTTCTCTATTGGTGCACAAGCGTTCATCCCCATTCACATTCGCCTACATGCTCTTCCCTGAACACATCCTGATTCTTCCTCTCCATTCTGCCTGAAATACCTTCCCTCTAATTCCTTCAATATTGGCTATTGGCTGAAATTCTTCCAGAAGGAACTTCTGCAAAGCCTTCCTGGCTCCTTGATGGATTGGCTTTTTGGCTTATGCCTGTAATCCTACCACTTTGGGAAGCTGAGGCAGGAGGATTGCTTGAGCCCAGGAGTGCAAGACCAACCTGAGCAACATTGTAGAACGTCATCTCTGCAAAAACAAACAAACAAACAAAAATTAGCTGGGTATGGTGGCATGCGCTTGAAGTCCCAGCTACTAAGGAGGCTGAGGTGGGAGGATTGCTTGATACTGGGAGGTAGAGACTGCGGTGAGCTGTGATTACATCACTGCACTCCAGCCTGGGAAACAGAGCAAGACCTTTTCTCAAAAAAATTAAAAAAAAAAAAAAAAAAAAGCTAAGTTAACATGCCCAATCCCTTCACATACTTATTTTTATGGTGAGAACATTTGAAATTTACTCTCTTAGCAATTTTGAAATGTGCAACACATTATTAACTGTAGTCCCCATGCTGTACAATAGAGCTCAAAAACTTATTCCCTCTAGCTGAAATTTTGTACCCATTGACCAACATCATTCCCACCTTGCCCTTTAACAAACAACTAGTGTGTTCCTGCCAGCCAGGCACTTTGCTCCTTACTGCTTCGTGTTTATCCTGTATGTCCACCTTTACAGGACAGGACAGTCCAGAGAGAACCAACAGCCTTTGCCTGAGCTCTGCTCCAGAGCTCCTCCAGCCCCGTGATCAGGCACTAACTATAACAACTGAACCGATGGAAGTAAATCCTACCCCAGCGGGGCACTGGCAGGATTAAAGCAGGTAGTGGATAGCGTCTTGCACAGTACCATATACAGAGTAGGATCTCCTACACGTGGTAGGATTCTTGACTTGAATAGAAACAGAACCCACATAGCACAGCAATAAGAAAAATAAGATTCTGCAGACACCAATGCTAGTCTCAGGGCTGCCACTAACTAGGTATGTGACTTTGACCATGCCCCTTCACCTCCTGTCCGTGATTTTCTCGCGTGTAAAATGAGGCACTATTGTTTAGATTTCTCAAGGGCTTCCAGCTGTAACATTCTACAGTCCTGTGCATTGCTGGAATTGCAGGGGAACAGGGGAGGGAGGGTAAACCTCACATGTTCATGTTTTAAAATTTCAAATGAAGAAAGTTGTTGTTTTCTCCTCTTCCCTTCTCCCCAGTGGTAGCAAACAAGCAATAAATATGGAAATCCTAAAAGCCAGAGAAAATAGTGAGTGTTCTCCATTTTGCTGACAAAGTACACAGAGGCTGCGTCACAAAATGAATGTGCTTATCCCTCTTGTGTGCTGCATGAATTCCTCCCGGCCCGAGCATGGCTGGACCACTCACAGGACAGCTGTCCTTTGTTCTGTCAGTACAGGGTCCCCTGCTTGTGTGCTGACCAGCGCAGCACTGGGTGACTACTGCAGAGTGAAGGTGTGTGTTCCTTCTCCAGGGAGCCCCGAACAGATGGAATCCATGCTTAGTGCAGTGACTGGAAGGAGGTAGAAACAATGCAGGTGAATTGGGAGGGCAGTGCCGGGAGACAGCGGAAGAAAAGAGAAAAACAAAGGCAAGGTAGAGCATTCCAGCTGCAGGCAGCCAAAGCCTCTCCTGCCAAGGGACAGGTAGCTGGTTTTCAAAATTGTGCAGACATACTCAGTAATTGCTCTGCACCATCTTGTCTGCCTTTTAAGCACAAGCGAGGATTGCATCTGACTCCCATTACCAGCAAATGTCCCAGGAAGGACCTTAAGTAATAAGAGCCTTTTGAAGCTGATCTTCAGAAGCCTCTTCCCAAGATGGCACCTGGGAGGAGGTGTGGTTGTTTAGCGGCTCTGTCAGCCCCGGACGCACAAGTTGCTTATACCCTGCGCAGCTGTCTATTGTGGGTGCCCCACCGGAAGGTGGCAGCTCTTCCTCAGGCTCACGTGTTGCTTTCAGTCAGGTCTATGTTACTGCCCCTGCTTGGGAGACAGGCAGACAAGCTCTCTGGTCTTTATCAGGGGTTGTCAAGATGGGGCCTCAAATTCACTCATTTCCTTTTTGTTTTTCAATTTCCCATGTTTCACACATATCCAACTCAATTGTTTTTTTTTTTTTTTTAAACTTCACTCTAGATGAAGAAGCTCATCCCTGTGGACCTTTCTCTTGAATGCCTACTATGAGTCACTCAGCAAGAGAGGCACCCAGCTCCCTCAAGGTCTGCAGTGCCTCGGAGGTATTCATACTGAGCTTTCATCCCCCAGGTCGGTGATGTTTAGGATGATGAGGGTGGTCTGAGTTCACGGGCACCAGAACAGCCTCAGGCTGGCTGGAAGCCAGGTGTAACACTGGGCAGAGGGATGCCACTCACCTTTCCTCTGGGCTGGGTCCCCCCGGGCATTATTTATATGACTCCGCACACCTAAAGACCACCCTTTCTCCCTTTTCCTACGCAAATCTTGTACATTCTTCCAGGCCCACTTCCCTCCATGACACAGTCTCTGAACATATTATTCCTCACGGATGATCACCTTCTTAACTCCATCCAGACGTGTGCCTCTGTCTCACTATTTAGCGTTGTCCTAGAAAATACTGAGTAATTGTTTCATGCGTATACATCATGTTTCCTCAAGTAGAATCTACCTTTATACAATCAAAAGTGTCAGATTGATGGATGAGTAGCAGGTAAATTTCTGATAAAGAGAATTAAATTAAGTGTTAATTGTAGAATCTAGTGATGGGTTTATGGGTCTTAACTGTAAAAATCTTTCATCTTTTCTGTATGTTTGATAACTTTCATATAAAAATAATAAAAACTTTAGTTTATCTTCTATGTAATTACATGTTTACTTAACAAACTCTAATAAAGCACTTACTACCTGTGGGCTCCATACTCTATGTGCATGTCCCCCAGTAACCAGGGTGATGCTGAGTAAATGTAATGCGTGCTCCACAAATAATCGCTCATTGTTGGTGCTGTCTGCTCATGTGCCATTGGTTTGCTCTCTCCTGGGCATCCACTTTTCTGATTTGCCATCAGGGCTGGACAGCATTCACATAGCAGGCTTGGGAAATTTTAGGGGTACAAGTACCTTGCACTTTACCACCTTGTACCCCTGCCCATCTCTTCTGCCCAACCTGAACAAGAACAAGAACCCTCCTCCTATGGCTGTTGGGGTGCAAGTACCCATTTGCCTATTGGAACTGCCTTAGGGAAGATACGGTTAAACACAGACCCCACCCCGCAAGTTATTCTATTGAGGAAAAGTGGAAATAAGGTGAGTGCTACTACCCAACCACCCAACCCACACCTCTGTTACAATACTGGCTTTTTGACAAGGAAGCATTCATTCTTTCTGGCAAAACATTGTCCACTCTTAGCAGTTCTTCCACGGATATCAGACCTATATGCCAGTGGCAACACAGTAAGTCAGTAGCATTCTATAAGCACTCGTTCAACCATGTTTTCGGCGTGGTTTCTATGTGTCAGTCATTATCCCAAGCGGTGGCCAAGGAGAAGCTACAGAAGCAGATTCGACCAGGCCCTTTCTTTGAATAGTCTGTGGTCCCATGAGGGAGGCAGGTGAGAATCAAGGCTCTGTGATAACTGTTCCAAGGGAGATACACACAGAGCATGTGGCATGCTAAGCTCCTCTTGGGGTAATTGCAATGTTTGCCTTCTTTCCTTTGAGGACTTAAGTGTGAAGCCTGTGCACCTGGAATGGGAGGGGACAGGGATTCTCATAAGAACCTTTATGCCATTTGTATAGCAGTTAACAGACTGACAAGAATTTCAAAATAGCATCAGACGAGGCGATGAGCATAGGGGTCCTTAGAAATATTTGCTTGTTTTATGGTCAGAGGCCTGCAGGAAGCAGCTAATAACTGATCTCTTCCCATAGCCCCTAATGTCCTCTCCGTTTCAATCATGGACCAGAGTATAGTGTGACATTTCCCATATTATTGATTTGAGTTGTTATTTATTTCTTTTATTGCCATATAACTGTTTACACCCTTGGCTAGAATTTAAGATGCCGGAAGACAAGATAGTGCCTTGTTCCCCTGCCTCCACTAGCACAGCACCTGACTCACAGTAGGCAATCAATGCACCGATTAATTAAGTCCTCCTTCTGCTGAGGGCCCATCGTCCTTTGGCTGTCCCAGAGAGCTAACACCTGTCCCCGGGACCACCCTAGACACAATGGCACGCAGACGAACGAGCCTCCTTCGTCTACCTTCCCTCCGCGAGCAGCATCAAGGACCTGAGAGGCAAACTCAAGGTGAATTTTAAAACACCTTCAGTGGTGGTTGCAGAGCAAACCTGCCTGCAAGAAAAGGATTTTTTCCATCTTTCTTCAGCGCCACTGGAGCGGCTCCTTCCATTGAAAATACAGGGATTTGTGCTGCATGATTGTGCAGGGAGTGGGGGCCGAGTCCACGCCAGTCATCAAGGGCTCAGCATGCTCAGAAGGGCTTTGTGCTCCAGGCACTCCAGCAGCCTGGCTTGGCCTTAGCACATCCCCCTTCCTGAAGAGGCCACAGTACAACCACTTCAGCAAGTGACTTTTCAGTAATGGCTCTGTGTGCCCAAAAGGGAAATCAATGTGACGGTTAGAAAAGTTTCTTTTTTTCTTCCAGTCCTGTGCTGTCCCCAAAATATCAGAATAAGGTTTGTTATCTGGGCAAAGGAACAAGCGCAAGATTTTCTTTTATGTTGGGTGAGGAGCTAAAGGACTAAACATTTTTGAAAACCTATGATGTACCAGAGACTGTCTCACATCCTGCCCTATTTAATGTTACCAGGAGATCGTTGGTAAGGTGTTACCCCCATCTTAAAGAGGAGGGGACCAAGATTCAGGGATGCTTCACAAGCTAATAACTAAAACTTAATTCTAAAGTGTGTGGGGTGCGTGTGTGTGTGTGCATGTGTGTGCATGCATGTGTGCATGTGTGTCTGGTCTGATGTCTTAGTGTTCATATCCATGAGCATCAGGAGAGCTTCCACTTCACCCATGTTTCAAACTCTAGAGAGGCTGCTCCCCCTGCTGAGTAGCCTGGTCGTGGCCGTGGCTGGGTGATGGCTGTTTGGATGCTCTCAGAAATGTCGTAAGCAGTTCACTTATTATTCAGGGAAACATCCAACAAAGTGATGGCTTCTTTCCTTGCTATCACTATCTACTGCCAGCTGTTCACTTGAATTGAAGGATATGAGGGACTGAATGCTGAATTCACGAATGCAGCTAACCGCCCCCCTCCAGACCCCAGAGGAGCCATTAGGATGAGTGTTTATGGAGCAGCACTGCCTGGAAATGCCAAGGCCCAGTAAGGAATGAGAGGTGAACGGAGAAATACACGCGTCCCTGGATCCCTCCCTGGGTGGGGAAGACTGTGTCGTGGGACAGGGGGCTTCAAATCTATGGGAAAACACAGCAAATACACTTCTAGTTCTTAGATATCATTGGCTTTTGTTGCTGGACAAAACCTGCGGTTTGTTTTTCAATGTCTGCGTGGCTGCTTGTAGCCTCTTCTCCCCTTGTTGTGAGCTTTCTTTCCTCCTGCAGCATCTATCTCTCCAACTGTATTTCCTGGCAGATTGACTATGCATGTAGAACCTGCCTTATTTCACAGGAAGCATAAAACAATCCTGTAGCCACGACTCCTGCCCCCATTTCACAGAAGGGATGCTCTAAGCCCACCTCAATGACACGGGCAGGTGAGGATTTGAAGCCAGAAATTCTGATCTTCCAATCCTGGGCTATAGTCATTGGGCCAAGCAGCTACTTTGCTTTTCCTGATTGAGTCAGGGCTGGGCAGAGAAGCCATTTAAGCAGAAGGCCCAGGCCCCCCATTTCAGTGATGGAGACGTCTACCCCATTCTCTCCTGGGCTGGTGTAACAGACACAGAGAAAGGCATTTATCAAGGCCGCGCAGCATCACCCTTTCCCAGTTCCTTAAATGTCAGGGTGTAAATCACGCTCGACGCTTACTAGGAACATGTGGGTGTGAGCGAATCAGACAAGGATAATGTGTTTCTAATCCAATGGCTTTCACAAAGTATGATTTACATCTGCAGACGATTTTGCAGTGGTTTTCCTGGGTTGTTATTTAGCTTGCCATTCCCACTTCTGCTATGAGTTTTATTACTTTTGGCCATGGGGGAGTCTAGAAGAGTCACTTATTCAGGAAAATGTATAAGAACAAGAACAAGAACAACAACAATAAAAATTATTTAAATATTTTTTTCAGTCTCACATCTCAGCAAGGCAGAGCTGTGTTTTATTAAACTTAAACAAAAATAAGCCTGCACCTTTAGTGGTGACATTTTGTTCCAATACTAGATCTCCTGGTAGTCACAACTTATATATTCAACAACAAAACAACAATGAAAAACTCAACTTAAAAAAGAGGAAAGGACTTGAATAGACGTTTCTCCAAAAAAGATACATACCAGGCCATAAACACATGAAAATAACATTCAGCATCACTGATCATTAGAGAAATGCAAATCAAAACCACAATAAGATAGTGCTTCACACCCATTAGAATGTGTTATGTAAAAAGAAAAATAGAAAACAGTCAGTGCTACTGAGGATGTCGAGAAACCAGAACCCTTGTACACTGTTGGTGAGAATGTACAATGGTGCAGTTGCTGTGGAAGACAGCTTAGCAGTTCCTCAAATAAATGAAACGTCAAGTTACCATTTGACCCTGCTCTTCCACTTCTGGGTATACACCTAAAGGAATAGAAAGCAGGGACTTGAACAGATACATGTAGACCAGTGCTCATAGCAGCATTATTCACAGTAGCCCCAAAGTGGAAACAACCCAGTGTCTATGACAGAGGAGTGGGTGATCACAATGTGATATATGCATACACTGGAGGAGTTTTCAGCCACAAAAAGGAGTAGAGTTCCGATACCCGCTACAACATAGATACATCTTGAAAACCTTACGCTAAATGAAACAAGCCAGCTAAAAATGACGAATGAATGATTTCACTTCCATAAAATGCCTAGAATAGGCAAATTCAGAGAAACAGAAAGTTACCAGGAGCTGGAGGAGTGGGGTGGAGAATGGGGAGTTCTTGTTTAATGGGGATGTATTTTCTGTTTGGGATGATTTAAAAAAAATTCTGGAGATGGTTGTAATAGTTGTGCAACACTGTGAACGTAGTTAATGCCAGTAAATTTTACGTTTAAAATGGTTAAAGTGGTAAATTTGATGTTATGTATATTTTACTACAATAAATGAAAATCACCACAAACACCACTACTCCAAAAACCAAGCAACACACATACATGAAGGCAGCAGATCTTGCAGGCTGACTATGACCTTTCCTTTCTCCCCAGCAAACAGCCTGGAGGAATCCCTGCACTTGAAATGCAGGAGCTGTCAGACTCCACACTTCTGTGCATGCGGTTCCTTCTGTCTGAAATGCCGTTCCCTATCTTGCCCTCCAAAATAACAGCTTATTGCAGAAGCTTCAGTTAATTCCCCTCCTATCAGAAGACTTAATGTTCCCATACTTGCTTTCTTAAAGCATTTCACCTCCATCTTATGAAAACCCTCTACCTCGGTGTTTTACTCACTTTGTATCCCCAGCTCAGAGTAACACTCCTAACTCATAGTAGAAATTCGATAAATATTTAATTATTCAGGTTGGCTTATGTTTAGTTTTATTTTAGTTCTATGCCAAGAGAACAGGCAGTCTTAACAGCTCAGAGAAAGCTGTTACAATTGCAATAGTGAAAGAGAAACATCAAGAAAGATAAAAGAAAGTGTTTCCTTCCCTCCTTAAGTTCCACTTCACTACACTTTGCAATGACATCTGACACACTTAGCATTAAATCCTGATTCTGGGAAGAGCACAGCAGTTCATGCCTGTAATCCCGGCACTTCAGGAGTCTGAGGCAGGAGGATCACTTGAGTCCAGAAGTTTGAGATCCACCTGGGCAACAAGGTGAAACCCTATCTTTACCCCCACCTCCCCCCCAAAAAAAATTAGCAGAGCATGGTGGCATGCACCTATAGTCCCAGCTATTTCTCAGGAGGCTGAGGTAGGAGGATCACTTGAGCTCAGGAGATCAAGGCTGCAGTGAGCCATAATCACACCATTGCATCTAGCCTTGGCAACAAAGTGAGATCCTGTCTAAAAGAATTAAAAATTCTGGCTCTGGTCTGGCAGTGGAGCCTTGGTCTTGTCACTCGGCTTTGCCAAAGCCTCAGCTTTCTCATCTATGAAGTGGAAATAACAGGTTCCCTTTAAATGGTGGCCAGAGAAGCCGTTGCTCGTGGCAGGCACTGAGTGTGTGCTGAGCCATCTATTGCAGAAGCCTCCATCATCTCTGTGCTCACTGGTCATCCCTACCTCCCACTACTGTTCTCCCTTCTCTCCCACCTCTAGCAAGGTATAGTTTACATTTCTTCCTTAATTGCCTCCGTATTTTTTTCTGATAAGTAATTCTATGGACAACACAGTCTTGATTTTTCTAGTCTAATCATTAACTCTTTCATTTGCTCCCTTTAGCATTTAGGAGGGGAGGGAGTTAGGGTCAGGGTGAGGTTAAGGGGGTCGTTGGCCCTCCAGCACAGCTGTTCTAAGGTCACCATTTGCTGCTGAAATCCCTTTCTTGGCTGCATCAAAGGGCAAATGCCCCACATGAGCTGAGGCTGGCAGGACCTCTGGCGCCTTGGCATGTAGTTGGAGTCCTTTAAGCTTCTATTCTTGGGTGAATCATAGGGCTTTTGTTCACAGTTCCAGCCCTCCCTATAGTGGGGAAAGTGTTTTCCCTTCCCTCCTTTTTCCCACCCTCCTTTCTCTTTTGTAAGCTTTCAAGTCCCCCAGTAAAAGAACTGGTCAGTCTTTTTTTTTTTTTTTTTTGAGAAAGGCACTCAACTTTACTAGATGACTTTCACAGTAAATTCATTCTTTTTTCTTTTTGCCCTTGAATTCTCATATGCTCAACATTCTCATAGGGTAGAAAGTAGATTTAAAAAGGATATAAAACATCCACCACACTAGTCTAGGTATATCTCAAACCTTCCTAGAATTTCTTTCATTCATGCACTCAGCAAGTATTTATTAAATACCTACTAAGCACCATGCCCTGTGCCAGGCACCAGAGGGTCTCAGATGAAGGGGACACTGTCCTTGCCTTAAAGTGCCTGGTAAAAATATAATTGCAAAGTGATTTTCTATCTGACGTGTGGAAGGATTTTAAGATATAGAGGCAGCCCCAAGTAATTCACCTTCCTCAGATGCATCCAATGGGGAGGGATGATAGCACTAGAGTAAACGAATACCCAGTCTGCCTCTTTCTAGAAGGCACTTGTACACTCCTCAAACAAACTCTGTAATAGTGTGTGAGGGGGAGAGGTGGAGTCCTTAGATTATAGGCTGGGGGAGAGGGAGGGTGGCTGAGGAGGCTGGCAGAATAGGATAAGAAACTTCATTCCCTCCAAGGGTAGATTATTCACGAAATTGCAAAACAGTAGTGATTATGCCTATTTGCAAAGAATATCAAGTCCATTAGGTACAGGGGAGGTATCTAAGGGTAGGTGGGCGTCACTCCAGGCCCAGGCTTTTCAGTCTTTCTTTTGATTTTTCTCTTAATCACTTCCTAGAGGGTTTATCTTTCTTGTATAAATATCCATGCCATGAAACCAACACATGCACCGAGCAGCCTTGATTTCAGTTGGTGCGTGTTAAAGTCTCTGGAGTCTCCCATGCTGTAGAAACCCACATTTTCCCTGGAGAGCCTTGACACTCCGGTGGCCCTTCTTGGTTTCCTTGGGCACTGATGAGCCTGTCTGCATTTCCCCATCCTATTTACCCTCTGAGAATTGGTTTTGTTCCCATTCATCAGAAAGGAGCAAGGTTGAGAGTCTAATTTTTCCCTCAAGGTTCAAAGTTGAGTCTTGTGTGTGCACGTGCAAGCATGTACACATGTTTACAACAACCTAAGGGTTCCACTCACTCAGAGAAATTTTATCAATTATCTAAGAGTCTATCTTTTACATGATTGTCCTCTGGATTTACTAAGAGCTTCGTAAATACCCTTTCTATCTGGGGACCAGCCCTTATGGGCAGATGGGTGGGTAAACTGTGGCAGGATGTCAAATTGTGCCATTAGCCGCAGCCTGGATTCTGCTCCCTGACCTGTCCAAAACATCTGTTTAGCAGAAACTGCATGACAGCTTCTCTAAAGAGGAAAACAATAGCCCAGGAGGTGACTAATTTCAGTGTTTCTTCTGGCTTGAAGTGTGCTGAAGCGATACTCAATCCCATTGCAATATATATTTACTGAGCACTCATGACATCTAGGCACTGGGCTAGGCACTGTGGGGAATACCAAGGAAATAAAATGTAATCTATTCGGAAATACAAAACACACACACTAAACAGTTAGAACCAACAAAAGATGAAATCAAATCAAATCAAATGTCTAAACATCAAGTGTGCTATGAGAGGTCAGGGAAGAGGAGATCCATATAAGCTACAGTCATAGGCTGTTAGATGTAGAAGAGAATTCTGGGATCAAGCACTCATTCACCCATTTATTTAGCATGCATTTATTAAATACTTACTGAATACTTACTCTGTACTGGGATCTGTGGGAGGCGGTAGATAAAAAGAATGAGCTCAATTATTTCGAGGAGATTACTCCAGTTAGCAGCAGAACTGGAAACAGAATCCATGCCTTAACACAACATTCATTCAACAAACACAGAATAAGAAGTCATCATGGGCACCGGGATAGCTGCAGGAAGACTGTATTGCATATTGGTGAAGCATCTGTGGCACTGAGTAGCTGTGTGAACCTGTGAAAGTTTCTTAACATCCCCTAGCTTCTATTTCCTTAATTATAAAATGCAGATAAGAAGAACACCTCTCTCATAGAACAGATGTGAGCATTAAGGGAACTAAACATGTAAAGGGCACAGCACAATTTCAGACACAAAGTAAGTGCTTAATAAATGCCAGTTATTTTTATTACGGAGCTATCTCAATGGATCAAACACAGTGCCAATCCTCAGGAAACTTACATGAATTCTATTGAAGAGGGAAGGCATATTCCCAGACCAAGATGTCTCCCTGATAACAGAACTTTGGGGAAGATTTTAAGAAGTTAAATAAAAACAGACAAAATGAAAACAAGCATAAAGATAGAGAGGTGAAAGTTACACCTTATCTGCAATCCTTGGGACCAGAAGTCTTCCAGGTTTTAGATTTTTTAAAAAAATTTGGAACATTTGCATTATACCAGTTGAGCATTTCTCATCTGAAAACTTGAAGGGTCACAATGAGCATTTCCTTTGAGCCTTCTGTTGATGCTCAAAACATTTCAGATTTTGGAACATTTCAGATTTCAGATTTTTAGGTTAGGGATACTCAACTAGTACATGATCAATGGGCTGAACATCCTCAATAGTTATTTGATTTATCGCTTTCCAAATCTACCAAAGAGTCAGATTGTTAAATCCTGGAAAGGAAAATATTCAGAGACCGTCTAGTCCACACCCCTGCCTCTCATCTATTAATATACTAAGAACACTAGTTAAAAGTCCCGTGTATTTGAGTGCATGCTCCCATAACGTTGTAAGCATCATGATCCATGGTTGCTTGGCTCTGAAGAACTCTGGGATGTTAGAAATAGCAGGAAAGAAAGAAATTACATAAGATGGCTTTTTCCAAGGATGGGTCTTGGGAAGCAAATTCAATAATGAGGCTTTTTCCTCCTTCTCTATCCCCAACTAAGGCAGAACAGAGTTCAATGGCCTATATCCAGGAAATAGAGCAAATCTCAGTGTAATCCATCCAGGTAAGAGTATGCCAGGAAACTAATTTGGGAAATGGAAGAGGCATGGTGATAAGAATATCCAGGTGGTGGTCATGTGCAGTGAATGCAGAAGAGAACTGTGATCATAGATGTCACCAAGCTGTTGGTTATAGAACTAGAGATGAAGTAAGGGGAGAAGGGTCCAGAATATAAAATCCAGCCCCCAGGGGTGGGGGAATAAAAACTGTTTTGTAGGGAATGAGGGCATCAGCCAAACAGGTTGGGTTCAGAATAAGGAGACCCAAGGGAATGAGGACAGGAGCCTTAGCCATTTAGAACCAGCACATACGACGAGAATAGCTAGTCAGCTCTGGGAGACCAGGGGGGTTACACATAGGTACATCAGACACAGTGTGGGCAAAGTTCCTCCAGATTTGATGCACTGGCTGGGTGAGACTTGTAAGAGGTTGCCAGGCTGACTTGTCATTGCTCGGACTAGATAGGACTGAAATCACCAACTAAACTGCTCCTGGCTGCAACATGGGGGGACAGTATGAGGAGCAATTTGCACAAGGGAATACCTCGAGGTCTCCCTCATGATACTTCAAAAATCGAAGGGTCTTTCCATTTGTGTATGGAGAGAAGTATAAATATTTTTTGTCACTTTGGCAGCAGTCTTTTGTGACCACACCCATGCATAAGACATAACTTTTCCCTCTGCTCCAGCCCCTGATTCAAATCAAATGCTGACACTTGTTAATATTTCTCTAAATGCCACTGTGGTGGAGATGACCCTCCCTCACATTCCTTCCTGTTCCCAACCTGCCCCCAATATACTATTGTTTTTAAGCAGCTCACCTGTTAATTAAAAAGTAGGAATCAATTGGCCTCATCTCTCCATTCCAGGCTCCTGTGCACACAAGGATTAGAGCTGCCTCTACTTAAGTCAATTAGAGATAAGGAGAAGCTGACATTTCGACAACCTACCTTATCACACTGCTCGAAAACAGCTCAGATTAAAATGTACAAAGATGATTTCTTTACTCCTTTTCCTCTTCCTTTACCTTCTCTTAATTATTCCAAAGAAAGCTGACAATCCAAGCGGACATTGGAGATGCACGCTCCCATCTATGGTGATTAGCCCACCTGAAACACACACCTGACCTGTCCTACTGTGAGTACCACTGTGGACCCACACCTGCCCAATCAGCCATCCCCAGCTGGGGTGCAGAGAAATACTTAACCTGTGCCTCAATTTAGGGTGACTGTCTTTTCTACTGCGCTGCAGTAAAGTGGGGGTCAGACTGGGAGTCCAAAGACATGGGCTCATATTCTGACTGTGTCATTTATGTGCTAACTCACACCTTGGGCTCTTGGCTTCTCTGAGTCTCAGTTGCCTTCACTGTGAAATGGGTCAATAGTTCTTGCCTAATGGCACTGTTGTGAGGATTGAGCCAGAGCACACCTGCACCTGTACAACAGGGAGCCTGGTACAATGGATGCTTGATAAATGTTTACGTTGAATCTCAACACCGTGGGATGCAGCCTAGGTAATTTCTGAATGGAGCCATGAGACAGTTTGCAAGTAACTCCACGTAGCATAGAAACGTTTACTTGTTGATCTCAGGCATTTCTTTCCAGGCAAAGTGTATGTATATATACATGCACACACACACACACATTACTGTTAAGTAACCCTACAAGTTTGTTATTGTGATCTCCATTTTAAAATGAGGGAGCTGAAGATCAGAGAGATTAATTACCTTGCCAAAGTTCATACATCTAGGAAACAGCAAAGCTGGGATCTGAACCCAGAGCCCATTATCTTCCCATTACCTCATGCCCCAGTGATGCTGAATAATCACGGGAAAGCAAAGCAGTGTAGTCGGATGACCTTTTCATTCATTCACACAGTGAAGAGAGCGCCACCTTACTGACACCAGTCTGTGAATGTATTAGCAATTTTCCAAATTTGCCCAGTCCATTAGCTAGGCTCCTTCTGGCTACCTTTGACTCCTGGCCCACCCCGACTGTGCTAAATGCTGGTGTGGCCCCTGCACAGAAGCACTAGCTATCTTCTGGTCCTTCTCCACATCATCATTCAGCAAACCACTTCCCTTGTCTCGCCTGCAAACCCTTTATGGCAACCACTGGTCAACAGCAGCTGACATTCAAACAGAGCTTCCAATGTACAGGATGCGATTTCCGGCGCATTATAAGCATTGCCAATGCCCTGTGATGGGCACCGGGGTCAGCACCCACGTCCCACTTCAGAGAGAGATTGTTGCTCAGCTGCCCAGAGTGCCCTTGGCAGACAGGTGGTTATGGCTCTCAGCCCTTTTGGGGATCAATCCTGCTGGAGAGAGACCTCTCTGGGGCCATGTCCCTTCCCCAGGTGGCCACATTCAAGATTAAGCGTAGAGGTCTGGCAATACCCGCCCCCTGAGAATTACTCTGATGAGTAATTACTGCCCCCTTACTCCATTCAGAAATTACTTAGGATACATCCCATCACCTTAAACATTTATCAGGCATCCCCTGTACCAGGTTTCCTGTGTGCAGGTGCATGTGTGCTCTCACTCAATCCTCATGACAGTGCCATTAGGCAAGAACTATTGACCCCTTTCACAGCTAAGGCAACCCAGGCTCAGAGAAACCAAGGGCCCAAAGAGTTAGGTCATCCTCACTCCAGCCCCTGCTGTGGGGCTGGTCCCGGCCGCCACTGATCAGTGTCATAGTCTGAATTGTCCCTCTGTTCATTCCTGCTTCCTCTTCCACCTTTCCACAGGTGCTGATTTCAAGGGCACTCCCCAATCAGCAACTTATTTGCTAAATTACGTCTCAGATTCTGTCTCCTGGAAAACCCAGTCTCAGACTCAGGCAGGTCTTACTATTAACCACACTTTACAGAGGAGAAAACAGTTCAAGATTAATTGGTTAATCAGCGGCTATGGCTAGTCACTTTTACTATTTTCTACTTCAAAACTGTTCTTCTGTGCTTATCCTTTCTAGAGCATGACCCTGGTGGATTAAAGATGACTATGAGTTGTTTGATAGTCCTGTCGCTGAGAGGTGGATTACATTTCCCCTTTCTCTGAGTCTGGGCTGGGCTTGGTGCCTTGCTATACTAACAGAGTGCAGCAGAAGGGATCACATGTCAGCACCAGGCCCAGCCTGGGAGGACCGAGAGCCCCCACCTTCGTCTCTTGGAGCTTGATGCTGCCACTGAAGGCCCAGCATTCCTACTGGAAAGATCGTGTAGAAACATCTTGAGACACCACAGAGAAGAAGGAGCCCATGTGGGCATGGCCTTCCACAGCAGCAAGGCGTGAGAGCGAAGCTGTCTTGGATCCCCTAGACCAGCCCAGTCACCAGGCAAATGTCATTGCTAGGCCTAACTGAGACCACATGGAGTGGGAGGATCACCAAGCTGAGTTCTGCCCAAATTCCCCATCCACAAATCAGGATGGTTTCTTACACAACAGAAGCTAACTAGACCAAAGGCACACTACCCGAATTATTGCTGAATTATGGGAGAAGTCCTCTGCAGTGTTCTCAACCTTGTCCCCTCTGCAGTCTTCCTCCCTCAGCTATGCTACCCTGTTCAGCATCTTACTCTCCCCACCCACCCCATTTCTCTATTTTCAAACTGCACAGAGAATTCTTTCACTTCCAGATATACCTTAATGTCTCTTCTTCCTTCCTTTTCTTCTTCTTATTCTTTTTTTTTTTTTTTTTTTTTTTGAGATGGAGTCTCGCTCTGTCAGCCAGGCTAGAGTGCAGTGGCTTGGCTCACTGCAACCTCTGCCACCTGGGTTCAAGCTATTCTTCTGTCTCAGCCTCCTGAGTAGCTGGTATTACAGACATGTGCCACACACCTGGCTAATTTTTGTGTTTTTAGTAGAGATGGGGTTTTCACCATGTTGGCCAGGCTGGCCCTGAACTCCTGACCTTAAGTGATCTGCCCACTTCGGCCTCCCAAAGTGCTGGGATTACAGGAATCAGCCACTGCGCCTGACCCTTCCTTTTCTTCTAAACTTCATAAAGGAGTGATCAACATACACTACCAACACTTCTACATTACTGCCTTCCTTGTTCACTTTTGAATTCTGACTGCTATCTTTACCATGTTTTGTTATGAAAGTCTTGAAGTTTAGCTGTTATTTTTGAATCATAAAATCTGGTGACACTTTCTTACTTTAACCATCATTTGCTTTTGGGAAGCCATTCTCGAAACCCACCTCTGACAACTAGTATTACAAACTGTCAGCTAATGTCCTAGGAGTTCTCTTGACATTTATTTGTTCACTCATTCATTCAACAAATATCTTTCTAGAACCTACACTGAGATACTATCTGTGATCTCATGCTCCCTGGCCACTTAGCAGAAAGAATGGCCAATCCAGAAAAAGGGACACTAAGTCGGCTGGTACAACCACAAGCAATCCATCTCAAAGATGATGCACTCAGATTTTAAAAATGTGGTAGATGCTTTCATGTTTCTGAGGCATGTGTGGTCAGGAACTGTTTTCCTCTAGTTAACCCAGTAACTCATAGCTCTGGTTACATATTAAAATCACCAGCAGAGCTTTTAAGAAATACTAATGCTTGGTCGTCACCTCTGGATATTCATCAGTCTAGAGTAGAACCCAGGCATTAGCATGTTTTAAATGGCTGCTAAGTGATTTTAACGTGCAGCAGCTGGGGCTTGAAGGCCATTGACTGACCTAAAACCCTAATAATACAGCTTAAGATCATGCTTGCTGCTCTATAATCTATGGAGGCCAAGGAAAGCACTGAGTGGAGTCAGGGTTTTGGACACTTGAAGTTTTCCTGAAATCTCTTTGCAGCTTTTCTGTCCCAGGTTAAATAATCCCAGTTCTTCCAACCTTTCCACGTAGGTCGTATTTGCAGCACTTTAATCACACTTTAATCTTGTTTTACTTTAGCTCAAATAGGTCTGTTTCCCTGGAGAAAGCTTTTCCAAGGTAGATGTCTCTGTTTTACAGAAACACATAACCCTGATAGCTCATCAATTCAACTGTGAATTGCTCAGTGGTTGTTATGAAATACATATCAGTAAAGATCTCAGCAGACCATTTTATTTCTAGACTTACATTAGCTAAAAATGAAACACCACAAATATCAACAAGGAGGCTTTTTTTTTTTTCTTGTTGTTCTGCAAATACTGTTAGCAATGCATTTGGTCACCTGACTTACAAGCCAACTGAGAGCGTACAGGGCTTGACTTAGCTCTCCAAAATCTTTTCTCATTCTCCCAGTAATTGCAGTAATCAATGGTCCCAAGGAAATTTGAACTCACTCAAAAGTCAGCCGGGGATGCTAAGTCTGGGAGGGGAAGAGATCCCGGATGACCCAAGCAGTAAATTAACATACGTTGACGAAGCTGATTAGCAGTCATAAAATTATACATCTCTCTAATCCAGGAACCCAGAGTCACTTTCCACTGTAGTCTTTTCATATATCTGCCTGGCGATCCTTTCATATAAATCACGTCAATTTAAATTTTAATTTGCTTATAATTTCAAAGGATGTTTGACCTATTATTATATTAGAAATGAGAGAAACATGAATTTATGAAAAATCCAGGCATAAAGGTCTTCAGCAATTACAAAGGGGGAAGCAGATAGTAGAGAGGAATGGAAACAGGGGGTCTTAATTACATTCTGAGGACAGGGCAGCATGTTTCAACTCATATATGCACAGAGTCCTTTTGGAATGCTGCTCTAGTTTGGACAGCTGACCCTCCAAACCTCATGTTCAAATGTGATCCTCAGTATGGGAGGGGAGCCTAGTGGGAGGGGAGCCTAATGAGAGGTGTGTGGGTCATGAAGGTGGATCCCTCTTGAATGTTTTGGTGCTGTCCTCACAGTAATGAGTGAGTTCTTGCTGTTAGTTCCCACAAGAGTCCCCCTACGGGCTGGTCATTTAAATAAGCCTGGCACCTCGGGCCCTTGCAGTCCCAGCTACTCGGGAGGCTGAGGCAGGAGAATGGCTTGAACCTGGGAGGCGGAGCTTGCAGTGAGCCGAGATTGCGCCGCCACTGCACTCCAGCCTGGGCGACAGAGCGAGACTCCCGTCTCAAAAAAAAAAAAAAAAAAAAAAAAAAAAAAAAAAAAAAAGACTGGCACCTTGCTTCTTCTGCATTTATTTATTTATTTATTTATTTATTTATTTATTTATTTATTTCTGAGATGGAGTCTCACTCTGTCACCCAGGCTGGAGTACAGTGGCACGATCTTGGCTCACTGCAACCTCCACTTCCCGGGTCCAAGTGATTCTTCTGCCTCAGCCTCCCAAGTAGCTGGGACTACAGGCACATGCTACCATGCCCGGCTTATTTTTAGTAAAGATGGGGTTTCACCATATTGGCCAGGCTGGCCTCAAACTCCTGACCTCGTGATCCACCCACCTCAGCCTCCCAAAGTGCCAGGATTACAGGCATGAGCCACCACGCCTGGCCAAGCACCTTGCTTCTTTCTCTTGCTTCCTTCTTCTTACCCGTGATCTCTGCACACACTGGTTTCCCTTCCCCTTCCATCATGATCGGAAGCTTCCTGAGACCTCAACGGAAGCCAATGCTGATGCCATGCTCTTGTACAGCCCACAAAATCATGAGCCAAATAAACCTCTTCTATTTATAAATTACTCAACCTCAGTTATTCCTTTATAGAAACACCAAAATGGACTGAGACATATGTACTTGAAAAAAAGAATGCTGAGTAGGTAGGTTTTGGAGATTTTTTTTTTTCTTTTAAGGGTAGTGTACATATAAAGCTTCTAAGTCGTAGAGATAAAGTAGGAATCCATTTCATGCCAACAATGACTGGCAGCTGTCATAAGACACAAAGGATAGAATCAAAGTTAACCATCATAGATCAACTGTATTTGGAAGGATTTTTAAAAAGCTCTTCCTGCTCCCCAAGTTTCTAAGAAAGGGTCAAGATCTAAGGATGTTCATAAATCAAATTGCGTGGCTATCCTGGACACCACAGAAGTATGCTGGACAGACATCAAAGAGATGAGACATTTGTTGTTTCCCAGAGTCCTTTGAACTTCTTGGTGTAATGCCGCCCAGTGGACTCCTGGTTCCAAGACCCACCTCTACCACTTACAATCTTTTTGATCTTAGAAAAATCACCTAAACTTTTCAGCTTAGTTTGTTTACCTTAAAATTGATAATATCTTTATTGATAATATCTCAAAAGTTTTAATATCTGATTATCAGGTAGACTTAAAAGAATCTTTATAAAGCACCTAGAACTATGCCTCCATGTGCTAGATGTTTAATATATATTATTATTTTTGGAAGTCCCTTCTTTGCCAGCGCTAAAGGAATTCTAGGTCACTTAGAAATGTGATGTTTTATTATCTGGAGATTCTATAATGCAACTGTTGACGACGATAGAAGTTGAAGACTCTATTCACCACCTTTTAGGTACTAACCCAGAAATAAAACTAAAGGTGCAGCCTCCTATGAAGACCTGAAAGTAAAGAAGAGTTGGGCTGGTCATAACTACCTCCACAGCTCCCTAACAAGCAGGTTCACCTCTTAGGTGCTAACCAAGAAATAAAACTAAAGATGCAGCCTCCTATGAAGACCTGAAAGTAAAGAAGAGTTGGGCTGGTCATAACTAACTCCACAGCTCCCTAACAAGCAGGTTCACCTCTCGGGTGCTAACCCAGAAATAAAACTAAAGATGCAGCCTCCTATGAAGACCTGAAAGTAAAGAAGAGTTGGGCTGGTCATAACTAACTCCACAGCTCCCTAACAAGCAGGTTCACCTCTCGGGTTCTAACCCAGAAATAAAACTAAAGATGCAGCCTCCTATGAAGACCTGAAAGTAAAGAAGAGTTGGGCTGGTCATAACTAACTCCACAGCTCCCTAACAAGCAGGTTCACCTCTCAGGTGCTAACCCAGAAATAAAACTAAAGATGCAGCCTCCTATGAAGACCTGAAAGTAAAGAAGAGTTGGGTTGGTCATAACTAACTCCACAGCTCCCTAACAAGCAGGTTCACCTCTCAGGTGCTAACCCAGAAATAAAACTAAAGATGCAGCCTCCTATGAAGATCTGAAAGTAAAGAAGAGTTGGGCTGGTCTTAACTAACTCCACAGCTCCCTAACAAGCAGGTTCACCTCTCAGGTGCTAACCCAGAAATAAAACTAAAGATGCAGCCTCCTATGAAGACCTGAAAGTAAAGAAGAGTTGGGCTGGTCATAACTAACTCTACAGCTCCCTAACAAGCAGGTTCTAGGTCCCAGTGAAGCCTCAAATGGGAGAAGAGGGCAGTGGAAGGGAATAAGAGAGAAGAGATATGTCCCCTGGCTCTCAATTTGAAACTCAGGGCTTCTCCTCATGAAGTGGCCCTGAGGAGAGCGCATCTGATTCTTGTTCAGAAGAGCAGGTGAGGCATAATCTATTTATCTAGCACTACTTCAAGACATCACCAGGTAAAACTCATTTCTATTCATTTAGTCTCTACTAAAGGCATTATAGTTTGTTTATTGATACTTCTGCAGAGAAATAAAAAGGAAAATGCACCTACAATACAGGACATTTGTGGGATGCTGTATCTGAGATGCCCTGAAATAGGCTTTGGAAAATGTGTTGTTGTCCTAATTAGTTATTAAGGTCGGGTATCTATGGAAACAGCCATATATTTGTCCTTAAGCCAGACAAGCACTTACTCATTTAGTAGCATGCAATCCATACAAATGAAGCCTGGTGCTTATACACATTAGCTTCTTGCAACACATACAAAAATAGAGAAAGCAGGAAAGATGAGGAAAGTATGCAAATGGAGGAAAGAGAGCCCCTTACACCAGCACAGTGTCATGCCTACAGTGAGTCACTGAGGAAATCCAAAGGCCAAAGAGTGAATTTATTCACACAGCATCAATTTTGAATGAGTCCAGTGAAATTCCTCCCCAATGGTGTAGCAGTGGAAGGAATTGTCCTATTAATAGCATGCTTCAGCTACATTATGGGTTCAATGGGTTAACTGGGCTTTTGTTGGATGGCCTTGTAGCATAGTAACCATTTATAACATAATTTCTATGGGAAAATGTGTACTGAATTCTAAGTACTCAGCTTAAAAAAAGGACTTCTGAACTACAGCCCACGTGCAGAATGAGGACTTCCTGCATCCTCTGAGAAACAGCAAGGAGACTTAGAGGGAGCCCTGGGGTAAGCATCTGAAGATCCAGGTTCCAGTCCCCATTCTTGCACTTACTGCATGGGTGACTCGAGTCTTTTAACTTCCCTGAGCCTCCGTTTCGCTGTCAAATCAAAATCCATTTTGTCTAGAATATAAGCTCCACTAGGACAGGAATCATGCCTGCCTGTCTTCATCACCTTGGCTTCCCCAGCCCCTCAATCAATATTTGGTGAGTGAAGGAATGAAAGAATATTTGCCCACCTCTCAACACTCTGAGAATAATCAAATGGGGTTATGCGTGTGAAAACAATTCAAGAAGCTATAAAATGGAATACAAATGAGAGACATGATAATTATAACCTATTGTTACAGACAGAATGTCACCTTCTGTGCATTCCATGTAAATGAGGATGTTTGCATTAGTGCTAAGTTGAATGGCTAAGCTGATATCCAGAATATTGAGTGGTACAGATGGACCATGCAACATTGGGTATCTGAGCTAGAGGGAGGGGTGGGTAATGAGAAAGCAAGCAAGGGAAGTTCAAAAGAGTGGGGGCTGGCTGGAAAATGAACTAGTTAGATCCAACATCTGAAGGCAGGTCAATACAGGTACAGGAATCTTGTAAAGTCTCTTCAAAGACCATGCTGCGGACTAGAAGGCTATTCTGCCTGAGCCAGAGCAGACACAAAGAAGAAACTAGACCAGAGTCTGGATTCCACACTTATCAGCTTAAAAACAAAAGAAGGGAAAAAAAAGAGTGATGCTTGAGTTATCAATTAGGATGGCTGTGGAGAGGGCATATCTGAGACACAGGATTTGACAAGTAAGCAGAAAGAAGCAGGACTCATTCAGGCCTCTACTCCCCCATTTTCCAGCCTGCCTATTGTTTTGCCTCATAATAATTCCTCTTGTAATTATAACATCGGGATGCACTCAGTGCTGATATTCAGGCCATGCCGTAACCAAGGATGGAGGTGACAGTAAAAAGGAAAGGGAGTTTCTGAGTCTGTGGTCCTCAGTACAGAGACCCTGGAGTCTTTGTTTCACATCTGATTCAGGCAGCCAGATTCTGAATTTCCCACACATTATTCAGAATCTTTTGCCAATGTCTTGGGTGTAGACACAATCAGGCATCCATTTGGAGGTCATGATTGGGATATCTGTAAAATGAGACCCAATCAGCAGCTCAGACCTTGCACACAGCATAGGCAATGAGAAGTCAGACATTGTGATCACACCAAAAAGATTCAAGTCTGCTGCAAAACTGGGAAAGACTTCCCAGTCAGGCTGTTTATTCTTCCTTGAAGCATGCCTAGAGCCACTCCCATTGGTGACCCTTCCCCCATGCCCATCTTATTTTATCAGTAGAGATAGCCACTCTATATGTCATATTCTCTTTTCCTGCTCCAGCAACCAATCTTGAAATGCAATCTAAAGTGGCCCTATATCTACTGTGGAAACCACTTAAAAGAGCCCAAGAGGATGCACAAAGATTCGTTACCACTAAGGATGAGAGTGAAACAGAGAGAGACAGAGACAAAGAAACGACCTTCTCTCTGAGCAGTCACACAAGAAACGCTTTTATGCTTTTCCAGTCCTCCACCTCCAATGCCCAATTAATACAATACATATTTTCTCACAATGGAGGTGTAACTTTTTTAAAGGGTCAGGGGGCCAATTGTGGTGGCTCATGCCTGTAATCTCAGCACTTTCAGAAGCCGAGGTGGGTGGATTACCTGAGGTCAGGAGTTCGAAACTGGCCTGGCCAACATGGTGAAACCCCGTCTCTGCTAGATAAATTAGCTGGGCATGGTGGTACGTGCCTGTATTCCCAGCTACTTGGGAGGCTGAGGCAGGAGAATCTCTTGAACCCGGGAGGCGGAGATTGCGTGAGCCGAGATCGCGCCACTGCTCTCCAGCCTGGGCAACAAAAGTGAAACTCCATCTAATAAAAAAATAAAAAGAAAAGGGTCAGGGTCAACTTGCACAAAGGGCACAGGCTTGAGATTCAGAAGACTGAATTCAGAAGCCCTAGAAATGTACTACACGCCCCTGAATTAATAAACTAAGCATCTGTTCTATGTATAGAATATAGGAATTACATAATACCTGCTTCTCTGCTACACAGGACCATTGTGTAAATCGATGAGATAATATATGTAAAAGCACTTTGAGAAATTAAAAGCATACTTCAGAAATCAAACATTGATTAGAGGACATCCATTCACTCAAGTAATGCTTTCTCTATAGCTAGTGTATTTACTTTTAAAACCCCAACAAATACACATCATTATTAAGGGGATGAATAAGTTCCATTTAGCTCATTGGAAAAGTGACAAAGTTTAGCAAGTTGTTTATATTTTCTAAACCCTAATTCCATATAAGTCCACATGCAAAAGCCTTATCTTTGTGACTATTTCTCCACCTAGAAGCTAAGCAGAGAATGGACTCGTTTTCCAGCCTTACCATGGTAGTACATATGATAATTTAACAAAAATGACTGTAAATTAGGCTGGGCATCCACAGGAAGCTTTGTATGTGCAATCTCCCTGAAACGTTTCTCATTTCTACACTTAAACACCTGATGCAGCTAAAGTAGCCAGATGAGCAAGAGAAAATCTCCGATCCTAGGGTCATAACTCTGTAAGTTTATTACATGTGAGTTATTGCTTTGAACCAGGGTTGGCTTCCAAGGCCAGAATCACACATCCCTAAAATAATGTCCCTAGCACCAGCAGAAAACGATCTTTACAATTCTCGCCTTGAACCCATGTAGAACTCCTACCTCATTGGTTACTTGTTTTCTGGACAGGGGAGTCCATCCAGCTCTGTAGTTCACCTTCAATTATCCCCAACATGTAACGGCTCATGTTCATGCTGGGGGAGGATAGAGCACCAAGTTGCTGCTGCAGGTGATTAACTGCTCACATGGAGGCAGGAAAGGCCATCTACCACAGGGAGAGGACTGGGCTCCGAGAACATTCTCTAATGCCACGATTTCCCCACGCTGAGTTCTGGGCACCACTCTAGGTAATTGACAAGCACCATCTACGTGCAGCCTTGCAAACACTGTGGGTGAGGCCAAGTGGTTCTGATTCTTGGTACAAATCCAGAATCAGAAGTAACACTCACCGTGTGCAGTGGCTCATGCCTATAATCCCAACACTTTGGGAAGCCAAGGTGGGAGGACTGCTTGAACCCAGGAGTTTGAGACCAGCCAGGGCAACATAGGGAGACCTCATCTCTACAAAAAAATTTATAAAACTTAGCCAGGCATAGTGGCACATGCTGGTAGTAGTTCCAGCTACTCAGGAGGTTGAGGCAGGAGGATCGCTTGTTCCCAAGACGTCAAGGCTACAGTGAACTGTGATCATGCCATGCACTCCAGCCTGAGTGACAGAGGAAGACCTTGTCTCTCTCCCTCTCTCTTTATGTGTATATATAAAATACAAGGCCGGGCATGGGGGCTCATGCCTGTAATCCCAGCATCTTGGGAAGCCAAGGCAGTAGGATCGTTTGAGCCTTAGGAGTTCAATACCAGCATGGGTAACATAGAGAAACCCCACCTCTACAAAAAGAATACAAAACTTAGTCAGGCGTGGTAGCATGGACCTGTAGGGACCTGTAGTCTCAGCTACTTGGGAGGCTGAGGTGGGAGGATTGCTTGAGCCTGGGAGTTCAGGCTGCAGTGACCCGAAATTGTGTCACTGCACTCCAGCCTGGGAGAAAGAGTGAGACCCTGTCTCAAATAATTAAATAAATAAATAAATAAATCACAAAACAAATTTAATTTTTTTAAAAAAGTAACACATAATACAGTAAGGAAAATACAGATACCTGAATTCCACCTTCCTAAAGATTTGGATTCATTCATCTTGGGTGTGGGCTCCCGTATCTGCCTTTTAAAATTATTGAGAGGTGACTCTGAGGCTTTCTAAAGACTGCCAATAAGGCCAATATTAATAATACCTAATGTCACTTGACGGCCATTACGTGCTGGGCACTCAGCTGAATGTTCCTTCTCCTTGGAATTTTACAACACTATCAAGTAGATGTTTGTATTACCTACATTTACAGATAAGGAACTTGAGAACTTAAAAAAGTCAAGGGCCTAGCCAGAGACTGGACATATCAGGGCGGATACTTGCACCCCATTTTCTCTGACTCTGAAATCTGTGCTCTTCCCACCTCAGCAGCTATAGCAGAAAGTGTTTATGTGAGAGGCAATTTTCTTATGCTTTCTCCCCTGGGACATTAGCGACGCTGTCAGCTGACTTACCATTATTATTATTATCATTAATAATAATTTCTCCTGGTGAAGCCTTAGGCCAAGGCTTAGAAGCATAAATTCCAGAGGCAGAAGCCAAGGTAAAGATGACACAGAGCATGCTTCTGTCAGGAGGGTGAGGGTCTGCTGGGAAGGGACATTTGCTTCTCTTCCCCTGGGGCTCTGACCCTGGAAAGCCACTTCCCAACACATAATTAAGATAAAACTTAACCTCGGGGCCTTGCACTACCTTTATGAATCTCCTTCTGAATCTCAGTCTGCCAGGGACCTTTACACAACAATACTTATAAATATTTTCAGCTCCCAAGGACTCTGTGGATGCAGCCAGGGACACTCCACCAGGCCCCTGTATAATCAATATTATCACACTGCTAAAAGATAATCATAATGCTTTAGATCCTTAAAGCTCCTTTGAGCCTAAAAAAGTTCAAAGCGCTTTCATATCAGTCTTTTCATTCTGTCTTCCCTGTATCTGACAGTGGAAGAAGGACTTGGGAAGGAAGCCGCTCTCAGTCCTTAATCCTGTCTCCAAGAAACTTGAAATTCCTGCACCTTCCCCTCATGTCACAGGCTCAGGGAGGAGCTGACATTGACTTGTTTTCAAAGGACTTTTTTTTTCTGTCTTTGGTCAGTATTTCCGGTCTAGCTGGCTTGGCCATCTCTGTGGTCTGTGGACCTCTTGGGTGCCTCCTATGGAAACCCCAGAGGATGGGTGCAGAGCCTGTAACTCCTACTCTGAGGGCTTGACACAATGTCTCCTCCAAACTGTGGGTGAAGGGAGGCTTCCTGGCAACAGCAATGATAGTTTATATTGTTTTGTCTGGAAAGCAGGATCTACTGGTGGAAAGAATTGATCTCACTTTGCACTTTGGGTTCAGGCCTTCAGCCACGGAAGGGCCACAGCTTACGCGTTCACACAGTGAAGGTTGTGAAGCTCAGGGACGGGGAGCCATGGAGCCTTCCTGGAGAATGTGAGGAGGATGCAGTGTCACAGGCTGAAATGATCCAGTCACGGAGCAAAACAAGGTATTAAGTGCAGCTGGAGAAGAAGGGGCTGGGAAGAACAAGAGGAAATGTCCCGAGATCTCAGTGGTGCCAAGCGTAGGA
The DNA here is from genome assembly GCF_000001405.40 of Homo sapiens. Taxonomy (NCBI): domain Eukaryota; kingdom Metazoa; phylum Chordata; class Mammalia; order Primates; family Hominidae; genus Homo; species Homo sapiens. Next base: position 131,512,948 of record NC_000011.10, on the reverse strand, counting down.
CTGAATAATCGGGTGCTAAATTGAGCCATTGATCAAGACCAAGGGAGGAAAAACTTTGCAGAAGCAACTTTGAGTCAAGACAGGGAGAGGGTGGGGGGCATGGGGCTGTCCCTTCAGGAACCACACAGGTGTCTGGGGGTCTGCCTGCATCCTCGTCATGGATCTTGGTCTGGAAGGTGGCTAAGGAGACGAGAGAGTGGAAGCGAGAAGGCCAGGCATCCCGTGGCCCAGCCAGCACATGCTGGGGCTGGGAGAGGATTCCACGGCCTGCTCTGTTTTCTCCATCCCTCCCTGCTGCCATCAGCTCAGGAGCTCAGAACTGGGCTGAGTCTGCTGTGGGGGGAACAGGAGAAGCCTAGCTGAGAGAAACTGAGGGCAGTAGAGAGGGAGGAGCACAGCCCTGGCATTTGACTTTGGCTTCTGCCCTGGTGGGTGGGAATCCTCCAGGAGGCACCCAGCTGTGGGAGTCGGCCTCTGGGCTTTCCATCCAGGTGAGATCACATGGGCCTGTCTCCAGGCTCTGGTTTGAGGACAGCCCCTGCCTGGGCTGGCAGAGCAAGGGCAGCACAGAGCAAGGGGAGCAGACGTGGTCTACTGAGGCCTTGCAGTAGGAGCTGGCAGCAAGGACATGGACAAAGATTTTAAATATATTCAGAAAGTGAACAAATGAGAGACAAAAGAACCAACTCAAAAATGATTTTTCCGTAATCAATTCAGTACATGCCACCGTGTGCATGCACCCACTGGCACACAACAAGAAGTCGAGCAGTTTCATCCACTCGTGTCCCCAAGGCTCATGGTCCATGCAGGAGAGCTTTGGTGATTAGGCCTGGAATTAGCAAGTGGAATGCGCAATTTGGAACTTGTGGGTCTCGGTACTTGAGTAGGTGCTTACCTGTCTAGACCCTGTGCTGTTTCTTTTCCCTTCCACTATCAGTGGCGATCTGTCTAGACAGCAGGTGGCGCTGGCTTCACTATGGCTGGAAATTCTGGACCATAGAATAGGGGCCGGGCCCTGCACCTGCCATCCCAGGTGTGGACAGGCTCTTCCGCTTTCATATTTTGAAAGGTCGCCCTCTGACACAGAGATTGGCTTTGCAAAGTGCTTTCAGTTACAATGGGATTGAGCAAATGCCCCATTTGTGCTGTAAGAGCTGAGGATTCTGGGGTCCGAATGGAACTAGATGTTGCCTATTTAGCAGTATGCACAGAAAGGAGGTGGAGGACGCAGCTGCCAGGTGCCACAGTGTGATTGCCCAAGACAATAATCCCATCATTCTGGTGTCCTGCAACTGGGAATGGAGGAAAATCAATCCTAAGCAGAGATGAGACCCAGTCACGTAATATGTATAACCTCGGGGTTTCTGTTTTGTTTGTCAAGTGCAAGCACAAAGTCTAGCTTACATGAGACCTTAGGCTTCAGATTGAAGTTTGGAGGCACTAGCATTGCTGATTTAAACCATTCTTAAGCAGGGAGGGAAATGAGGGGGTGTGCTGGAGTTGACAGGGTAATAGCATGAATCCCATGAGAGCCCTGGCCAGCGGCAGGCGAAGACAGAGGGTCTCTGGCAGTCAGACTTTGATTCAATTAGGGCATGGCACTGCTGCACTCTTCCCACTGGCTGGTGTCCCAGCCTTACCTGCTGGGCTCATGGCCTGGCTGGGGCCTGAGGGGATGGCTTGGCTCCTCCTGAATCTCTGCTCTGGTCCAAGGAACCCGTGTGTACCAACCACCTGCTTCCCTGCTCAGATGCCTCTGTATGTGGTGTAGGTCTCAGAGGAGTGTACGATGAGCTCCTAGAAGCACCACTCATCACGTGGCCTGGAGCACAGGACACTGTCCCCCTCAATTTGGCCAACAGCCCTGAAGAGGTCTTAGTCTCTTCAAAATCCATTTTTTTAACCTGAAGAACTGGAGTTCCCGAGAGGGTGACTTCCTCAAACCGCACTTTAAGTTGGAGGCAGAACCAAGGTTAGGACACAGTATGGCCCTGTCCTTCCACACAGATGGCTGCTGGCTCCTTCCAGAGAATCAAGAGGCACTGGCTGCTGCAGAGGGAGCTCTTCCCACGGCCCAGGGGGCCGTGCAGACCCACCCAAGCCAGGACGGGGCAGAAGGCCGAGCTCTGCACCAGCACCCCCACAGACCCGGTGGACTCCAACTGGGGCACAAACCTTGACTGCAAAACTGGGGAAATGAGCAGACAGAAAGAGATGGGCACAGGATGAGCTGAGCATTTGTTCATCCAGTTACAAAGGCCCCCAGGACTTTTATAAACGTCTAGTGGTCATAAAATAAAAGCAACAATCATCAAATGATCATAAAAGTGATATGATAGATAGAAATTGGTTTTTAGAATTTTTAAAAAATTAAGGCTGAAGTTATTGGACACTTAGAAGAAGTTAGTAGTTTGACCACAGTCTTGTAACAGGTAAGAGTTGGAGCTGGATTTGAACTGAAATCTGTCTGGCTCCAAGCACCGTCCTTTGGATGGCTAGGAAACATGAAAGGGCAGTTGGTAAGCAGACCCATCCACTCTCCATCTATGCTGAGAAAACACAGACAGAGGTACTTTACTGGGCTTGGAGCAGGTTTTGCTTTCACCTGGCAGATTCCCTGCTGCTCTGGGCTGAAGTGGTGGGAAGTACAGGGCCAGGGAGCCAGGGTGATGAGTAGAAAGCCCGCTGCGGATGAGCTGCAAGGCAGGCGGAGGGATGCGAGAGTGACAAGAACCACACAGTGTAGGGCTCATTCTCCGAAATGGAGCCACACAGCTTTCCCCCTAAGTGGGACAGTTTGTGTTGCTTCATCCCGCATGTAAATTTCAACCTGATGATGGCTATGCGGCCTCCAGGCCCATGACCTTTCCTCCACAGGCACCGCCAGGAGCTCAGCTACTGAGACAAGGAGAAGAAACTCTAGAGACGTGGGAAACTGGCCTCTGGCCCACCCCCGAGATCACCTCCTTCAGAAAGCCTTTTCTAATCCTTCTGCTCAGTCATTTCCTTCTTGCTTTGATGCCCTGAGATATGTGTCTTTATATCATGAAAATTGGCATCATCTTATTCTACCAGTCTTATGCTACTTGAAGCAATGGGCTGAGGAACATGAACCTTCAGTTAAACAGTTTTCTAGTTACACAGGTCTCCTTTACCTCTTTGAGCTCTATTTTCTTATCTCTAAAGAAAGAATTAGAATCCCAACCTCCTCTCATGATTAATGGAAGGATGGACTAAGACACTGCGGTGAAACTGTTGTGTGTGGTAAAGAACTAGAAAACAGTAAGAAATCACTTAGATTTTTAACGTATGGAGATAAACTGTCTCACCAAGAAATGTGTAAGTTCCTCAAAAACTAGAACTGGGTCTTCTATGTCTTCCTGTCTCTCACAGGGTCTAGTTAGGCAAGCATTATTCACTCAGCAACTGCTTGCTTAAGATTTGCCTTCAGGAAGTTTACATTCTGGTAAGGATAAGAGGTGCTCATTGTATTAATACATTGTAAGGCCAGGGAAGAATCTGCCTGTATCTGGGAGAAGAAGGCAGCTGAAGTTAGGAAAAGAAATGCAAAACCAGTGAGAATTTACAGACATTGGACACCGACAGAGTAAAGGGAGACCAAAGCGGAGTTATTGGGAGTGAGCCCATGCAGAGTGGCACCAAAACCAAGTGGTCTTTGGGGAAACCTCTAGCCCATAAGCAACCCCAAAGCCCCAACTTCAGAACAGTCATTAGGGAAGCTTTCCATCTGAGGTAGTGTGACCTTGAGGAGGAAAGGAGCATCAGCTGGCATCCTCCTGGAAGATTTGACATGGTGTAGAGGCAAGGGGACAAATGGGGTTTAAAAATTACAAAATTTTGGGGTTGAGTATTAACTGAGCAAATTTCTTTTTTATTATTATTATTTTTTATTATTATACTTTAAGTTCTAGGGTACATGTGCACATTGTGCAGGTTAGTTACATATGTATACATGTGCCATGTTGGTGCGCTGCACCCAGTAACTCGTCATCTAGCATTAGGTATATCTCCCAGTGCTATCCCTCCCCCCTCCCCCAACCCCACAACAGTCCCCAGAGTGTGATATTCCCCTTCCTGTGTCCATGGGATCTCATTGTTCAATTCCCACCTATGAGTGAGAATATGCGGTGTTTGGTTTTTTGTTCTTGCGATAGTTTACTGAGAATGATGATTTCCAATTTCATCCATGTCCCTACAAAGGACATGAACTCATCTTTTTTTATGGCTGCATAGTATTCCATGGTGTATATGTGCCACATTTTCTTCATCCAGTCTATCATTGTTGGACATTTGGGTTGGTTCCAAGTCTTTGCTATTGTGAATAATGCCACAATAAACATACGTGTGCATGTGTCTTTATAGCAGCATGATTTATAGTCCTTTGGGTATATACCCAGTAATGGGATGGCTGGGTCAAATGGTATTTCCAGTTCTAGATCCCTGAGGAATCGCCACACTGACTTCCACAATGGTTGAACTAGTTTACAGTCCCACCAACAGTGTAAAAGTGTTCCTATTTCTCCACATCCTCTTTAGCACCTGTTGTTTCCTGACTTTTTAATGATTGCCATTCTAACTGGTGTGAGATGGTATCTCATTGTGGTTTTGATTTGCATTTCTCTGATGGCCAGTGATGATGAGCATTTTTTCATGTGTTTTTTGGCTGCATAAATGTCTTCTTTTGAGAAGTGTCTGTTCATGTCCTTCGCCCACTTTTTGATGGGGTTGTTTGTTTTTTCTTGGAAATTTGTTTGAGTTCATTGTAGATTCTGGATATTAGCCCTTTGTCAGATGAGTAGGTTGCGAAAATTTTCTCCCATTTTGTAGGTTGCCTGTTCACTCTGATGGTAGTTTCTTTTGCTGTGCAGAAGCTCTTTAGTTTAATTAGATCCCATTTGTCAATTTTGGCTTTTGTTGCCATTGCTTTTTGTGTTTTAGACATGAAGTCCTTGCCCGTGCCTATGTCCTGAATGGTAATGCCTAGGTTTTCTTCTAGGGTTTTTATGGTTTTAGGTCTAACAAAATCAATGTACAAAAATCACAAGCATTCTTATACACCAACAACAGACAAACAGAGAGCCAAATCATGAGTGAACTCCCATTCACAATTGCTTCAAAGAGAATAAAATACCTAGGAATCCAACTTACAAGGGATGTGAAGGACCTCTTCAAGGAGAACTACAAACCACTGCTCAAGGAAATAAAAGAGGATACAAACAAATGGAAGAACATTCCATGCTCATGGGTAGGAAGAATCAATATCGTGAAAATGGCCATACTGCCCAAGGTAATTTACAGATTCAATGCCATCCCCATCAAGCTACCAATGACTTTCTTCACAGAATTGGAAAAAACTACTTTAAAGTTCATACGGAACCAAAAAAGAGCCCGCATCACCAAGTCAATCCTAAACCAAAAGAACAAAGCTGGCGGCATCACGCTACCTGACTTCAAACTATACTACAAGGCTACAGTAACCAAAACAGCATGGTACTGGTACCAAAACAGAGATATAGATCAATGGAACAGAACAGAGCCCTCAGAAATAACGCCGCATATCTACAACTATCTGATCTTTGACAAACCTGAGAAAAACAAGCAATGGGGAAAGGATTCCCTATTTAATAAATGGTGCTGGGAAAACTGGCTAGCCATATGTAGAAAGCTGAAACTGGATCCCTTCCTTACACCTTATACAAAAATCAATTCAAGATGGATTAAAAACTGAGCAAATTTCAACTTAGGTTCCCTGCAACAAGTTGTTTAAGGCCTGCCATGTTATTTTTCATCCCTGAAGTGGAAAGAAAATAATCTTGCCCTTCAATCCTTCTGATTTATTCTAGTGATCAAAATGAGAGGTTGTCTGTAAACAGTGTACCGATATAAGGGACGTGGCTTCACAGAGAACCCAGGCTTAGAGAGTCATTCATCTGCACATGAGATATCTATGTAAATATCTGTCTTTGGGAACAATACCCTGGGGCATCAAGTTTAACTCCAACATAAAGATGGGCTGTATTGCATTTTCCTTTTCCTTAATATCTACCGTGAGTTTTTCTCTGGGCCCTGTTCCCCTGGAATTAAAAGGACAGAGGTACCTGCTTTTGGTAGATATCCTTAGGTCTTGTGTCCATGAGCCCTCAGAGACAGAGGCCTTGGAAAACCAAACTGCAAAAGGAGAGGAAGTGAAGAGCACTTTTCCCAGGGGCCTACTGCCTCCTTCCCATCAAACTCCTGTGGCTTCTCTGAGGCCCTAGGGCTGTGCCCTGCCCCATTCCCATGATTTACCATCTCTCCCTGGCAAAGATAGTAACTCATCCTGAGAACTAGAACCTGGACACCCCTCAGAGGGCCCCCCAGGCTGCCAGCACTGGAAGCAGCCACCTCTCCCTGTGGCCGCCTCCTCCTCAGAGTGAGTTGACAGGATTTATAGGGCTGTCCCAGCGACACGCCATCTCAGTAACTGCAGAATGGCAGTTGTAAAAAATCCCATTTGCCAGGGTATTAGAATCCCATTAGTGCTCCCGATGGAGAAATAACCCCGACCCTTCAGAAGGAATTAAAGATATTCGGGCACCAGCATTTGGAGTGTTATAGGCCCTTCCCCAGTTTGGATGATCACACCAACAGACATAAAGCCTCAGGCACCAGATGTCCTTGGTCCATAAACCCCCTGAGAAAAGCCCTCCGAATGAGGTACGGAAAGGGCCTGGAGTTCCACAAATAGGCTCGGGAATAATCACAAGGAGTAATTGACACAGGCCTCCCTGATTTGTCTATGCTTGAGAATGAGTCATTTTAAGGAAAGCCAGGTTTAATTCAACCATTCCCTTACAACCTCTTACATCCTCTTCTCTCTCCCCCTCATCCTAACTCCATTCCCGGAGTGATAACTGACATCAGACAGAAACACCAACAGGCTTCTTATGGGTATGATTGTCAAAACAGAATCACCAACGAGACAAAAGGGCAATAACAGAGGCACACTGTTACATCTGGGCAAATCATCCCACTTTGTAAATCTAAGAAATAGAGGCCCAGAGAGGTGAAGTAACTTGCGCGGGATCACACAGCTAGTTAAACAGAAGCCTGCATTCTCATGTTCCTGCTGCTGCACTTCCTTCTGGGGAAGGAGAAGATAGTTCTCAACTGGGTTGGGTCTTCTGCACCCTGGGCATTTCGGATCATGGGCTCCGAACCTGCTGAGTGGCCACCGTGTCCTTTCCGTGGGTGTGAGCATGTGCGTGAGTGTGAACACTGATTAACACACTCTGCCATGGTGGTGAAGGACTGATATCTGGGAAGCCAGTTTTAGAACCTAGATTTGCCAGCTGCCTGCTGTGTGATCCAGGACAAATTATGCACCCAGTTTAGGTCTCAGTGTCCTCACCTGTGAAAAGGGGGTAAATAATCGCAGGATGTCACTTTCAACATCTTGGGAATCTTGTTAAAATGCCAATTCTGATGGAAAACGCTTGGTGATGGAGACTGAGATTCAGCATTTGTAACTATTCCCAGGTAATGCTGAGGCTGCTGTTTGGGGAACCATACTTTGATGATCAAAGTCATTAAGTCTTACAAAAATTAAACACAATGAAATATATAAAGTCCTTAACACACTGAGAATAATTATTCAATAAATGATCGTTGTTAGCATTACTTGTTTGATAGTTACCATAGACCACAGATTAAAGAGCATTTTTAAATCCCTACTTTGTGCTGTGAGCTGAGCTTCACAGAGACATCATCAAATCCTCAAACCACTCCTGTGGGACAGGTAATATTACCCCTATTTCTTAGATGAGGAGAATGACTCAGAGATTCGTGACTTCCCAATGGTCAAGTAGAAGGTAGGTTTCATGACTCTGAGACCACACCTCTTTCCCCTGCAGTATACCCCACTGTGGTATAGAGCAGCACCCTCAACTCATGTCAACAGCCTCTGCCTGTTGTCCAGCCAGGTCAGATAGTGCGGAGGAGAGGGTGTGTTGATTCTGAAAAGAATCAACATATTGTGGATTCTGAGACATGACCGCCAATTGCCAAAAGAGGAGAGAAAGCTTCCTCCAGGCTGGAGCGGGGTGCAGGCAGGCATATGTGCATGCAGGAGGAGTGGAGGGGGTGGACGGCTGATGGATGCACAGTGCGGGAAATTTACAGATCAATCAATAGACAGAGATCCAGGGAGTCTGGCAGCTGACAGACATGTGAGGGCACGCTGACACCCAGATGGCCATGGAGCACGCAGGCCAGGAAGAGTTTGGAAAGGCCAGCAGTGCAGGTCGAGGTAGACAAGCCTAGAGACAAACAGAGCAGCAGCACACACAATTTTGGTAACACCATCTGTGGGTGAGAGAACCCCAGCGCTGTGTGAAATGGACTCCAAATTCTATTTGGAGCTGGAAACGGGTGGTATGGTGTGCTCAGTTATTTTAAATCCCTTCCAATTCTCTGCCAAGAAATTCGATCCGGGAAAGCCATTCCTGCCAAGCCCCAAGGGGTTTACCAGGGCTGAGCTGGGTAGCTGCGGTCCTATCTGATTTATGGCAGGTGGGGGCAGCCGAGAGCCACCAAATTTGAGGGTATCCCCATGCCAACAGAGGAGAGGTGTTTATGTTTTCTCCAGAATGTGAGCCCAAGGGGTCTGCATTTGCAAGTCAGAGTGGGAACAGGCAACCCAAACAGGCTGAATTCAGGCATGCGCTGTGCGAGACAGAGATAGGAAGGGTGAGGACAGAGGTGGCTGGTGGGGCTCAAAGGGGACTGGCAGGGGGATGTGGAGGGACAAGCCACAGTGTCCAGAAGCAGGGGCCTGGAGGAAGCTGGTGGGGCCAGGGAGCCCTGGATGAGCAGTCCTCAGAAGTGTGGGTCAGAGACAGCTGGATCAGCACCTTTTCTGGAATCCAATTCTTATAAGGCCATGTCTTTGGACTTCATGCTCTGACCCGCCTGGCCTTAAAGCACTAATGACCCTAACAAAGGTAGTCAGTGTAGGGGTTGGTGATGGCATCTGAGTTAATTCCTACCCCAGTTAACTTCACCTCTAATAGAGAAGCCAAATGGATTAAAGAAACACGCACAACCCTGCCACTTAGCTTAAGTTTAAATGTATAACCTCAGTGGGGCGTGGTGGCTCGCACCTGTAGTCCTAACACTTTAGGAGGCCAAGGAAGGAGGATCACTTGAGCCCAGGCTGAGCAACACAGTGAGACTCTCTCTACAAAAAAAAGAGAAACAATTAGCCAGGCATAGTGGAGTGTGCCTGTGGTCCCAGCTATTTGGGAGGCTGAGGTGGGAAAATTGCTTGAGTCTGGGAGGTTAAGGCTACAGTGAGCCATGACTGTGCCACTGCACTCCAGCCTGAGCAACAGAGTAAGACCTTGTCTCAAAAAAAAAAAAATTGTAACCTCAAATATGAAGTGGACTTGACACGACCCAATGATCCCAGTCCGTTTTCCTGGTGCACCTGCTCTCCTTTCCTCCACCTTCTGCTGTCTCTGACCCTCCTCGGTGAGGACCTCACTTCTTACATTACTGCAGAGCCAGAAACAATCAGATGGAAACTGCAACACTCAACCTTATCCTCCCCAGATCTACCCTGCATGTTCCTGCTCTAACCTCTCCTCTTATTTCTGCTGAGTGAAGCTGGTCTACCTGCAGACAGCCCCTTACCTGTGCACAGGATTGCATAGTCCTCCACACCTTCCCCCAGGCACAGGACATCAGCTCTCATTCCTTTGTACCCTCATCATCAACGGCTCCCCTTACTGGAGAGTTCCTGTGGGCATGCACACTCTGCACACAAATGTCTTTATTTCCTCTCATCTGGAGATAAAGAGGCAACAGCCAAGGCCTCCCTGACCCTGACTGCAGTCCCTCTCCTCTCTGACCCATAAACCTCCCTGAGAAAGTTGTCTGTTTCCTCTGTCTGTACTTCCTCATCTTCCCTTGTCTCCTGAACAGAATCCAGTGAGGATTTGATCTCCATCAGCCAGAGGGAATCACATCTCGCCATGGATATGATGACTTCTGCCCTGCCAAAGCCAAGGTTGATCTCAGGTCTCTCGTCCTCCACCCTGCACTCAGGCAACAAAAGCATTCGATCAGATGCTGTGTTACACAGCTCTGATGTGCCGGGCTGGTCCTGGGTGCCAAGGATACATCTATCTGTCAATAAACAAGGGAGGCAAAAGTCCTTGCCTTTTGGAGGCTACGTTTTAGTTACAGACGATGACTTCAACAACAAGCAAATGCCTGACATGTGTGAGCAGGCAATGAGCGATATGCATCCACGTCAGCCTGGGGTGTGGGTCAGGATGCCAGAGACGCCGGGGAATGCAGCAGCATGGGCCCCGACTCCTCACTCTCTTGCACCCCTCGTCAACTTGCCTCTGTGATAGCACTTTCCCCCGCTCCCAGCTCCTGCCTCCCCTCAGCCTCATTTTCTGGTCTCTTCTCCCTTTTTTCCCAGATCTCCAGGTCTTGGTCAGTTTTGGCTGCTCTAACCAAATGCCATAACCTGTGTGTCTTCAACAACAGAAACTGATTTCTCCTAGTTCTGAAGGCTAGAGGTCCATGATTAAGGTGCCAACAGATTCCATGTCCAGTGAGATCCCACGTCCTGGTTCAAGCAGCAAGGACTCTCTCTCTCTCGAGGCTCCTTCATAAGGGCAGCAATCATGATGCCTTCATGAGGCCTCTCTGCCATGACCTAATCACCTCCTAAAGACCACACCTCCAAACTCCATCCTCTGGGGGGTGAGGATTTCAACATGGGAATGTTGAGGGGACACAGACATTGGGACCTCAGCAGCACGCCCTGTCTCCACACTCTCTCTGTGAGCACTCATCTAGTTGGGCACTTTAATACCATCTACAGGCTGATGTTTCCAGCCTCACCATTCCCTTGAACTCCAAACTCATAGACCCAGTCACCTCTGTGACATCTCTGTTGGAAGTCTAACAGATGTCTCAAACTTAACACTTTCATACCAGAACTGTTGATTCCAGGCTCATCCATTGATCACATGTGCACACACACACACACACTCACACACACATACATACCTTCTCTTCCTCTGGTATTCTCCATCTTAATAAATGGTGTCACCATCCAACCAGTTGCTCAGGCCAAAACCCTTGCAATCGCCAGTGATTTTGCTTTCTCTAACTCCCTCCATATCCAACTCTGCAACAAATGCTGTTGTAACTGGACCTTTACAGCACACTCAAGATCTACCCAATTTTGCATTGCTTTCACTGCAACAGCCCCCTTTGCCATCGTTTCTTACTTGGACTAGCAGAAATATTGTCATTGGTCTCTCTAAAAAGCAGCCAGCCTGACCTTTTGAACATATAAATCAGATCACAGCTTCCCTCTCCTGAAGACCCTCCAGTAGCTCCCAGTATGCTCAGAATAGAGCCTGAGGTCTCTAAGCATCATCTCCTGCATGTTCCTCCTCACACCCAGGCTCCAGCCCAGGAGCAATTCTCAAACATGTCCTCAACCCCTTCTCCTGGCTGGAACATTCTCCCCTGGCTCTTTACACAGACAGCTCCTTTTCATCTGCCCCAAACTCACCTCCTCAGAGGGGCCTTCATTGGCCACCCTACCAACAGCTATCGCCTCCTCTGCCAAAGCCCCCAGGCTGCCCCTCCTGCCTTTACATTCTTCACAACACTCACCACTCTTTGACAGACAGGATTTGCTTCCTGCCTTTATTCACCCTTAAGCTGTCTGTTACCCTCCCCAGAATGCAAACCCCTTGAAGGCAGAGATTTTGCTGCCCTCTGGTTGGATTGTGGTTACGTATCTAGGCAGGTCCGGAAGTCAGACCATCTGAATTTGGATTGTGGTTATGTAACTAGGCAGGTCTGGAAGTCAGACCATCTGAATTTGACTTCTAGCTCCACCACTTAATAACTATAGGGTCACATTTTCTTAATCCAGGATTAAGAAAATGTGGCACATATACACCATAGAATACTATGCAGCCATAAAAAATGATGAGTTCATGTCCTTTGTAGAGACATGGATGAAGCTGGAAACCATCATTCTCAGCAAGCTATCACAAGGACAAAAAACCAAACACCGCATGTTCTCACTCACTCATAGGTGGGAATTGAACAATGAGAACACTTGGACACAGGAAGGGGAACATCATACACCGAGGCCTGTTGTGGGGTGGGGGGAGGGGGGAGGGATAGCATTAGGAGATATAGCTAATGTAAATGATGAGTTAATGGGTGCAGCACACCAGCATGGTGCATGTATCCATATGTAACAAACCTGCACGTTGTGCCCATGTACCCTAGAACTTAAAGTATAATACAAAAAAAAAAAAAAAAAATATATATATATATATATATATATATATATATATATAATAAATAACTATAGGGTCTGAAGCAAATGACTTCACCTTTCTATGCCTCAGTTATCTCATCTGTAAAATGAAGGTAATAGTCAGCATACTTACTTACCTAGCAGGACTGTTGTGAGACTTAAAGGAGATAATAAGCAGATAAAAATAAAGCACAGGGAACAGGGTTCATTGAGAAGAATTACTTCATAAATATTTATAGAATAAATACATCTTAGATCCTAATGATTCTGGGAATAAAGTTCTAATCTGTGCCAGTAAAATGTACAACCTGTTCAAAGAGAGAAAGGAAGGAGTGGAAGCTGCTCTGAGCTTGAGTCCGCGTACTTCTCAGCTGGAGGGTGCTTATCCTCTCTCCCGCCTCCTCTGAAAAAATGAGAGAGAACTTCTGCTTCAGGGACTGTGGGGTTTGGAGCCCGTGGCCACTGATGTCACGTGGGAGTGAGAAGGCCCACAGGGCCAGGTCCATACAGCCTGAGACCTAGGGCAACACACTTGCAGGGCAGGCATGGGGGGACCACACACTGCACCCAGCATTTGCAGTGACACACAGCCCTCCTGTCCCTTGGTTTGTGCCGGAACACACATCACCCAGGGGTTTTCTTGGCAGTGATGTGGCTTCTCAAAGAGAAGAAATTATTCCTAAAATAATAAAAGATAAACAAAATAATAGACGTGTAGATACAACTGACACAGAAGTACACACTAAACCCACAGGGTAAATGCAGAGCGCATTGACGCGGGTGAAGGGGAACCTAATCTGGCTTGGGAGCTCAGGGGATTTTTTTGCTCTGATGCAGAAGAAACTTAGCGTATTAATAACACTGGAGAAGGTCTGTGTGGTGGAGAATTGTTAGCAGGGGAGGAGTGAGTGAGATGAGACTGGAGGAGTCACAGGGGACGAGTTAGGGATATTTGAACTTTTTTCCTCAAGAAGAAGGGAAAGCCAGGTTAGTGTTTAAAGCAGGAAAAAATGATATGATCCGATTTGTGTTTTTACAAGCACCTTCGTCATGGTGTGGAAAGTGGATTGGAAAGAAGCAAAAGTGAAGTGTGGGGAGACCTTCTGCAGGCAGTTGAAGTGTCCGGATAGGAAAGTGGCTCAGACCGGGCTGGGGACAGCGGAGATGACGGGGAGTGGGGGGCGGATGTGTGAGCAGGCACTGTTCCTGTTGCAACATCCTCTCACTCTATGAAGGAGTCATCATTACACTTATATCAAAGATTAGGAAGCCGAGGCTCTGAGCCAATGAGTACCTAGGCTATCTAGCTATTAAGTGACAAGATAGTATTTGAACCTACTGCATGGATCTCAAGAATGCTTTCTTTGTCTGCCACATCACTCACTCCAAAATGAATGTGTAGAACCATCGAATCTATGTTTCCTGACATTTTCCTATCGAATTATGGACACCCGCTTAGTGGTCATAATGTCTTCCAGGCTCCGAGAGCTGTCATAATCACTGTGCTTTATTGTTTAACGCGACTGGACTCCAGAGTGTGCCTCCAAGTGCTGGAAAAGAATGTCCCGGGGGATGCTTGGCCAAGTGATGCTGCCTCCCCAGAAGGCAGTGCCAGCACCAGCCTCCTGCCACTGTAGGGTGCATAGGTCACATCTCCTGCCTGGAACTGACACTGGCAAGACAATGCCAGGCAGAAGTCCCCGTGGCATGAGCTGGCATCCTCCTGCTTACCAGCAGGTGCCTCCAGGAGAGGGCAAGCAAGAATAAAGGAGATCAAATGAGGAGCCCAGCAAGTGGCCACCCCCTCCTGGCAGCTTTGGGCCTGGCTTCCCCCCAGCCCTTCCCAACAGAGCTCCCTTTCAGGCCCCAGATCAGCCCAGAGGCCACCATTCCAGAATAGGAATGAGCTGCTCATGTATATGCAAATGCCAAGATGGAAGGCAGGCTGGGGGAATTAGCATTTTTAATGAAACAAGATCAGAGGGAAAGAGCAGATGTAATGGGCAATAACTTGCTCTGTGTATGTGTGTGAGTGTGTGCGTGTGTGTATGTTTGGAAGAAAAGGAAGGAAAGGTCATAGGCAAGAGTAGAGGTCAGAGCCATTTGCAGGATTCAGAAGAAACTTCTAACCATCATAATAAAAAAATCAATAAAGTAACAGTACAAAAAAGTATGATTTCAGTAATGTTAATAAGCATTCAATAAATGTTAGCTACATGCCAAGCCAAGTGTGTATTCTTCTTCCCAGCCACTCTGGAAGGTGGGTAATATCCTTACCTCTCTTTTACAGAATACAGGAACTAAAGCTCAGTTCTGTCTGAAGTCCCATTACCAGTACGTGGTAGAGCCAGAGTTTGAACTTGGGTCTGTCTGACTGCAGAGCCCTTACTTCCAACCTCCCGTTGGAAGCAAATGCTTGGTGCCGCCAAGTGAAAATAGCAGTCAGGCAAAAGTTTATCAGCAAGGCAATTTACTTCTGTAGAAGGGTACATCTCGCAGATGGAGCGATGGAGAAACGGAGAGAACACACCTGACAAGGGAGGGGAAGGAGGTCTTATTCCTAACGCAGCTAGTCCCTACTGCTGAGTCTTTCCTCTGTTGGCTAGGGTTGGACCACACAGTCTAAGCTAATTCTGACTGGCTATTTTAAAGAGAGCAAGGGTATGAGCCGGAGTGGCGAGGTGAGTAGTTTTGGCAGGAGGGATGGTTACAGAACAGGTGACTAAGGATGACTAAGGACAGAGCAGGTGATACAGGCTAGGAGGGGGTTGTTTACTGAAACTAGGGGCAAGGAGACATAAAGAACAAGGAAGTCAAGCTTTAAAATGAAGAACAAAGAACAGGGAAGCTGAACATACTGATACATTGGTTCTTTGGAGAGAAGACTCAGAACTCATGGTACTTAACAATTTTCTCCCTCTTGAATTTTAAAGGAAATTAACAGGCTAAGCTTTGAAGAGGAACTTACTGTATCCTACACTCTGGTCAAAGCTGCTCCTGCCCACAGGCACTTTTTAATGTGGTTGTACTCCCAACATGGGCACCACACATCATGTAGACTCTCAGAAAGGGCCTCTTAGAAATAGTAACCTATGGGCTAGGCACGGTGGCTCAAGTCTGTAATCCCAGCACTTTGGAAGGCCAAGGCGGGCAGATCACGAGGTCAGGAGTTCAAGACCAGCCTGGGCAACATGGTGAAACCCCGTCTCTACTAAAAATACAAAAGTTAGCCAGGCATGGTGGCAGGAGCCTGTAATCCCAGCTACTCGGGAGGCTGAGGCAGGAGAATTGCTTGAACCTGGGAGGCAGAGGATGCAGTGGGCCGAGATCGCACCTCTGCACTCCAGGCTGGGTGACAGAGCAAGACTCGGTCTTGAAAAAATAAATAAATAAAAGAAATAGTAATCTATGGTGCAAACTTGAGGGCTAGGGGCACGGATAGACAGGCAGGAGATGGAGGCCCCATTTCATAGGGGTTTCCTCTGTGGACAGAAGATCACATAGAGCTGACTTTCTCTTCCAAAACCTGAACAGCCTCACTGTGAAGCAAAGCCCAATCCCTGAATTATCGACCTCCTGCTAGAGAGAATGCAGTAACAGCACCTCCCATCTAGGTTCAGTAGGAAGCCAGAGGGAGAGGCCTGAGGTTCCAGTGCTGGTTTGAGTTCTGTGGTTGGTTGTGCTGTCTTCTGAGGCCTCAAAATCTCTCCGTGCCTGTTCCCAAGTTGCTGTCATTTTTCGTATTATCCATGCTAATCATGTTAATATCACCTGGCTTTCATTTGAAGGAGATAGGGGGAGGAGGTGCTGTCTGGGCCAGCATGCCTGGCAGCCACACACCCATTTGGGATTCATGTCAGGCACTAACGGTTTTATTGAATGCATTATTGAACTGGAACAAGCTAAATGCCCCCAAATAAGCTGATGAAGATGCTGGGTCAGAATGACTTTCCCAGTGAAGGGGGCTTTGCTCTTCTTCACTCACTCAGCCTATGGCTCCCAGAGCTGCTGGTGGACCCTTCGGGGGAGCAATGAAGGGGATGAGGTATGTCTGTGGCCCCTGTGGCCTTTACATTTGGCTGCGGTTGTGCCGGCCCTGGCCTGCCCAGGGATTTTTCCCACTGCTTTGTCTGCAGCAAGACGCTGAGTGCTATCACAAAGGGTGGACCTTTTTCAGGTGAGCATCATCACCCAGAGAGAAAGGTAGGGTTTGCAGAAGTGCTGCCAAGGGACAGGTGCACAGATGCAGCATCACCAGACATGGGGCTGAACTCCAGCTGACTGTCCGCAGGACCTTGAATGCATCATCCTTTGAGGTGAAGGGGGTGTAAAAGCTGCTGTCTAGGTTATTCTCAGCTATGACTTCTAGATTCCAGAACTGGAAAGAACCCTAAAATGCTTCTTACTCTCTAGCCACACTGTGGGAACTGCACCCAGAAAATCCCAGTGGCAGGGGAGATGTGGGAAGAGAGAGATCTGTTTCCTTCTGAGCTCTTCATCAAGGGACATTCACTGGCTTCCACAGAAGTCATCTTTCCTTCAATCCTAATGAGTTCAGCTTTGAATTTAGCCAAACATCTCAAGTTCGGCAGAGTTGGAAAAGAATTCAGATTTCTTGCAATCATTTTTCAAACCCTCAACATCCTTTTGATAAACTGACACCTCTTTCACCCTCCAGCAGTCTCTTTTGCTAGCAAATCCATCCCACCAATGAAGTCAAATGTATCATTGTGCACATTCCCTGCGGAAGCAATCAGTTAGGGTTGGCTGGGAGCAAGAGCAAGAAGCTGACTTTAACCTGGGGCCTTCTGCTGAGCCTCAAGGAGGGCCCAATCCCCCTCCCCAGCTTGAAGCAGTCTGGGGCTTGAATGTTTGCCCTGGGCCTTGGAGGCCCTGAGCAACCCACACCCTGCTCAACCCTGTTTCCAGGCCGGCTTCTTCTGGCCGCACTCCCAGGCTGCAGCACATGATCTCAGCACCTGAGCCAAGAGAAGGAGGGCAGCCTACTCCCAAGTATCGACCACACTGGCCCAGCACCGCATAGGCGGCCAGAAAGAAGCTCCAGGAAACCATCATGGGAGAGGAAAGTTAGTGGGGCAGAGAGGCAAAAGCAAGCCCCACCGCAGCACAGGCAGTGCAGAGCTTTCCTGGCCCCTGGGCCACAGCTCCCAATCAGCATGATTGCAATCAGCCAAGGACGTGTGCATTCAACAGAGCAAGCAAAAACACGCAATCTGCAAAGCGCATGTCAAAAATCACAAACAAGGACAACAGAAACAACAGGGGCGGGGGAGTGTGGGAGAGAGGACTACCGACAGCAGGATTCTTTGAATGGCAAGTGGCAGGTTGTGCTGGCTGTCCCCTGGGACCATGCTGGGAACTAGCGGCTATGTGTAGGCCCAAAGACCCAAAAACAGTGAAAGTGGAGAGGGGGCAGGACCCAAAAGCTCAGAGTCTGCCCATGTCAGCCCTTCAATCAGTCTCTTCTACTACTAATTTTCCCTCATGTTTTTAAATTTAATTCTCAGCTTCCTTCAAATAATAGTCAATGAACCATCCAAATTTCCTCCAAATACCCTTGAAAATGTTGAATTATGCAATTAAGGATGGTGTGATACAATAATATGAGGAGAAATGTTGTCATACATATTTTAATGAAGCACACAGACTTGGGAGGAAGAGAGGGAGAGAGAAAGTGATTTCCCAGAGCTGCCTCCACCCACCTTCTGGTGACAGCTGCATCTTCATTGTTAAAATCTTGCTATGACATAAACCCCAGAATGAATGTTCACAGTGGACGGGAACTTGCAGGGCAGAGCTACATAGACTCAGGTCAAGTTGGCTAGCAAATATTTGGAAGGAGGTCAGTTGGTAGGAGATATTTTTTTTTCATGGATAGATGAAACATTCATCCATTTATTTATGCGTTCATTCAAGATATTTTGCCAGACCATGGTTATCATCTTTGCACATGCAATGGAGTGACCAATCATCTGAGTTTGCCCCAGACTGTCCCAGTTATAGCTCTGAAAGTTCCATATCTCACAAAAACTCCCAGCCCCAGCAAATGGGTTCAATTGGTTACCATAACATGGAAGTTGTATTTGCCTGGCTAACTTCACCATATTCATTAGGCATGAGCTAGTATCTCCTCTGGAAAGCCTTCTACCAGAATGCCAAAATGGATTTTATATTCCATGGCACGTTTAGCTGTTCCTACCGTACTCTATTGTGTGTTACCACCTGCTCATGCCAAATAGCCCTCTCCTCCCACAACCTGATCATAGCTCCTGGGGGTCAATATCATGGCTTATTGGTAATTTTATCTCTGCTACCTCACAGAGCTTAGACATTGTAGGAGCTCAAAGTTTTATTGGAAAACTGATGATGAAAATAATAATAATAACAATAGTAACAATTTGTTTACATTTTCTATGTGTCTGACCTGTAAGAGTATAACCTTAAAGGATATATAAGATCTTGAAGGGTAGAGACAGGGGAAAGTGCATTCTAGAGAGGGAGAATTTTGTACATGTTGAGTACAGTACTTGATAAAATCTAGGTAAATAGGACTTGCTGAATGACAGATATTTAGCAGTATAAGAATAAAAGGTATTTGAGGAGAAATGATAATAAATTTGGCATGAAAGCAGAATTGAAATAAGAGGCTACAGAGAAAAACATAGGCTGGCTATGGAGGTGCAGCTCAGTTGTGGATGCTGTGAACATGATAGTGAGTTCTCAGCCTTGATGGAATAGAAAATGAAATTCTAGTACTGGTTTCTGGGTAAAGGAATAGGGAGGTACAGTGTAGCAAAAAGTTTCTGGGGCTTACATTCTTCTATACCTGTGTTTAACTGTGATTTATCCTTTGGAAAAGTCACTTAATGTCTCTGGGCTTCACTGCCCCATCTGTGAAATGGGGGTACCAGTATCTAACTTGCAGAGTGGCTTCAGATCAGATGTAATACACGTGAGTTACCCAATACAGTAAGCCATGAGCCAATGGCAGCTATCAGCACTGTTGTTGTGGTTGTTGTCCATTCAGGAGCTGAAGAAAAATTAATCCAAAGAGCTGTGGGTTCAAAGAGAATTTTCCCCTTTATGAATGGCCACCAGAGAAGCTGCAACCTGGATCACCTGCTCAGTCACCTTAAAACGAAACACACAGAGAAAGCAGGGCTCTTTTTTTCCATGGGTCTTGGGGCCATTTTAAGTATTATGGTTATGATTATTCCCTTTAATGTATGGTTCCATGATCTTAAAACACGGTGGACATTATAATAATTGTCTTTTAAGTCATTTATCTGTTCTTTCATAAATACTTCTAATTTGCTTTATTTGAGACAGTGTCTCACTCTGCCACCCAGGCTGGAGTGCAGTGGTGTGATCACGGCTCACTACGGCATCAACCTCCCTGGACTCAGGTGATCCTCCCACTTGAGCACCCCCACCCCAGCCCCAGCCTAGGGACTACAGACATGTGCCACCAAGCCCAGCTAATTTTTGTATTTTTTTCTTTTTTTTGGTAGTGACGAGGTTCACCGTGTTGCCCAGGCTGGTCTTGAGCTTCTGGGCTCAAGCGATCTGCCTGCCTCAGTTTCTCAAAGTGCTAGGACTACAGGCATGAGCCACCACACCTGGCCCTAAGTTGCTTCTTTTCCTGCTTCTCTCATACAGGTTTGTTATTCCTAGACAAGAGGCCAAACAGTTTGCAGCTTAAGACTACACTTTTATGTATTCAGTTTGTTCACAGAATCTAGTACAGATCTGCGTATACTCAGTGCTCACTCCCTGCAAATTAACGTTCACATCATGGTACTCAAAGCCCCCATCATCTGGTCCCATTTTTTTCAACTTGATATTCATGCTCCAGACACATGGATCTATTTAATGTCCCCTGAACCCACTGTGCACTTTGAAGTCTTGAGGTGTTGAATCCATCTTCTGTTCCCCTAGCATCGGAAGGGCCAAGTCCTGTGTGGGATTTAGCAGGTAGACCGGGGCCATGGCTGCTTGTGCAGGAGAGAGTGTGGCTTGTGAATTTGGAGCCATACCACCAGGACTTGTTTCTCTAAGCTACATATTTTTCTTTGGTAACATTGGGATAATAACAATGCCTTTTTATGAAGTTGTGGAAGGTACTGTGTTAGCGTTATACATAAAGATGTCTTTGAAGATAACTATAGCTGAAATTTATTAATACACAATGTGAGAAAATGAAATGCACTCAAGGGTTGGCTTTCAGCTCTAATACCACCACTGATAGCTGGGTGATGATGAATAAGTCACTTTGCAATTTTAGATTTCAATTAATCACTCACAAAATGAGAGTAACAGTAACTGCCCTGCCAACTTTTCAGGGCTATTAGGACTGTAAGTGAGATGCTGTATGTAAAATTGCTTGATAAACTGCACAGTGCTATACAAATGCAAAGGTGTGAGTTGTTAAGCCAGCAGCCTCTGGAGCAGATGGACTCATGGAACCCCAGTTCCAGCAGGTGCCAGCAGAGTGACCTAGGGCAAATTCTTGAATGTCTCCATGCCTTCTTTCCATTTCCAAAATGGATATGGCAATCAAAACTGCCTTGCAGAGTTGTTAGGCAGATCATATGCGTTAATACATATAAAGTGCTCAAGCTAGTGCCGAATACAAAATAATCAGGAAAATGAGTTATGTTATTATTGTCGGATTATAAGCAGCATTGCTCTCCCTGTGTCCCCAGATCTTCACCAGATCTGAGCGTGTCCTGTGGCCTAAAGTTACCATTCCCATATGTGTCTCTGAAGCCACTGAAGAAGGTGACATTCATCTTAGCTGTTCTCATTCCTCATCTTGTCTTATCTCGCTCTGGTATCCTCTGATTCCCTATCCTCCCCAGAATTGCAACACAGATGAGTCATTTTACACTGAACGTGATTTCTTCATGCTGGGAGATAATACCAACTCCAGTACTTTATTAGTTAATATGTTCACATTGCCTTTCAGAGTGAAGCCTCTGGTCTAGGTATGAACATGGGCCCAGATCAGTGGGGCTTGAATATTATGCCATTTTGAGGTGCTCTTTAAGAAAAGAATATGCAATTACAAATATAAAATTAGGTATGGATGTGAGTATTTAATTAAAATGAGAAATCACAAGTAATAATTTTTTAAAGGCTAAAATATACCCACAAACATCAGAAACTCCAGGAAAATAATATTGTTATTAAATATCTCCCCAATGCACTTCTGTAATATTTTCCTATATTCTTAGCTATATACTTTTTATCACATCTTCAGATGCAAAGAATTTTATGTTACCATTTCCTATAGAAAGAATAGAAAGATAATTCGGTATAAACTCTGGCATAGTTGACTGATTTTTTTAAATTGATAGCTCAAGACAGTTTCTTTCAGCTTCCCAAATCATGATTGGTAACGTTATAGAAATTCTTAGGATGTTGGTCTTGAAAAACTTTGAGTTTCTTTCAAGGTCTATGATACTTGGTAGAACTTTCCACAGACTAGTTTCAAATTTCTTCCACTCTTCACATATCCCCAATACTGGGCCACATGAGACATGTTCTTATTGTACCATGTGACTTCTGGGAGACACTTGTGTCTGCATTGTAGGCAGTAGACACATTTCTGAAAGCCATCCCTACAGCAGAACAGCTAGCAAGAATGTAATATGCATAGACAGGATGTGTGGTACATAAAGTACATTTGATTAAATGCAAACTCAAGGCATCCCAACTCAAATTTCTCTCAGGTGAATCCCAAAAATGCTTTTTGCCATCGCAATGCCACCTGCAATATGATGAATGTTATGTCAGGTTAAAAGCAATGGAAGTCCTGATTGATTGCAGTTAAAATGTCTCACTTTAGTAGTTTACAAAACATGACCAGGTGACTATCTTCTTAGTGCCTCTTCCACAATCTTGCAAGCAGACAGTTCAAGTGACAGGCCCTGTTTCTCTTAGCTCTTTTTGCACTAGACCATCCCAAAACATAAGCAGATAAGGCCTTTCTGGATGCTTCAACTTCAGAGGCGCACCCAGCTGAATTCAGCCATGGAAATGACTCCAACTGTCACCATGTGGAGCAGCATTGGGTCAACCCTGCTGAGCCTTGCACAAATTGCAAAATCATGAGCAAGGAAATACTTGTTGTTGTTTTCAGCCACTAAGTTTTTGGAAGATTTTCTGCCCAGCAATAGATAATGAAAACAACAGACAATGAAATTTTATTAGATGTGTCATGCTGTCATGACAAAAGTCTAAGACTTGTGGTATTGGCTTTGAGCTCATGTAGCAGGTTAGGGGGAGCTCTGGTCTGGATATGGTTTGTTTGGCCCCACCACGCCTCATGTTGACATTTGATTTCCAGGGTTAGAAGTGGGGCCTGGTAGGAGGTGTTTGGTTCATAGGGATGGTTCCCTCATGAATGACTTGGTGTCATTCTCCCGGTAGTGAGTGAATCCTCACTATTAGTTTCTGTGAGAACTTGTTGTTAGAAAGAGACTGGCACCTCCCCCAACCCTTGCTTCCTCTCTCGCCATGCAATCTCTGCACACCAGCTCCCTTTCATCTTCTACCATGAGTGGAAGCAGCCTGATGCTCTCAGCAGAAGCAGATGCTGGGGCCATGCTTCTTGTTTATGTTGCAGAACCATAAGCCAAATAAGCCTTTTTTCTCTGTAAATTACCCAGCCTCAGATATTCCTTTATAGCAACAGAAAAAGACTAAGGCAGAGAGTAAAGAGGAGAGGCTCGGAGAATGGAGAGGTAAGTGAATACATTGTGAACTTGGCTAAGGCCAGGTAAAATTGAAAATGCTAAGTGGCTTCTTTTAGTAATGTATGTTGAGGCATTGCAAAGGAGAGAGGAGCCAAAGAATTGGCCAATTTTCAAGAAAAAATGAAGAAAACGTAAGGGCCCCCAGCATAGTTTTCCAGGTGGCAAAGATTCACAAAATATGGGCCTTCGGGTAAAGATCAAATCAAAGCTGTGGCTGAAGGATACCTTCTTAAGAATTCTAGAAGATTCAAGGCAATGTTTCCTAGACCTTCCAAGTCAGACAAAAGAAGTCCTGGAAATCATAGCGATGTTGCTTTACACACGCAAAGTAGCGAGAGGTTAGTTGCTGAAAGAATTATGCTAGGGCATGGAGCACAGAGTGAACCCTTGGTGAGGTCAATGAATGGCACATAATATTTTAAAGAGAATTATCATGATGGGAGAACTACCGGGTTGAATAAAGGGATAAGGAAGTTCAAAGTGAAAAGAGGCATTTGAGTCACAAGCTTTCTACGGGGAAAAAAGCAAGCTGAGAAAGTTATTCAGCTGCAAACATGGGCCATTTCTTATGAAAAAGGAAGAATGAATCTGAGGGCATAGCAAAGAGGCCAGAAGGTGGAATCAACCAAAAGTTGAAAATGACAGTTAAAGAAAAAGGGAGAAGAGATAATGTTTGGAACCAAGGGGAGAGCTGGAGCCACGGAGGAAGGTCCACCTGCTGGATCTCTGGCTTGAATCAAGAACCCTCACAGAGGCAGAGCTTGATGCTAATCACAGAAAATTCTTTGCTCCCAGGAAGGCTTAATGCACAGTGAATGAATGCCTTCCTGGATTTTAGAATTGTTATGGGCCAGTAACTGTGATGTGCTTCCTGTTCTTTGCCTTTTTAAATTCCAGTGTTTATTGCAAATATCCTGCGCTTGTATTAGCATTATATCACCATCATATGCTGGATATAGTGGGATTTACCTTGTATTTTCAGCTCACAGTTCTTTAGCCCAAGAAGTGCCACAGTCACATCTCAGCCCAATACAGATTATTGGATTTTGGTTTGATGTAATAATGGGATGAAAATTCTGGATGTGTGAGGGGGAATATATTTTCCACATAAGAAGGGCATGAATTGCTATAGTGAGAAGGCAGACTGTGGTGGACTGGCCAAAAAAAGGCCTCCAAGAATTCCTCCCACCCTGTATGCACATGCTGCACTTGCCATCGTGAAGTGGAAACTATATCCCTTTTTCTTGAATCTGGGCTGGGCTGCAAGTTTCTCTGACCAATAAAATGAGGCAGAGGCAATGCTGTGTCAGGCAGTGACATAGGTCTTTTGAGGCCTGACGGCTTTTGCCCTTCTGGAAGCCAGCCACCATAAAAAAAAGTTCAGGCTAGGAAATAAAATGACACAAGATCATGTGCAGAGATCAGGGTTCTGTGCCAGAGAACTGAAAAGCCTAGAGTGTGAGTGGGGCTGGCTTGTATGTTTCAGACCCAGCTGAGCTCCGAGCTGAATGCAGCTGTGTGAGTGACTCCAGCTGACACCACGAAAAAGCAGAAAGACCACCCGGCCAACCTACAGAAACATAAGAAATCATAAGTCATTCTTGTTTGAACCCCCCAAGTTTTGGGGTGGAGTATTTTGAAGCAATACATAATGGGAAAAGCCCCTGAAGCCTGAGTTTTCTTGGATTCATGGTGATTCCCCCTGTAGGTATAGAGTCTGGGTAGGAAGGCAGTGGCTCTTTTACCCACAGCCCTGTGAAGAAGGACCAGGCACTGGTGCTATGTGTTGACTGCTTTCCAAACTCTTCCCCACTACCAGCTCTGGTCTGTGCCAGGAAATGTAGACCCCACCAACTCTATCACCTTCTCCCTCACTGGCTATTTCTAGTTGAACTTGGCAAATGCCTGAACAAAGAAAGTGGTCCTCTTCCCCATTCCGTCCCTTCTCCAGAGCTGCACCTGTCAGTGTTTAAGCCTTCCAAGCTAGAGATCCGGCAGGCGGACCTTCCTCCATGGCTCCAGCCTTCCCCTCAGCTCCAAAACATTATCCCTTCCCCCTTTTTCTTTAAGCCTAGGGGTAGCAAGAGCTTTCTTGTTTACAAACCACTGAGTGTCTCCACATTCCTTTTAGGTGTTCTTTACCCTATCTGTAACCTCTGTAAACTGTCTCCTCAATACCATATCTTCACTTGAATAAAATAAAATTCTGTTTTCTATTGTTACCCTGGCTAATATACTCACCTATCCTTGTCTCCAAATTCTAAATCCTAACCCATAGAAAGAAAGAATGATAACAGAACAGGAAGTCATGGCTACTGGATTTCAATTGGGGGTTTATAATTTACTAGCTTGGTAACCTTTAACCAATCAATTAGCTTATCTGAGTCATAATTTCCTTCATTGAAACTGGAAATAATAATAATCTGCAGGGTTATGTTTGGGGCATCCAGTATTCATTAAGCCCTGGGTCCTGAATATGGAACTTATTCAGTACTATGTTTGTATACATCAGGGGGCTGAGTTAGAGGCCTTTATATTCTCCAGAGTTCAGCAAGAATCAAAACACGAGGCTATAACAAGAGTTTAAGATAAACATATGCTTTGAATGGAGAAGAGACTGACCACCTTTCTGGCAGGCTTCCAGGGGCCCAGGGATGGCAGCATAGGCATCAGAAGAGGATGTCTGACAGGCCCTCCTGGTGGTGGAGCCAGGATCAGACAGCAGCAGGAACACTGTTTTTTTTGCTGGGGTTTCAAATTGGTGAGCAAGTGGGTGCGTGGTGCTACTGAATGAAGAACTGGTGGCATTACAAAGAGTAAATAGGATAATGTGTTATCAAAAGATATTCTCTTTGTAATCAGAGGGCCACTCTGGCTCTTTCTGGGCATTATGCATTATTTATGGTCCATCCAGGGCTGGCATCCCGCTATTCGTCTGCTTCCTAAGAGGGATGGCAGGAAAAAGAATCTTTGAGAGCAATTTTGAGCAAGACTAAATGAGAGAGAAATGAGCAGATAAAGGAGAAAGAGAAGCTGGAGAAGAATGTGGTTAGAAAGGAAAAGAAGGAAAGGAAGAAGGTGACAGGCTGCCAGGGTGATGGGAGATGTTCACCTTGACCATGAGATAATCCAGTGTCTTAGGAAACTTGCTCCAAAGTCCAGTGGATCCAAAAGGCGGAATTGTATGGAGTTCAGTTATTTCACATCCCTGCTTATTCCTGACCAGAAAAACTCAATCTGGGAATCAATTTCTGCCAGGCTCCAAAGGGTTCATAAGAGGTGATGCTAGGTGGCTGTAGGTCAGGGAGCTGAGAGACATCCCCATTGAAGAGCATCCTCACTGCTGGGAAAGGAGATGAATTGAAAGTTGGCCCTGGGTAACCTGAGATGGAGAAGATTGAGCTGAGTGACCAAGCAGCACAATGAACCTACATTCTTGTACAACGTGGTGTCCTGCATGCCGTAGATGACTCTGCTGCCTGGAACTGGGACTTCAGTGCCTTTCTGGTAGCATGAATCAGCAAAGCTACAACCACCCCCATTTCCACTTCTAGCACTCAACTCCCTGCCAAGTTCTGGAGGCAATAGAGTCCCGTGTTTGTCTTCTTTTCTGAACACCCACAGTAATGCTGCTATTATCATTATCATCATCATCAAACACTAAACCCTTGCCAAGTGTCCTTCATTCTGTATTCTGTGTCAGAGAACTAATATCAACTGAGTGTCCAGTAAATGGCGGTTCCTCTGCTTGGTATTTAAATTGTGTTATCTAAATTGAACCTCACGACAACTCTGTCAGATGTCACAATCCCCATTTTATAGAGGCTATAGCATGCTCAAAGAAATAATTTGCCCAAGGTCACATAGCTCATCATAGGTGAAGTGTGGACTGCATTCCCTGCCTAGGATCTCGAGAAATGAAGACCAATATCCTCCTTCTCTTCCTCACAGTCATGTCCTTGAGGCTGCATTCAACACTGGAGGTAACCAGTCAAGAAAATCACAATACCCATTTCAGCACTGGCATGTGGCACATACAGACAAGCATAAATTAAGTCCCAGTTTCCCATTCGGGATGGTTGGAGAATAATCTGATCCTTCCTGGTATCAATACCCTGTCTGCAGGGGATATTGGATGAAAAGTTGACTTATTGCTAATTTACTACTTATTCTCAGATGTAACATAAATCTTCATTTCTTTTTGGAATGAATGGTCCTGCCACACATCCTCAGAAATAGACATGCCTTGGTGGCCAAAGACCAAGGCTTAGCTTTTTCAGGGGCTCTGGGACATTGCACTTTTGTATTTGTCTTTTGACCTCACCTCGAACATTCACCTGGAGTTGTTGAGATTAGATTGGATGGGGAGTCCCACCCCTCACACACACCTGCAAAATAATCTATACAAAATGCCTGCTGTGGTAGCTGGCACAGAAGGGCCTCTCTCGCATCTCCATTGCCTTCACTTGGAACTGATCCCAAATTTCCCCTGCCCCACCAGGTGGCCATGTCACAGCCTTCATCCTTCATCCTTCCTCCCAGCCTCCTGTCAAGAGGACCATAGGTTTGCATTTTACTTAGGGAAGGTACGTGCCTCTTGGCCTGGAGGGCCTGATGCCCTGGTGGTTGTGAGTCAGATGCATCTCTGGGATAGGGGAAGGCTCTGGTACCAACTGAGAATTTCAAATAAGGGCAGAAACAACAAGTGGTTATTGGGCATTGAATACTACAGACTCTATGCTAATTGCTTTAAAGATATTATTTAATCCTTTCCACAACTCTCTGAGGCAGGAGTCAGCAGTCCCCTCCTCCCACTCCATTTTTCAAGTATAAAATCTTGGTATTTATTCAAGGCAAGGAGGGGTTTGGTGGAATTTTCCATTCAGATCTCTCTGATTTCAATGCTTATGTTCCATTTCTGTTTGACTATCATAATTTCCACTTCCTTCTTATAATTATATTTTGAATTCTCAGGGTGTGGCCCACTGTCTGCAACATAGAAGATGCTTAGGAGGTATTCACAGCACGAATGAGGAGTGAATGAAGGAAGAGCATGCAAAAAAATGTCTTTAGGACTTCAGACCCAGACTGGAAGAGGAAGAGGCAGTCAGTGACATGGCTGGGCTGACTCTCATTGCTCCTGGGAAAGGGGCAGTGTCTACGCAGGAGGAAGAGGGTCTCAGGTGTCCGTCTCACTCTCCTGTGGATGGCCATCTGATGACTAAGGAAGGGCCAAATGCATCAGCCTCTCTTCACCTCTGCCCCTTGCCTCAGCCCCCTCAGCTGTCTCAGCAAAGAACCCTGTGTGCTGCCCGAAGCAGCGCTGTGTCCTCCTCCAGCTCAAGTTGGGAGCCTCCACCCTTTAACTGGCAAATTCAAAGGAAGGACCATTTTGCCTTCTCCAATACTTGCATTTGAAAAGGAAAATCAACTCTTGGGGATGTGCCAGTCTTGTATCTTTTACTGGCATCCTCATAGTCTCACCTTTAAATTGAAAAAAACCTTTCTTTAGTCTGTCTCTCTCTCTTTTTTTAATACAAAATTTACCAATAAGAGGAATTCAGTAAAAGATTTCTGGCATAAAGCAATTGCCATTTGTGTAGAGACAGGACACTTAACATAATGCAGGCAGAAAATTAGCCTGTAATCACTGCTTTCTTTTGGATCTACTTTAGATGTATTTAAGCCCAGGAGACTCCTCCAGACAATGTGCCCCCTGGGACTCAGTCCCTCCTCCTGCTCATTACCTTTGGTTTTGTTGTCTCCGACAAAGAAAATTAGGGCGCCATGGCTATTGAGATGTTTGTGTTCAGCCAGTGAGATGTTCACACACAAAAAAATGATAGTCACTGCATCTGATTATGGGTGATTCAATGGCATGAATTCTCTTGCAGGTTCGTGGAGGAAATGCCAAGGCCGGCAGCGCCAGGCAGAAGTCTTCCTTGTCCTGCCTCTACCTGGACCTTAATTGCCAAGGGCAGAAGACAGGCTCTGCTTCCCCCACTGCCCTTTTGTTGGGTCCAAAGAAAGAGCCTAGGCAGGGGCAGAGGCCAGCAGCCAGCTGAGGCTTTCACGCAGGGTGAAACGCAGCGGAGGGACAGCGGCTCTTCTTCGCTGCTGCTGGTTTTCTCACTCCCCCAACAAAGACTCAAAGTCACTGAGTGTTAGAGAATCCTCCAGATGAGCCTGGCAAGGGGAGCTGGAGAAGAGCCCTGTAGCTTTCATTGAATTCCCGCCTCTCCTTAAGAACTTAATTTCCACTTTCAGTGTCTCTCCTTTCTTCACCATTCCTTTTATTATAAAAATTCAGACTCCTACTCCGAGTGGAGCTGCTTCTTATTAACTTCATGACCACAAAGGAGTAAGTCGCTCTATGGCACTAGGCCTCAGTTTGCACGTTTACAAATGGGTTTGTAATGCCCACTCTTGAGACTTGATGTGAGGATTGAAACGAATGTGTAACCCTGACAGTCTTCTCACCACAGAGAGTAGGGGACTTCTTGGTCTTTGGCAATATTCAACACACTCCAGTTTTTAAAACTCATTAGGAAAGTTGGAACCACAGAATGTATTTCCAATACTAAGGTGAAGGAGGAGGCAAAGCCACTCTCCCTGTTTGAGCTTCTCTCGAAGCTTTGACTTCAGCCTTCCAGTTAAATGTGGAAACTCATGTCATCCCAGAACCCCATATGACCCAGTGTTGAGGGTTTCCATGCAAAGGAAAATGCTTCAACAACCTGATGCAATTAAAACTAATACCAGTGTTTACCTGTAGCCCTCTAAGAAGATTAAAAGAGATCTGCTTGATAACCATCAGCTAGACTTCTTAAAATTAACTTTCCTCTGCGTGTGCTTCTTCTCTCACATACAACACAGCTGCCTGAAGCTTCCTTTTTCCCAGGACCCATGCTCGACTCCCCCACACAAATCACACCCATAGTGAATTTTACTTTCTCATTCTCTTTTGCTCTGTTTCTGCCTTTTCTTCTCTCCCATGCATCTGTACCCTCATCTCCTTTACTCTAGTTCTGTCTCTGTCTATCCACTCTCCCAAATTTGCATCATAAAAGCTTATCACAGAAGATTAGCTTATGAGGTAGAAATCTCTTTTGGAGGTTAAATCTCTTTTGGAGGTATAGGGAAAGGATAAACAGAGTGGACAAAAATAGCAGTTTCTTTGTCAATCAAGGCAGCGTGCAAGCCTGTGAAGATTCACGTTAATGATTCCTGTGGCCATCAAATATGATGGAGGGAGGACACATCCCAGAGTGGTTAAAGATTCTATTCCAGCTCACCCAGGGACTGTATAGAGAAAGGAACACCAGAGCCAAACAGGTAAAAGCAAGAGGATGTCACGCTTTTGTCGATCTGTTGAATAAAAACCTGAAACAATTTTTGCCCATGAATATGCATGATGTATATGTCTCAGCTCTCATCAGCAGGGCTCAGCAGATGGCTGGAGTGTGTTGAGATCTGCTATACACTACACCTGAAGATTGTGATGGGTGGGGGGAATCAAGAGCTGGACAGAAGCTGTCAGAATGCAGAACACATTGTCTGGGGGAGTGGCAACTCTCCATTACCCTTGGTCCTGAGGCCAAAGGCCATGATCTTACAGAATATAAAAGGTAGCTCTAATGAGTACGACATGAAAAAGGGCTTGACCATTAATGGTCATTAATGCTCCCATTCCCAGGGCCATTAACCTTGGGTCCCTTGGCCCAATTCCAACTAGGTTAATTATATACCGCCTTCTCAAATTCCCTCCTGCCCTGACAGCTGTATGCAGCATGGTTTAAGAAATGTTAGCGGCATCTATCTTAATTATCAACCTGAGGATTATGCCCTCATCATTGGTTCCCATATATGAGCATTTTCATTATGAGTAGGAGGACTAGTGGGAACTTAACATGCTACAAAGGCAATGTCTTCTATAACAGGCCTGTTCCTAAATGTGTCCCAGAGAAGTAAATAAGGATTTTTTATTTTTTAATTTTTTTTAACCTAAGGTGGGGCTGTGTGGCTACATTTCAAAAGCAGAGATTGTACTGTTAACAATGCAGAGCTCATAGTGATGGTAAGGGGAGGCCAAGAGGACCAAAGAGGCCCTAGTTGCTAGAAAGCACTGGCTGTGTGGCTGCCTATGCTGACCTAGGGTGCTTCCCTGCAACAGGGCCCTGCAACCACACAGCTCCCTCAGCTCTTTCTAGTGTTATGAAAAGGTTGCATAATACTTGGAAGCTTGAGGCTTAGCAGCACGGCTCATGTTTGCCATTGCTGGCCACATCAGACACTGCCCTGACATTAACCACATCTGAAGTTCTCCCCCTTCTTCTCCACCATCCAGTACCCTCCACACTTCACAGGCCTTGCGTCTTCCCAAACTGGGGTCAGTCCTATGACTCACCTTCTCCAAGCCTTTGCCCAGAAAGCTGAGCACAGCCAGAGACACAAATCATGTAATTGTGGAGATGGGAGCCACACACTTTCACCGTCTCCACGTTCAGGGGATCTTCTAGGACTTTTCCAAGTGCGTTCGATATCTTTGGCTAATTCAATCTCTACTTCTCTTGACCTTCAATATTCTGCTAAATATTCACCTCAAGCCCATATTCTTACAAGACAACCTTCTCTCCCACTCATCTAAGGAAATTGAAGCTCAAATTTCCATTCACAATCCATCAGTATCAAATTCTCTATATCGATGTCCATTTCTACCTACTCTACTGTTTTCTTCACTCAAGCATTGCTTTATATGCAGTCATCGGTCTAGAAATACACTTCTACCACCCTCCCTACTTCTACCCCACTGTGCCCAGTGGATTCATCTGCACATTGCCATTAATTTGGAAAACCCCCACCCAATTCCCTCCTCAATTTTCAAAGGCCACAATATTTTTCAGCCCAAATTTTTCACCGACAGAATATATTACATCTGCATCAAGCCAGGATATAAAGTGAAAAGAAGCTTCAGGGGATGGAAAGAAATGAGTTTCCCCCACCCCCACCACCCAGACTGAAGTTAATGGAGACAGAGCTGGCCACTCTTCCTGGAAGACCACGGTTACCTCCCACGCCCCCTTACTCAGGAATGGCTAGATGCCCTTTCTGACTTTTTCCCCAGGTTTTCTGTTTTGGAGGCTCACTGCTATTTCCCACAATCTGCTCTATAGGAATCCCTTTTATCATACTGCTTTATTTTAAACCACCCCTATTTTAGAAACTGCTGGAGCTTAGAAACCAATTTCCACACTTGTTCTGAAGCATTTGTGGCATTTAGGGAAGTTGTACACAAGCTGCACGTGAGTTTCGTCATGGGAGACCCAAACTCAGTTTGCTCAGAGGGAGGAAGTCAAGGTGGAGGTGGGGGGTCTGTATGATGTCTTCATTTGGTGAAAATGCCTAGTATCAAGCGACAGCTTTTGGTGGGTAGAGGAAAGGTAGTATCCTGCTATCCAAGAAAAGTCACTTTAAGGAACAGACAGAGTTGTCCTTCAGTGGCATAAGGCATTGTGCTGGTACATCAATGCATCCTGCTTGACATTACCCTTGCAATCATTCCTGATAAATCACCCTCTCTCTTGCTACTACTCTGTTCCAAGGCCAGGAGTAGGTTGAAGCACTTGACTCAGTACGAAATTTAAGAAAGTGCAAAAAAAAAAAAAAAAAGTAATCAAGATAAACAATAATTGAATGCAGTATTTTTTTCAAAATGAAATCAATGCAAAAAACCTATGATGAATGACAGATCAAAAGTTTAAATAAAGCTAGGATCAGTAGAGTACCAGGTCAAGCCATAGCAGAGCCACAGGCCAAAGGAAAAATCAGTAATACTGATCCTGCCTCTATTTGAAATTTTGATATTTTGTTAATACTTTTTTAACATTGATTTTGATTTTTTTAAAAAAAAATTTATCAAAATGTTAATATTTCTTCTCAAGCTTTCACACCTGCTTTAATTCAGCATGCAGCTGAGTGCCTGACTTGCTTTCTGTGCTGACGTTCTCACACACAATTGCATATCACCTGCACCTTTACCTCCCAATGACCTTAGAATCACTCCCTTCCCTCCATCCCTGCTGCCACAGCCCCAGATCATTTCCTCATCGTCCCTTTCTTACATTAATTCAACAGTTCTCTATTTGGTCCACAGATTTCCAGAACCATTCTTTTCCTGGAAAATTGCAGAGCCCACTTTTCTGGCTGTTCCAGAGCCATATGGTGCTCTCTAGGGCCCAAGGTGAGGAGTTCCAAATTTTAGTCTGGCTGCAGCCTCCTTTTTCTCTTCCTTCCACCTTAGGCGACCCTTAGTTTGCCTCTGCAATCTCCTTTCTCACCATTCCTTCTTCCGGGCTCCCCAAATAACCCATCTGCTCTCATGTTGTGATGAATCCCAGCTGCTCTCTAACAGTTCTTCGAACCTCTCATGCTCTCTCCCACCCTTCTCAAATTTTATACATGTGGTTCTGTCTGTCTGGAATATTCTTCTCTCTTCCTTCAGTCTGGAAAACCTGCCCTGTATGGAGACTTCTATTAGCACATTTTCCATTGTATTATAATTGCCTGTTGTACATTTTTCTCTGTCTCCAAGCCCTAAAATGCTTCACAAGGGCAGAGAGAATGTCTCTAATTTATCTCTATACAAAAGGCATATAGCAGGTACTCAAAACAAGTTTAGTGGTTATTTAAGTGAATTATGAATAATTGGATAATTGAGTCATCATGGCCAGAATGCTCATAAACAAGGCTTTATTAAGCCCCTGGCTTTGCAAGGTGGCGTGCGGGGCACTAGGAATCAGTGCTGCCCTGGGCGAGTGAGTGTTCACCAAGCTCCTCAAGTCCTGGAGCTGCGTGGAACCCACATTTTATTCCCAACACCCAACACAGGCATAGGGCAGGACCAAGTAAAGAACCAGACTGGATTGAAATGTAGGTGCTGGGCTATGCGAAGAAGCACTTTGCTGCTTTCACAGAGCTGAGATGCCTAGTTTCAATTTTAAAACAACTTCATTGGATAAAACTAGACATCTTCGAAATGTAACCATTTCTGGGTAGGAACATCAGAGTTTTGAGTCTCTTCCTATAGAGCTGTGTGGTGAAGAAATTCAATGGGAACATCACTTTTAACAATTATAACCACCGTGGTCAGAGTCTCTGATTATGAATGTGCTTGGATAACCACAGAGGCTACTAGTCCATATGAAGCTTGCCTTCATTCATTTAGCAATGGTGTTGCTAAACACTCCTACCCTCAGGCATTTCTCTAGATACTAGACATACAAGATGTAGAAAACAAGAGTCTCCTAGTTATGTGGATGAGGCAGATAAAGCTGGCTGAATGTAGAATTACACTACAATGTAATAACCACTATGACAGAAATATGCGCATGGTACCCTGGTATGCTACCTACCTCTTAGGCAAGGTGTCCATAAATGCTCTCTAGAAGAGTTAATTCCTGATGTGTGCCCTGTAGGGGGTAATTCCCAAATTTGAAGTAGCCACGTAACAAAGAGAAAGGCAAATTAATCAAGGCAGTGAAAGCACGATATGCAAAATTTTGAGTTCAAAAACAAGATAAAGGAAGTTTCCATGAAGGAAACTGTAAGGCTGAAAAGTTAGGTGCCACAAGAAATGAAATGTGAATGGCAGATACTGACCGGGCCATGAAAAGTCAAAATACTTGCCCTGAAAGATTATTTTACAAAGGGGAGTGATCTGATTGAATTTGTTTCTTTAAGAAGAATTATTATGAAAGCAGTGAGAGAAGAAATAAGTGGAAGCAGAAAGGTCAGCTTTGGGTCTCTAGTGCAGCGTGGGCCAGAAAGTCACTGTGTGTAACCCAAGGGAATGGAAGGAAGGTAGAGAGCAGGTTCCACTGTCCTAAGGAACAGCAATTGTCAGAACCTGGTGGCCTGCTAAACGTTGTAGGTAAGGATAGGGAAGAAATCTAGTATGACCCACAGGCTATAAAGTTGGACTTCTGATGGACAAGGAACAGGATGGAGAGCAGGGAGTAGACTGATACATGCAGTTTTATCACATGCATTTTAGGGAGTTTTGATACATCTGGGAATAGATATCTAGAAAATATATCTCTCTGGGAAATAGTATTTTGAGACTCATCAGTAAATGGTTTTATGAAGTCAAAGAGGTTGTAAGAGATTATTCAGGGAGGTAGAAGAGAGTAAGGAGAACAGGGTGGATATGATTTACTGGACACCAACATTCAAGCTGATATAGGAAGCAGAGGGCGCATCCTCTGTGTCCTGGAATCACAATGAACCCTCTCCTCTGTACTCTCTCCTCCTCTCCCTCCCACTCAGTGGTCAGCCACATTCACTAGAAGAGGACCTGGTTCATATTAGATGCTCTGGCCACCGAGAATGGCAACATCAACCCAAATGCAGAAGTGGGGTAGAAGAGAATGGACAAGACTTGGAGTTGGGAGACGTGAGTTAGGGTCCCTGCACTGTTCCTTGATAGCTGTGGAATCTGGATGGGTTTCTTCACTGCTTCCGCTGTATTCTGACTTCATAAATCTGTTTTTTTTCATCTCTGAGATGGAGATTTGTTATGACTAGGATTCTTATAATTGCTGCTTGTGATCACACTGATACAAATAGATGTGATTCTTACATGGATCATCTTGGATCATCTGGGGTTCTGCATTCGCCTTTCTCCTCCAAGCATTACCCTTTCTCCTCCAAGCTGTGCTACCCTCCCAGAGTCTGGGTCAAACCATCACTGAGGCCTAAGACATGCCTATCGAGCTGAATCTATTATCACTCTGTTAAAACACGGGGTGCGGGGTATGCATAGCAAGTGCCCCCTAAGTTCCTCACTTTCATCCACAAGAATAGCCCAAAGAGGAAAGACATTCCTAATTAAAGGAAAACTTATCCGGGGTATGGTGGTGAAGGCTGGACGTCATCATAAGACAAAAATAAACTTTAAATGCTTATAGTATTTAGCCCCTGAGATAAAGATTAGAGAGCTTTTCCGCCTATGTGGGCTGAGTAGGAGAAGGGGTGGGTGGGGTGGGCAGGGGAAGTGTGGCTTCTTTTCAAAGTGTTCCCTCTTAAACTCTCATACCATAAAAAGGCTATTTTCACTAGAGTGTCTTTAGGCTCTCTCCTTTTTCTTTTATTGTCTTGATAAATCCTTTATAGGGGCAGCTGTCTTACAAAACTGGCCCAGAACACACATAAACCCCTCTCATCACAGGTTATAAGCCTGCCCCTCCTCCCATTACTTTGGAGCCTGTAAATAATAGACTGATTAGGAAACCAAGACTGGATCTGCCACAGCCCTGAGCACCATGCCACCTCTCTTCCCCCTTCCAGACAAGTAACAGATGGCTGGCCTAGCTAGCAGTCTAGACGAGCAGGGAGACCTTCTCCAATCCTAAGCATGGCCACAGGGCCCAGGTACATGATTAGCTGGGGTCCTGCTGCTACCTGGTTTTAGACCCCAACCCTGCCACTCACTTGTCTATTAAATAACTCATCACATTTAACACGGTGAGTTGATATGTAGTCTGTAGATAGCATGGAAGAGTGCTCCCTAACCTTAGTGGAGAATGGATTATGAATTTTCTAGAAGAACATACCCTAGGCAAGAACATAAAATGGGTGAAAAGCTAAAGAGTAAGTATAGATTTAGTTAACTTCACCCACCTTGCACAGACTAAGAAGAATACACAGGCTTTCCTCCCTCCTTTCCTCATTTCTTCCCTCCCTGCCTCCTTCCTTTCTTCCTTTTTTCCTTCCTTCACTCCTTCCTTCCTTCCACAAATATTTATCCTGAGTACCTGCCAAGTTCCAGGTAAATACCCAAGGCAAGGATTATGCCCATATCTCAGTGTCTGCATAATAGGTGGTCAATACATATTTTGAATGTGTCTTTATCTTCCTGCCTCTTTTTTTCTCTTCCCAATCTTTTCACAGTAACATCATTTTTTCCTCACTGTGTCTCCCATGACCTGTAAGGTATTGAGTTCATTATCTTTGTCTTTCATTTCTAAAGCCCAGTTATACTTTGGCTCATCTCATAAAATCCCATTAAACAAACAATCTATCTTTGGCAGTTTTTTCCTTTAAGAAAATGAATGTAGGGCTTCGTGGGTGATAATTCTACATTATTCAGGAAAAATATTTATATTTCCTCATTTTAAGTGATCTAAATATTAACTTGAATCCTAACTTACTAGATCATCCCACATGATTTACCCAAGCAAGATGTGTGATGTTGACTGTGATATGTAGCAGTTTATCAGCTCCCTGCATTTCAATCCTCCTCCTCCTCCTCCTCAGGGCAATTTTTTATTTCATGTCCCATTTTGCCGAGAGGGACAGGTACACCCTCTGTACCTGTCATGGCCCCCTTCTCATGTGTGGGAGCTCACAAAGGTTTAGGGGATTAAACTCTTCTCAGAAAAATATATAGAAACCTCTCCAAGAACAAAAATGCAAAGAAAATCAGAGGAATAACCCTATAATGAAATAATTTTAAATAATAAAAGATAATTAGTTATCAGCTTCCTCAAGCCCCACCATTCAAACCATGTGGGCAGATATCTACTCTGTCTGCTTAAAAGGTTGGGCTTGGTTTGCAAAAGTTACTTCCTCATATCTATAACCAACCGGGCCCAGCCAACTGGGAGAACAGACTACAGAGATGATGTAGTCAATGAGATGGTGGAGGAAAGAGGAAGAGAGATGTTTCAGGCAGAAGGAACACTCTGAGCAGACAGCTAGAAAACATTTGGCCTTGATTGTTTGGGGTAATTACAAGTGGCATGACATTGTTATTCCTTAAAGAGCAAGGGCAGGCAATGAGGCTAGAGAGAAAGCCCAGCATCACATATATTAAGCCTTTCGTTGTGACATAAAGCAGCTTGGACTTTGTCTGGTCAAATATGGGTACTAATATGGCCCGCTCCACATTTTGGAAACATTGCTTTGGGAGCAGTATGGAGGATAGGTTTGGGTGGCGTAAGGAGAATAGGGGCTATTGCGATAGTCCAAGAAGGATATAATGATACCCTATAACTAAGAGAGTGATATCAGGAATGATAAGATGGGCCTATATTTGAAATAAAAATTTCAAGACTGGAGAATGGAGCACGGGAAGAGATGAATGTTGAAAAGTCCAGGTTCCTGGCTAGGCAGCTGAGCAGATGGAGATGCTACAAATCAAGAAAGAGAATTCAGAAGAAAGCAGAGCAGGAGCTATAGATGATGAATGAGATGCTGGATATAAAGAGCCTGAGGCATATGGTACCTGGGAACCATCCAGGTGACTCTGTTTGGCAGACAGGTGGGCATGTAGGGGTGGAACTCATGGACTGGAGATCAAGATTGGGGAATTACTAGTATGTAAATGAGACTTTAAGACATGAGTGTAAATGAAATTGCCAAGGAGAAGATGTAGAGCAAGAGGTGAGCTACAGTTAGAGCCCAAAGAAACCAACCCTGTAAGAGGAAAACTGGGAAAGGGGAATGGGCCACAGGAGCTGAGGAAGAAGAGTTTCCAGATGGAGGAGGTGGGTTAACTGTGTCAACTGTTACAAAGGTGAGAGATGTGGATATGTTCAGAGAAAGATCAGAGCATGCTGAAAGCGTTTTGTAGTTTTTGCTGGACAGGAGGTCATTATTTCTGACTTGAATAAGAGTAATTTCAATGAAAAAGTAAGACTAGGGGCCAGATTGCAGTTGACTGAGGAGTGAAAATGAGAGAATGAGGTGAAGACAGTGGGGGTGTGAACTACTTTTTAAAGAAAGTTGGATGAGAATGGAAGGAGAAAGATAAGACCATTGTCAGAAGAAGACATGTTCAGGGTTTATTTTTATTCTTAATTTTAAGGGAAAACTCAATAGTTTGAAAAAGAAAAGTAGATCAAGAAAAGGTAGTCAAAAGGAAGGAGAGATTGAAGACGCCAGAGATGGAAGGAATAGATGGGGCAGAATCAGCTCTTAGCAGGGAGAGGGCTACCTCATCCTCTGAGAGAAGGAAGGCTGGAGCTGTCCATGTGATTTGGCTGGGAGAGTGGTTCTGTTTGAAATAAACAGAGGGAACAGGAGAGAGAGTGAGCCCCTCCCTCTCCACCATGGAGCTGTTATACCTGGGATGGCCACGCCTCATTGGCTTCCATTTTCCCTCTCCTAGCTCAGTTATGCTTCCAAGCTTCTCAAAAACCTTGCAGCTAGGAAATTCTAAGTAATGTCCACTCTCTAGTTCTTCTAATATTATTGAAAGCCTGCTTATCCCTGCCTCTTTGCTGAGAGGAGAAAAGCTATCTTTACGTGTGGTATTGCCAGGAGCAGAGGAAAATTGAGCCCCTATGAATGAGCTTAAAAAAATGCATGAGTTTGTGTCTGATGAATACGCCTTCACCTATTGATTCACAGGCTCTCCCTCCCCATCAGGATCCATACATTCTGCTCATGGACTCCCTTAGGAAACCCTCTTGGAGCAGTTGTCAAAGCATGGGAGATTTGTGTTTGGACATGGAGCTGCCATGCCACAGCCCAAGGTACCCCTGCCTGCCTTGGGCTCCATAGTGGATTACAGCCTCCTCTCTGCTCCTGCCTGCTACCAAGCCCCAAATAATGAGGGGTGAGAGGCTCACTGTTCAAGGGCCTGGTGGGATGTGTTTGAAGTCCAGTTATCTAAGTGCAAGTATCTTATTAAATGAGTCAATATTTATAAAATATTCTGAACAAAGCCTAGAAAATAGTAACCACCCTGGAAATATTGGCTATTATTTTCATTGTTATTAGTATTATTATTGATCCTCATATTCTTACGAGACCAAAACCTATTCTATGTACACCGTGGAAAATCAATTAATATTTCACGGAGTAATTAGTCAATGTGGTATACAAGCAGCTTGAAGAAAGATCAAGGGATGACTCAATCTCTGGGGGGTAGTGGAAGTAATGTGGGCTTCGGAGTCAGACAGGCATGAGGCTGGATTGAATGTCTACCTCTTACTAGCTGTGTCTTTCAGCCTCAGTTTCTTTATCTATCAAGTGGGTATGCTAAATACTACCTCAGAGGGCTATTATAAGGTATAAAATTACATTTATTCATTGTCAAACACCCATCAGCTTTTTTACACTTACCCCCTTCTCCTCATTGCCTTTACCCAGGAAGAAAGTAGTGCTGAAATTGTTTGGAAAAATAACTGTGTCTTTCTTAAGGCACCTAACATTTGCTAACTTGTATTTTGTGATTATGTGCACTTTCTAACGCTCTTTCCCCTCCTTTAACAGCCACATCCAACACACATACACACTCACACACACACATTCACACACATACTCACACAGACACTCAATGTTATTTAGGTTCAGAACAAGTTAAATCTGTAAACCAGGTAACTATTCTGTTCATGGGATCAGTCTTCTTTTCTATCCACATTCCCTTCCTTTTTCAAACATCTAGCCATTTCTCTCTGTCCCTGGTCTTCCCAAACACCTTTGCAATCATTTCCTGGGCAAGAGTGGTACCGGAGAGCCCTTCCAGAGAGTGGGGGCTGACACCATGCAGGGGGGATACCCAGTGTAATTAAACAAAGCAGGGCTGACTTCCTCATGTGTCACCCAATTAAATAGCCACACAGTAAATCACTCAAGGGAATCCCGCTGATGCCAGCAGAAAGAAGAGACTCAATTACAGCCTCTGAGGGGGCCAGCTTATTGTTATTTATACAACAGCATTCTGACTGGAAAGCCAGGAAAGAGAGATGTTCAGGTTTGAAGTGCCTCCTGTTAATTGAAACGTCTTGGTTTCAGGAGGCTGGTTGGAATTCACAGCCATTATGCACCAGATAGCATATCCATGCTCCCACTGGAATCTCTCCCATAAGCAAATTTTTATTTTTCCTACTTTGAGTCATTGGCAAGAAGAGCTCATTTCCAGACTGACTCCACAGAACACTCAGGGTGGAAAGACAAGCAGCTGGTGATCGGAGTAAATCCCTACAACCCCAGTCCCCAGACAGAACCTCCAGGAGCAGCTCTTCCACCCTCTCATTCATGAACAAGGCAGGCTATGCTGGAGACCCTGGAGTAAGCATTTGCCTTTTGGACAGAGTGAATTTACCGGCATGCTTCTGTGCAGATATTCTCATAATCAGAAATGAGAACTCATCTTAACCTTGTTACCTCAACCTCCAATGCCCCTGGAATTCTCACACTCATTCCCTAAGTTTTAATATAAATATAAGACTAATTCCCTCACGGCCACCCTGCCTCTCAGGCAGCTCTAAGTGGGCTTTCCGTTACACACTCTTAAAACACTCACCATCCCTCAGTAGCACATGTAACTATTACAACAAAATAACTCATGTGATGATGGTGTCCTATCTGTCTTTTCCCCATACGTGATAGATCCCAAGTGGGCAGAGATGAGGGCTGCCTTCATCACCCTTGAATCTCCTAGGACAGTGCCTGACAGAGAGCACTCCGTAAAAACTGGTTGAATGAGCGATTGGATTAACCAAGGAAAACTTCCTTGGGAAGGCAAATAGGTAAACAGAACTGTGCATTGTGTTTAGAGAAATCACAGATAGAATTATCTTGGGGATTAGACATTCTTGTGGAGTTATCTGGGTTGAGGCTGCCCTCCCCAGTCTGAGTTAGTAAGAGCTGACAATACTCATGTATGAATAACATGTCTGTGAGCTTCAGTTTGGTCAATCGCATTTGATTGTTCAGGAATTCACTGAGCATCTAATATGTTCCCAGCTTGATGTTAGGCTGCAGAGGCTGTAAAAATGTATGGCAGGAAGGTTTCCTGTCAAGTTTGAGCTTATGATCTCCTGAGAAAGATGAAATTTCTACTCGGCGAGCACAGTGTAGCTCAGAAATGGATTACATGGTCTAGATAATAAAGGCTTGGAGCGTGGAAATGCAAGTGTTCATAGGCATCACTTCTCTGCCTCTGGCTTGACAAAAGCTCCCAGAAGCTGGCTGCTTTCCCTTTTAAGTTCAGGAGTCTCTCACCTCTCCCTTCCCCTCAGGACCTTTGATAGTCCCACTGCATGCAAATGAAGACCAGGGCTGCTTTCACGGTCTGACCTGCTCATGTGCCTGTGAGCCAAGAGAGCATGTCCAGGTGCAAAGCTGGCTCCCAGAGGAGAGCCTCGAAGTAACTCGGGGAGCCTTTGGGGCAACTTGTGCTGGTCCCCATTGGCCAGGATTTGAACTTTCAAGCCTTCCTGCTGCTCTGGACTATCTCACTTTCCTCTCCCAGAGAACCATCTGCCTTCAAGACAGTAGCAACGTGTGCCAGTGTGAGGGTCTAGAGGAGACAAGATTAATTACTCTCTCATCAGAAAAAGGAAAGCTGGTAAATGTTGGTGTTTAGAGAAAAATGAGCTGGTGAAATACAGCCAGAATGCTTTGCCCAGTCTTTTATTTTGGAGTGAAAAATGGCTAATACAGTTAGACAAAAGCTTCTTTTCTAGGGCACCTCCTTGCTGGGAGTTGAACTCAGAAGGCTCAAATCCCTTTGCCTTTCAGACAACTGAGAACTCTCTTGGAAGCGGTACATATGGATTAGAGTCCTACTTTCCCACTAACTTTCTAACCCCGGGCTAATAGCAGAACAGGTCTTTAAAACAGAGAAAGTAACCATGTCCTGCCCATGGCAGATAACGTGAGGGTCATACTATCATATGAAATGAGTCACAGAAGAGGACGGGCAGTGTCCATGTAGATGAGACACACAGGTGCAAGCTATTCCATGGCTCAGTCACTCCAGCTTTCACCTCTAATTTTGTTCTCATTGGAATAATACCATAAAGAGCTACAGAGCTCTAAGGAAATGTAAATGCAGACCAGATTCATAGGATTTCCAAACCAAATTAGACTTTAGAATATCATTGCATTGAATCCCCTCATGCTATAAAGATGGACACACAGACAAAATCTATATAGTGATAATGAACATGGACTGCTTACGATGCTCCAAGCTTGGCTCTCATTATTCTACATGTAGGAACTTATTTAATCATCAAAATCATTCCAGTGAGGGAGGTACTATGATCATTTTTCTACTTTATAGATGAGAAAACTAAGCTCAAGTAACCTACCCAAGATAGCTCAGTGGTAGTACATGGGTTTAGCCCCAGGCAATCTTGTCCTAAACCCACCCTATCATTATGACACTGAGCCTATCAGCTGCCTAGCAACTGACTCCCAGAGAGGTATAGGCAGCGCCCAAGGCAACTCAGCTGTCAGGGATGGCCTCCAGGTCTCCTGATCTGCAGTCAGTTATCTGTCTATCTGTGATGGCAGTATAATGTAGTGGACAAGACTTTGAGCTCAAATCCTGGGAATGACCTTGGGCAAGTCATCAGCCTTCCTGGAATGTGGTTTTCTCATTTATACCCAAGTGTCATAAAAACAGTTTATCTTCCTCATAGCTGAGGAAGATATAAGAATAAAATGAGATAATATATGTATCCTGAGAATTAAGTGAGATAATATATGTAAAACCCTTAGAAGATGCCCTACTCCAAAGATAGTAGCCATTGTAGTTACATTGTGCTGCTTCTTACAGAAGCATTCACAGAGCCCACACACGTTAGCAGAGGTGGCCTCACAGTGGCAGTGGGTGGGGAGGGGAGATGCAGAGGCGCTGGTTGTGGGTGGGGAAACCCAGGGAAAGGATGAAACGGAGCTTGGATTTGCAACAGAGAGCAGCAGCCAGCTCTGCCAGGATAAGATGAAAAAATAAAGCAGAATAAAAAAGCTAGAGCCACAGGCCATGGGTAAGAACAACCAACGCTTTCCATCTGCTTATTGC
Organism: Homo sapiens; assembly: GCF_000001405.40. Taxonomy (NCBI): domain Eukaryota; kingdom Metazoa; phylum Chordata; class Mammalia; order Primates; family Hominidae; genus Homo; species Homo sapiens. Next base: position 131,468,982 of record NC_000011.10, on the reverse strand, counting down.
CTTGGTATTTCATCCAATTGTTCTGCCTTAAATGGACAAGAATCTGCATGGGGACAAGCACTCTCGTACCTGCCAGGTCCAGGCTCAGCTAGGATGCCCAAACCACCTGCCCCTTTTCACCCTGTGAAGGTGGAACAGCCAATTTTGCTGGCCAATCAGCTGTCAAAACAGAAAGTTCCTAGCTGGGGAAAAAGCTGCTTGCACCTCCCTAGGGAGTTTTGAAGATATGCAAACTTTTGCAATTGCTCCTGCCCACTCAAATCTCTCTTCCTCTGTTAACAACTCGACAGACATCTTGTCTGTGTTTGATAAATAAGCTTCTCTATTTATTCAGGAGAGTGAATTTGTAGCTATTATGATTCAAATGACATTGACATGATATTTTCTCTCTTTTTTCACTGTAGCATCAGAAAAATAAAATCTATAGAAAAAAAACTCACAAAAAAACCAAAGCAATTACTCTGCATATCGGCCCATGAAATAAATAAATGCATAAGCTGACTTTCTTTTGGGGTGGAGGTAAGGGAATTGATAAATAATTTAGAAATTGTTGCTGCTTCCTGGTTCTCAGAGATGCAGCTGGCATGTGCTAACATGAGGCTCATGCTGCATTCATTAAGCACCGAGCAACATTTTAATTCCTCAACCATTCACATTATCTGCAAGTGAGGCTGCATGCGGAATCACGTCCTGAGGATGTCAATCAACCCATTACACAGCATGGGCTTTGTCATATGGGGTGTTGCCTCTCATTAGGTGGCCTGAGCCAGCCAGTCAATCAGATGGGCTGGAGCAGACAGACAGGAAGGGGGGCAGGCAAAGTGCGAGTGGGCAGGCTGTGCACCTGCCAGCCAAGGGGGCTCTGCAGTGTGGAAGCCACCGTACTAAATGCCCTTCCTGTGAGATCAGTTCACACTGACCCTACGTCATCCCTTTCCCCCACTGCACTCTTCGGGAGCTGTCCAAAGAGGTGACTCAAGAAGTTTTGGAACGTTTCGGATGCCCACGATGTGTTAGAATCTTCTTAAATACAGAATCCCATAGACAGAGGAAACATGAGGGAGCTTGTTATCAGAAGACATCCTGGCCCATATTTTCAAGATTTAAGTGGCTGGGGGAACAGCTCACTCAGAGGTCACAGACTCTCTGGAAACTTCCCAGGTCATTCAATCCTGTGGCTTTTAGCCTGTCTAGACTGTGACCCACACAGCACACACTCCACCAAAATAAACTGTTCATAAAATATCCTTTCTATATGTTGAGCATTTCAGTAATTCTATTTTATTTTTTTAAAAATCATAAGTGGAGGCCACTAAATTATTTAATAACCTCTCATGGATTGCAGCCTGCAGTTTGAGTAACACTGGTTTAGTCCAACACTCAGGTATCTCAGGGCTGTGAACATAAGCAGATACATAGCCAGAGCAGGTTTCTACCTTGAAGAATCACTACCAGAATGTCTGGGGTAGCTTTCATCATGGCCAGCTCTCCACTTGGCCAGATAATAGAGTTCTGAAGTGCAGTTGAATTTTTTAGTTTGTGTAAAACCAATGTCTGGAGGCAGGGTAACTGGGCTGATGAAGTCCAGAGCCCTCCTGGTGGGAGGTGGGCTCCCTCCTGACCACTACTGATGAGTTATGGGAATGAGAGAAATTTACTCATCTCCCGTGGAAATGCAGACAGGCAAGGGCATGATTGTCAGGAGCAAGGGCTTCTCTGAGTTACAATTCATTTCCTCCTGGGATCCCTCTCCTTCTTACCCCTCTTGGCCCATCTGTCCCCACCTTTTTGTCTTTAGTTCCTCTTACATTCTCTTCTTTTCTCGTCTACTCTCTCCCTTCCTTAGCTTTCCTTTACCAACAGTAAATATATATTTTAAAAACATTGTCATTCATCATTCTCAAACTACTGAAGCAATTCTTCAGAGTCCCTGTACGCCAGAAAACTAAGGATTGGATTGGGAGCCTGTATGGTGTGTTTGCATGTGCGTGTGTGTACGTGTATGCACATGTGTGCACACGTGTGTGTCAGTGAGTGTGCAGTGAGCTGGAAAGCAGGCCAGTAATTTCATTCCCCTTGTCCTTGCAGTTGTGAAAGTGTGACCGAGTGAGGAATAAGTCTGCAAATTTCCAACACAATAAAAATAAATTAAAAGAAGAGAAAAAAATTGTGATTTTGATTTCAAAAAAGCTGTCTCCTTTCCAAGTATAGTAGTTATATACTTGATTCTATTTGCTCTATCAACAACTGTAGTGATTTGGAACCATGATATACCCAGCTACCTAATTTCAATGGAAAGGAGGGAATTCATGGAGATAATTACTGAGAGGCTAGTGATGCCGCAAATTAATACATATAACTTGTGCGGCATAACATGCTAGGGAGAGAGATTAGCAGAATGATTCTCATTTCAAAGAGAAACTGAGGAAGGGCTAGCACACAGCCTGCACAACCCCAGGGAGGGGTTAGTTCCAAGAGCTGACCTTAGTTGTCACTTTTCCCAAACCTCCACAACTGCTTAAGCCTTATGCAAGTTTGTGCATCTTAGATCAGGTTACTTAAATGCTTACAGTCCAAGTTTCCTTAGCTCTAAGATGGAGATAATAATAGCACCTGTTGTAATAAGATTGTGGTAAGGATTAAATAAAATGCACTTTGCACGAGGCCTGACCCTTAAGAAGAAGTCAATAAATCTGGGCTGCATTTGTAGCTTGAATTCCTCCGCTCATCTCTCGGTTAACATCTCCTTCTCCGTCTTCCCACTCCTCTTTGCTGTTTTCTTCTCTCTGCCCCTTGATTTATCTTGTGGGCTCCTTCGACGGGCACAATCCTTGGCTGTCAGGGTCGGGCAGGCTCTGAGAGGATCCAGAATAGATCACGCACCTGCTCACATGCTGCTCTTCTCCCTGCTGAAGGCTGATGGCTTTGGGCAAAAGCTTGTAGGTTCCTCATAGACACACATCCTGCTTTGCCTGACACTCCTGCAGAGTGATAGCTTCTACCCTGAAGGGGCGCTCAAAGGGCCATGCCCCCTTGTGGTCATCAGCCATCTGGTGGTCATTAGCAAGTATCAGGTTACCCTGCTGTGGCTTTGGAGGACAGAGAGGGGTCTCACGGCTCCAGGGCACAGCCAAGGGACAACCACAGACCTTTTCTATGAAGCTAGGTATAATTCCTGCCACATGGCCCTGCAGAACCGAGCTTTGGGAATGGCTCTGGTGCATTCAGGGGAGTATCTAGTCCTGTCTGTCTGTGCTAACAATGGCCCAATTTGGAATTCTGACAAAAGAAAAGACTGTTCGCTGTGGAATTCAATACTTTATTGACTTTCAATCCAAGTTTGTGCTCTGCTCTGTAAAATCACAGGTCGCAGGATACCTCAGAGGAGTACACAGATCCCAGGGGCTTAGGCCTCAGGGCCTGGGGTGAAAGACCCCAGGTATGACAAGAACTTTAATGGTTGGAAGAGAAGACATAGTAAGCTGGCAACCTGGGCAGTCATAGGAATGACCTTCTCCCAGTGGGCCATGGAGCCTCCTGCCTTCACCAGTCTAGTACTTCTAGTTTAAAAAAAAAGAAACCTGGATTTTTCTCAGATTGTAGTGTGATTCAGAGTTTACAGCTCCCTTTTCCAGTCTGGGCTGCAGAGAAGCAATGGGCTATGGTACGTGTGTGGGGCCAACCATCCTAGAGGACGGAGGCACCCGCAGGTCACCCATGGGGCGGCTCATCTGTGCAAAGCTTATCCCTAAGCAGCTCCACCTCGCCACCCAGCTGGTTAGTATTCAAGAAATGCAAACTCATTTGTCACCAGCAAAGCCCAAATGGGAGGGTCATGCCACTGTGCATTAATTGCCTAACATACAGCAAAGCCAAATATAAATCATTCTGGGGTCATCCATTCTTGGAATTTATCCACCATTGGGGAGAATTGGGAAACAGCTAAACTCAGTGCAGTATACATGTGTATACGTGTAAAACGTGTGTGTTTACATGTGTGATTTTTCCAAAGGCTTTAATGGCCTCCACTCCTAAATCACAGTTCTAGAAACATGGAGTCAAAATGAAAACAGGGGGTCTTGTCCAGCAGAGCTATCAACCCAGACCGGCACATTCAGAGGTTTGGGGATTTTAGGAAAAGTACCTGGAGGATCCGACCAACTTTCTAAGCATTGCTTGTGGCTCTCCTAGATCCCTCGCAGACCCGCTTGGACACTGACAGATGGAAATCAGCCAGAATTCCACAGAATGTGGTTCTCAGCCGGCAGAAGGGCGTCCTGGCCCCTCGGGGCACTGCTGGTTCCCAGGACTGGGGCGGAAGACATCTCTGATTTGTGAGCTTGTTCGAGGTGTCAGACTGCCTGAGTATGTAGAATATTTGCCAAATTGGGAGTTGGGGAGGGGGCAGTAAGGAAAAGGAGAGTGAAAAGGAAGAGGAGGGAGCCAGGAAGAGAGAAGGAAACAGAGAGGGTGGGAATCCTGTTAGGGAGGCAAATCTGTTGAGGAGCCTCCGTTAATTTATAACCTGTGAATGTACCACCCAGGTTAGAGACGGCTGCCAGAGAGCGGTTCAGTCATGAATGTATGACGGGGCCCCCTTTCCCTTGTTGCTGCCCCCCCCCCAGCTTTCCCTGCGTTGCTGCGGGTGTAGTGAGGGTGGGGCCAGGTGTCCTGACAGATCATTCTCCGGTCTTCTAAAGTTCCAGGGCTCCATGGTGTGTTTGCAACTCCCTGCCGCATTCCCAGAAAGTTTCCATATGGTGCTTGGTCTCCAGGGACTTGCTTTGCCTGACACTTTCATGAAGAACCAAGGGGCCAGCTTCCTGCAGCCACGTCCACCGCTCTTCCTGCTGGCCCCTCTGCACCCTCCTCCCTCAGCAGCCCCTCATCCACAATCTCCAGAGAGAGGAAACTCGCGGTCCTCAAGTGGGAGACGGGGAAACTGCCTAGAAAGCCAAGCACCACATAAACAGGGTTTAAGAAACAAGAGCTGTTACTTTAATTATGGCTCGTGCTGCTTTATCGCCAGTCCCGTTTCTCACACATTCATCAGAAACCTGGTGATAAACCAATCTCTGGGAGCCAGAAGCTGCCAGGGCAGGCTGCCGCCTCCAGGCCCCATCCTCTCTCCTTCCTGGGCCCGTTCTCCTGGAGCCACCGCCTGATTAGCATGCAGCCTGGCACTGCGGCTTCGGGCTGAGTCTGAGAGGCGCCGATGCCCCAGCATGGATTCCACATGGACTATTTCAGCAATGAAGAAGCGTCAGGAAGCAGAGTATTTGCAGGGGCCAGGTTTATAAAGGTAGGACAATGTAAAGCTAGTTCACGATAACAGTAATAATAATGCATAATAAATTCAATAGATTTATTTTTGATAAATGTATTAATAAGTATGTAATAGGATATTTAATACAAATACATTAAATAATAATACTAGCAGCTGTCATTGACTAAATATTCACCATGTGCCTGGCTGATATGCTAATCCCCAAGCCTGGGGCCCCAGCGGCCACACAGCAAGGTACAGATGACAAGCTGCACCTCTCAGCTGTGAAAATGGCAGTCAAGCGTTTGGCTCAGCTGTGCCCAGGTCACGCACTGGGGGGCAGAGCTGGGTGCTACCCTCACCCATGCCTCTCTGCTGTGGTCTAGGACCTCCTGGTGATGCACGTGCCCCTGCTTCCAGGATCCTGCCATGTGCACCTGCTGTTGTCGTTTAAGGCAGCACCAGGAGCTGTGGATGGAGAGCAAGGCTTGTGCTCAGATCCTACAATCTCCGGCTGCTTTCCACCATGGGACAGGAGGGCAATAGGATGGAATGTTGCTCCTGTAACCTTTTTATAATCTTTTTCCAGAAGAGAAAGCTGAAGGTCCAAGAGGTAAAGTCACTGACCTCAGGGCAGACCTGGGCCAGAGGGCAGCTCTCTAAAGGGCCGGCAATTGCTGCACTGCATGCAAAGAAGATGTGGAGAGGTTGTATTTGAATCTTCCAAATAACCTATTCTTACCTATATCTTCTTTTTTTTTTTTTCATGAGTAGATAAGTGACCCTTCCTAGTTCCAGGTTAGCCTTTTGTTTGTCACCTTTCAGCTGGGAGGCACAAGCCATGGTGGACCACCCTAGGTGGGCCTACTCTAGTGAGAAGGTGGTGGACCACCCTAGGTGGGCCTGCTCTAGGGAGAAGGTGGTGGACCACCCTAGGTGGGCCCGCTCTAGGGAGAAGGCAGTTTTGCTGCCAGGCCCTTCCTGGAAGTTGCTGTACAATGCTAGGAAGAGGGCAGGACATGTTGGAGTTTGCCAGGATCCATGCAGGATGAAAGGAAACCACTGAAACAGAATCAGATCCCCTCAACTGAAACAGTGGCCACTCTCAACCAAGGAAGAGGGAACTCAGGACAAAGAAAAGCAGCATTTAGCTGACAATCTTCAACCTTTCTTCTCTGCTGAACCGAATTCACTAACTTCAACGTGCCATTTGCATCCTTCCTTCTTATAAGGCTGACCCCAGCCCTCACTAGCCTCTTGATTTTGTCATTTTTGTATTTTTAAATGTTGGGTCACTGTTTGTTTTTTAAAACGGATGTATGATTGACATCCAGTAAAAGTCACCATTTTGAGTGCATAGTTTTATGTGTTTGAACAAACATATAGTTATGTAGCCACCTCCATAATCAAGATATAAGACATTTCCATCATCCAAAAAATTCTCTTGTGCCCATTTATAGTCAATTCATCCCACAACCCCAGACCCGATCTGTTTTCTGTCACAATAGTTTTGCCTTTTCCAGAATGTTCTGTGAATGGAATAATACAGTATTCAGCCTCTTGGATCTGCATTTAAGGCTCAGCCACAAAACATGTAACAATATCAGCAACTCTTTCTTCTTTATTGCTGAGTAGTATTTTGCTGTGTGGTGTTCTTCAGTTTTTTTTTACCCACTCACTAGTTGAGAGACATTTGGGTTGTTTCCAGTTTTTGAAAAGTACGAATAAAGCTGTTGCAAAAATTTGCATGCAGTTTTGTGTGTGCATAAACCTATGTTTTTGTTTCTCTTGGTCTTGCTGGGATTTCAGATAAAGGCATGTTTAATTTGAATGTCCCTGCTTTGTATCTCCCACATCTCTCTTTTTTCAGCTTTATTGAGGTATAATTGACAAAGAAAAATTATATATATTCAAAGTGTACAATGTGACATTTTGGTTTGCATACACATTGTGAAATTATTATCATAATCAAGGTAGATAATATACCCATTGCCTCAGAGTTATCTTTTTTTGTGGTAAAAATACTTAAGATCTGCTCTCCTCAAAAATGTCAAATATACAATGCATTATTATTAACCATAGTTACTGTTCTCTGCATTTGTCTTCATAACTTATTCCTCTTACAGCTACAAGTTTGTATCCTTTGCCCATCATCTCCCCATTTCCTCCACCCCGCTACCCCTGGTATGCACCCTTCTAATCTCTTTTCTCTGAGTTCAACTTCTTTAGCTTCTGCATGTTCATAGGTCTCTCCCATCTCTTAATGTCATTTCCACAGATACTTTTCTTTAGCTGTCTTTTAATTTTCTTTTCACCAACTCAAAATTGTTAAATATCGGTAGGTATCAGTCACTATACAGACATGGAAGTTACAAGAATTCATGAGATGCTTTTCTGAGATTTCTGTATCTCTATGGCACCCAATCTGCTGAGTAGTAGACATTCTACTTTGCAACAATAAGGGAGTTGGGATTATAATGCACTGGCCAACCCAAGTCTTATTGTCAGAAGATTGGCTATAAAGTAACAGTGATTGCCCACAGGCATACCCGTAGATTCTGGTTCACAGGCAATCCCTCTCTCAGATGTAGAGCAAGGTAGCTTTTGCAACCGATACCCTCATCTTCACAATTTCCCTTATACTTGAAAACATCCAGAGGAAATGATCTAAACTATTTGAAGAATACAAATATTTTGTACTGATTGTTCTGACTGTGCACAAGCTTAAGAAAGCTCAGAATCACAGTATTTTCATAATATAAGGTCACCTTGTTCAACTTTCTATCAATACTTGAATATCCTCTGCAACACTGTTGCTCAGCCAAGGGCTGAATTTCCCCAGTGACATCAAAAGCACTCTCTTGGCAGGGCGCGGTGGTTCACGCCTGTAATTCCAGCACTTTGGGAGGCCCAAGCGGGCGGATCATTTGAGGTCAGGAGTTTGAGACCAGCCTGGCCAACATGGTGAAACCCCGTCTCTATTAAAAATACAAAGAATTAGCCAGGCGTGGTGGTGGGTGCCTGTAATCCCAGCTACTCAGGAGGTTGAGGCAGGAGAATCGCTTGAACCCGGGAGGCAGAGGTTGCAGTGAGCTGAGATCGCGCCACTGCACTCTAGTCTGGGCGACAGAGCGAGACTCCATCTCAGAAGGAAAAAAAAGAAAAAAGAAAGAAAGCACTCTCCTGGTGTGATGAATCGAGCATAGTATTTGGATTAAGAAGTGCTTTATGAAACTGCATGAGTTGCTACAGGTTTTGCTTTCTTCATCATCATCATTATTGTTGTCATTATGTCATCTATAGATAATTCCGAATACTAAAAATTTTACTTGTATACTAAGCCAAAATCTGTAATCCTATTACTTCATTTATTGATCTTACTTTTGGCCTTTGGGGCCATTCAAAATAAATGAGAACCAAGTGAGAGATTTCAAAATATTTGAAATCTTCATTCTTCTCTCCAGACTGAAGGCTAGGCTCCCTCTGTTCCTTCTATTCCTCATCAGAAGACATGACCTAGTCTATTCATCATCTGGGCCATGCAGGGCATTACGCTGTCTATGAATCCCTGACTGCTTATAATGCTGGAAATAAAGTTTGTTCTGGACACTGTTGGTCTGTTAATACAGTCCCATATCTCAACTTTTCGGGAAATTACACACACTAACGACACATCATACTTTCTGGCAACTAAAATTCCTAAGCATTTTTTTTAAGTTCTGCCACGGAGCCTTATTTTCTTTTACTGCTTTGAGACAATTGTTTTATTTTTTTAAAAAAATACAAAACCTGGCCCACTTCCTAAGCTTGTCAACATCCTTTGAAATCCAATTCTGTCATGCTAATAACTAATCCACCCCAGCCTTGAATCAGGTGAAAGTATGATCTGCATGTCTTCAGTAGCTCTATCTTATGCTGATAAATAGGTTAAACAGGACAGAGTTGAAGACTAAGGCCTTCCTCCAGGTTGACACAGACCCACTACTCAACACTATCAGGACTGTCATTCAACTAGGTACAAATTCACCCACCACCCAGGACCGTGCTTAGATTTAAAACATGAAATTTACTAAATTTCTTCACAAGTAACTAGGTAGAAAAAGGAAATGAGTTAGGTTAATAGGACTTACTCATAGTGAATCAATGCTTGTTTCCAGTGAATGCGGTTTTCCTTTCTAAGCACTCATAATCATCCTATTAATTCTTTTTTTTCTATAGTCTTTCTTTCTAAAAGCTGGCAATGTGTAAGTTGAAATTCTGAACATTCATAATAAATACTGATAATACTGTATTATCGTATTACTTCTTATTCTCATCAATCCTATAGATGAACATAGAATTTAGACTTTCAGTGATGTGCAATGAACACATCTATAAGATAGTTTAAAAATATTTTTGGAAGACACCAAGCCCTTTCTGAACCTGGGTGATACAACTGTAGAGAAGCAGGTGAGGACAATGGGCACCTGTTTATTCAGCACCTTGCTGGTGAGAGCAAGAGGCCTGTGGCCCCTGGACGCAGTAGGTCCTGAATGGCAGCTGTCTGATCTACTTTCTGAGAGTGGCGTAGATGTCTGCACCCCCATGTGGGAGGCTTATGCACAGATCCATGAAGGCATTTTAACTGCATGGAGAGGTGGTATTCACATTATCCTGTGCAATCTGGCCAGATGCCTTTATGTACAAAGAAACAAGAGCTAGCTTCTCCAGGGAAGCCAAGTAATGGACATGATTGAATGAAATCATGTTTTTGCCCTAGGGCAGTGGGTATCCAAGTGCAACTCCTGAACTAGAAGTCTCAGTATCAATTAGGACCTTGTTAGAAATGTAAATGCTTGGACTACAAACCTACGGAAACACAAGCTCTTGAGTGGAACCCAGAAAACTGTTTGAATAAGCCCTCCAGGTGACTTGATGTGAACTAAGTTTGCAAACCATTGCTCCAGCATTTGACAACCCAGTTTAGACAGCCCTGGGAATGGGTGGCCTGAGATTGGTAACTACTCTCAAAATTTAATTCAGCAAATGTTTTCTGTAGTGTTTATTCTGCCGAAGGCCTTGTGCTAGGTGCTAGAGATAAGACACAAATGTGAGTAACACATCACCCAGAGCCCCTATCCTAAGTGACAGACAGTAACACACGTCATGAAAATCCTGCTGGGTGTTAGAAGGAGAAAGAAAATCAGTCCAGTTGGGTAGGGAGAGAGGCTGAGGGAAGGTAAATGAGAACAGATGAATTTTGTGATGGTGGGATTTTGGTAGGCAGAGGCTGGGGAAGGAGCTCCGCAGGTGTTCTTGACCACTCTCCTCTGTGCCCTATAAATGCTTCGACTATGGGCTTTCCCCTCCAAATGTGCACATCTGTGTGTCTCCATCACTGCATCAGGAAGGCTTTTGTCAGGTCACAGGTGATCTCGGCATAGCCAAACCCAGCAGTCTCTTCTTAGTTCTCAGCTCACTCCACCTGCCAGCAGCACTTGTACTGTTGATTGCTCTCCTGCATAAGGCACCTGTAAACCAAGAACCCACTCTCTTCTTTTCATCCTCCTGCCTCCAGGCTCTTCCTTCTCTGCTGAGTATTGGAGTAACTCCAGGCTCAGTAATCAAACTTCTTCCCTCTCTACTCACACTCATCCCCTAGTGATCCAGTCTCAAATGCATGCATTGCATACCCTCAGTCCATTTGGGCTTCTATAACAGAATACTGTGGAGTGAGTGGCTTATGAACAACAGAAATGCATTTCTCACAGTTCTGGAGGCTGGAAGTCAGAGCTGATGGTGTCAGCATGTCTGGCTTCTGTGAGGGCTCTCTTCTGGGTTGCAGATCACTGCCTTCTCATTGGCCAAAAAGAGAGCTCTCGGGGGCCACCTTTATAAAGACAGTGGTCCCATCCATGAGGTCTCCATCTTCATAAACTAATCACTGCTCACAGACACTACCTTGTAATACTATCAAATTATGAGTTAAAATTTTAACACATAAATTTGGGGGGGGAGGACAAAAACATTTAGTGCATTGCACATATGATTCCAAAATTTTTGGTCCAAATCTCTTCCTGAACTCCGGATTTCACACACAAACACCTACTTAACGTATCCGTTTTGCTACCTCACAGGCACTGTATGTAAACTTACCATGCCGCAGTATCATTTCTGGCATACTTCCTCTTCCCTTAATCATCTTCCTTTCGGCAAATGGAATAACCCCCAGTGGCTTCCCATCTTCCTCAGAGGAAGATACAAATGCTTCTTCGTGGCTGGCCAAAGTCTCTCTCTGCCAGCCTCTCTCTGACCTGCTGCTCTCCTCCCTTCCCCCACCCCTCTTTTGGGTTCCTGTGGCTTCTCGGCTTGTGCTCACCTCTCTACTGCATGCAGGGGGCCTCCTTTCTGGCCATCTGTGTGCTCTCACTTCATGTCTCTGCTTAAATGGCACTGCATCTGAGAAGCTACTCCCATCCACCCTATCTAAAGATACAGGACACACTCTCTTGGACTTAGTCTTCTTTGTTTTTCTTCATGTTATATGTTTGCTAGTTAGTTTTGCCTTCTGTTGTCACTTGGATCCTGGAGGAGAGCAACTCTCTCATGGTTCAACACCATATCCCTAGCACCAAGTACAGCTCCTGGCACAGAAAGTATGCTTGATAGATATTCATTGAATTATTGATTTGTAATATGTTACAAGTCCATTTCCCTGAAATAAACATTGCACCCCTTGAGCACACTGAAGCATCTTATATGATGCTGGACCTCCGTCATCCAGCATAGGACCTCACACATGGTGTTGCGTGAACTGAGGAGACATTTCAAGAGTCAGAAAAGCATGAAAATCATAGAGATAGGAAAGCACAGGAAGCTTAGGTCCAGCAAATAATCCAATTTAGCTGAAGCAGAGATCCGTCCATATAAGAGAAAAAATAGAATTGTAAACCTCAAAGGAACATGCTAGTGTCATCAACTCTAGCCCCAACTCAAAATGTAGGCATGCACAAGCCCTTACGAGTAGACAGGATTTTCTCTATCGGCAAGGAGGTTCTTTGGCTCCAAATTAACATTATTCATGATATCAAGGTTTCCTTTCGGGCTCCCCTTTCCCTTCTCAGTCCCATTTCTCTTAGAGCTGAGCTGAACCCCCTCTTTGCAAGCTGCTTACCCTGCAGCACCCCTCCCTGAGGCAAAGAGCCACACTGGCTTTCTGGGCCTGTCTGTTTTGGGAGCCATGCTGGGGCACTCGACTTTAGCTGGCTTGATGAGAACGAAGGAGGGAGGGCAGTCCCAGCTCAGTTCTGAAGCAGAGAAGGTGTGAATGTTGATTATACAAATTGGGTCATTCCTGTCATACTCAACCAAAACAGAATCAAGAGGCCAAGGGAAAAAGCACTCAGGACACATAACATTGCTTCAGAAATATAATTCTCTGCTAGCCTGGTTTCTGGAACTGCCTAGTGTAATTGAAAACCAGTTTTATCTAACAGCGACTGAAACAACCTGCTGCTACTGAAACAAACTCTGAGACCAGTTTTACCTACCATTGTCACTCACCAGTCAGAGCTTGCCAGCTCCTTAATCAACTTATGCCTAGTGCTCCACTATTGGAACGCTAAGCTAGTAGTTATTTATATCCTACTGCTCAAGGTCACCGCCAAGGTCTTATTTTTCACACACACAAAATTTGCAACCTAGGCACAAATGGGTCAAGACTTTGCTAGTGCCAATGAACTTTCTTTCAGAACAATGAATAACATTTCTCCTTTTTATAAAACTTCCAACTTTCTCTTTGTTCATCAGACATACCAAAGACCATCCACACTGTATGTCGGCCTCAAAACGCAATTCTTGTTTCCCAGATAAAATGTTTCAAATTAAGACATTCATCTCTATATTTATTCGACTTCAACAGAGGTGACGTGCCAAGTTGAGGTATGCCCGCTGCCTTGCTGACAGTCCTCCTTGCAAGGCCTCCACCACTCCCAGCATGTCCACCAGCCTTGAGCTGCTTTGCTTCAGAACTTAGACCTGTTGGATCACATCCAGACCCCTCGTATAATACAATTCCTCTGTCCAGCCCTGGGCTCAGACCTCTATTTGAGCCTGGACTTTAGCAAATCTCTATTTGACTTTGAACGCCACTGCTAAACCTTTCTCCCTAAGCTTTTCGAGACCCTCCCTCCATTCTTCTCAGCCTCTCCCCCTACCTCAGTGGACCCATTGTCTTCTATGTAACAATTCCTTTGAGAAAATGATAAAACTTACTGATTCATCGTTCTACTCCTTTGTGGTCAGGCCCTCAGGAAGGTTTTAGCGCTTGAAGCCAGAACTTGAGCTCAGTGGTCTGACAGTGGGAATGCCAGCAGCAGCCTCATCGTGCGGAGGTGGGGCTGCAGCCTTCAGAGAGCTGCACAGCCTCTGGGGTGAGCCTCCGCTTGGGCCGTCTACTCGTAACACCTCCTGCATCTAAACCTGTGGCCAAGCCTTATGAACCCACGGGGCTGGCTGCAGCTGTTGCATTACAGTTGCAGATTTCAGGTCGATTACTGAGTCACCCATTGACAGCACCTGATGCTTTTACTGGCCCAGCTGCTGCCAAGCAGATTTTAAGTCTTGCTGAGCCTCTGAAATGGAACTATCATGCTTGCGTTGAACAGCACGCACACAAAATCAGCAAATGTATAGTCTACAAGGGTATCTGCAACAATGTGTCCTGTTTGGAGATGACAGACTGATTAAAAATATTAAAGATTGTGATGTCTTCCCCCCTCCCTATAGAACCCCTTTCTCCTCTGTGTGTTTATCTTTTGCTGGAGGCACATTTCAGGGCTTAAGCCTGACAGTTTCATTTAAAATTATTTACACTATGCCAAATACAGGCTTTATATATTCAGGTGATTTTTCTTCTCTCTGTGGCCCCAGCGTAATATCAAATCAGGGTGTGGAGGATGTCCACAGATCAGGATGTAATGCAGCTGTCATTAATTTCTAAGTCAAGCCCCTTTCTCCACTGCTCCCGCCCCTCTCCCCATCACTCCATGCAAACACACTGCCTGTGAAGACAACTTCCTTAAATTTATAGCACCGGCAAACGTGTGCTTTGTGGGATGGATATAAGCTCTCTGCCTCTCTGCCTCCCTTACCTTGACTGACAAAATCCCTGAGTATGGCCCTAGCTCTCCTAGCTCTGTAAAGCGCAGGAAGCAGCAGTGTGTAGGGACTCTGCTCTCCACTTAAAGTGGGTAAAGGTGTGTTGGGGGACGCCTGCCATTGCCACACGTGGCCTTTCAGAGACAAGGATAGGGAGGAAAGGAAATATTTTGTTTTTAAGAGAGAAAAGGGAATACAGTAGTCCCCCCTTACTCAAGGGGGATGTGTTCCACAGCTTCCACTGGGTGTGTGAAACAGTGGATAGTACAGAACCCCACATAGGTTAATATGTTTTTTCTTATACATACATACCTATGATAAAGCTTAATTTATAAATTAGGCATAGTAAGAGATTAACAACAATAACTCATAATAAAATAGAATGATTATAACATAGTCTGTAATAAAGGTGAATTTGATCTCCCTCTCAAAAGATCTTATTATACTGTACTGCAGGTAACTGAAACTATGGAAAATAAAACTGCAGATAAGGGGAGATGCTGTAATCCTTTTACAGGTGAGCTGAGCTCTATCTGATTATAAAACATTGAGGAAATAAACGTGCTTAGAGACTGGGAGCGATGTTTGATGAGAAGGTCCCAGATGGAAATGATGCTGGAAGGTTGCACGGGAGACAGGTTCAGCCCAGCTTGCACTTCCCAGCCCACTACTGCAGGCTCATCCCTGTGGGAACCCCACACCTAAAGGCTCTTCAGCCCTCCTTCCCCGAGCCTGCTGGTGTGGGAGGGACATGTGGATGTTGGAGTTATCACACCGTCCTCCCCAGGCAGATACCTGCAGCCAATGCTGAGCAAACATTAGAGATGGCAAATGGCTCCTGCTTTCCATATGGACGTGGAAGCTGAGGTTTGGGAACTTTAGACAGTTCCCTTTCACTTAGATTGCATATTTTATACCAACATACAATATACCAATACACCAGGAAGGTGGGTATTCCAGAAGGCTCCTTGTGGACTTGCTAATTCCTGGATAAACTCTTCTTTTGTTTGCTTGTGTTTTCTTTGTTATTTTTTTTTAATGAAAGTCTTTCCGTTGTACTTGTCGCTTTGTAGTCTCTTTCTTTTCCCACCTCTAGAGAAAAGTAGTCTCTATTCTTCATGCAGGGAATAATACTTGTGGCCTAATTCATAATAGGGTTGTTGGTACCAAGTAGTTACTGTTCCCCAAGCCTCCTAAAAATGAAAAAATTCAGACTACTCACTGTTACTCATTATCATCACAAGAGTTCTCCTCTCTTTGAAGGCACATACGGGGAAGTTGCAGAGGTTGAGTTTTCTACAGAAGACATTTCTTTCTTCTTCTCCTATGTCCCAACCTCCCATCTCTGAGAGGAGCTCCTGCTGTCATAAATTTGAGGGATTCTCCTCTGCCTATGATAGTTGGGGGCTGATGATCTGAATCCCTGTCCTCAACCATTGGTCCTGAGATGACATTGTGGGCAAGAAGGGAGGACTTAGAGATTCAGAAAGCATCCATGGCCCTGAAATATCTCTGCTTTTTGGACAGACAGCTCTGCTGAGCTGGAGCCATTGGAAATACGGTTTTGGGAGAATTGGCCCCAGAGAAAAAGAAACCAGAGTCGTGCATGCTTTTATCACCCAGGACATTGACAATTCCACAGTCCCAAAGGACTGCCAAGCCATGAAGATGGCCATTCCCTTGCCCCCAGCCCTGCACACCTGCTGAAAGTTTATTAAATAAAGTAGCAGCCTCAGTCATCTGAGCGATAAAAATCCCACCCAAAGGCAGTACCAGCACCTGTGTGGCCTGATTCTAAGTATTGTCTGCACTGCAGGAGAAGGGTGCAGGAGCTCTCAGGAATCTCAGAGAAGCTGGGCTCATACCAAGAACCATAACTAGTTGTGGAGTCTTGGGAAAGCCAAGAAGCCCTTCAGCCTCAGTGTCTTCATAGGGACTAAAATACACGTCTATGTCGATAGTGGCTCTCCAAACAAAGCACCTGTCATGCAGAGGACATTTTCCCATATCATCACATAGCTTTACAAGATGGCAAAAAAGTTATCATTAACTTCTTCCTACAAATGAGCACACACATGTCAGTTGGTTCAGAAGGCTTCCTCCTGGCCTGTTTTAATTCAGAACACTCTAGAAAGAAGTAGCCATCTGTGGAGGTGCTGAGCTCGGGAAACGGGAAATGTCTTTTCCCAAGCTTTAAAAAGAGGATGCCTTCAAAGGTGAACTCCCTGCCTGAGACCACCAATGGACTGTGGGTGAGCAAAGAGTGTGTCTGTGCCACAGCAAAGCTCAGAGAGAAAGTGGGGCCTGCAGCCGGGAGGCCACGGGGCGCTCGGCAGCACAGCAGTTTGGGAGTCCAGGCACTGCCAACAAATGCCTTTCCATTTCTCAGCCCGTTAAACTCAGAAAACTCCACACATTCAGAAGTCCTTGATGGTGATAAAATAGCATCAATCCCTCCCCCCACTTCTTTTCGAGGAAGCTGTGCCCCAGGTGCAAATCCAGGGTCCAAATGGCCTCTGATCAGGTGAGGAGAGGATGCTCAGGGTGCAGGGAAGGGGGCGGCAGCCCAGAGGAGCCAGGGTCATCGGAGAGCGGGAGGGTGTCTCAGGCTTTGCCGGCTGTTCTACTGGAGGTGGCCAGGCTCTCACAGCCTCATGCCCCTCCCTCCACTGCCATCATGGGCCAGAGCCTGATGCCTTCATGCCCTGGTAGCCCAAATGGTCTCCTTGCAGGCCACTGTGTGTGCTCCTCCTCACATCTCTCCTTCACTCATGCCCTTGTCAGAGTCAGCTCTCCAAGCCCTGGGGGACCCCAGGGTCTCCAGATCACACACCAGCACTAGTTCTCGTGGCTCCAGCAAAGATCTCACCTCTGCCGCTAGAGCCTCCCTGTCATTTGGTCTATCATCCACAAACACCTGGACTTCATGTTCCTTCCTCTAAACACCTGTTCCAGCCATACCCATCTCTTACAAAATGTCCAGATGACCATGCCCATTTCTGAATCTGCACATGAGAGTCCTCTGGCCTGGGAAGGCTTCCCTCTGCCCACAGCAGTTCCTGCATGGGACCCCCTTCCAGCTGCACCCCCAGTCTCGCTCTTCCACAAAGCCTTCTCTAAGACATGAGCCCAGAGGAATTTCTCCCTCCTCTCACTCCTTTTGCATTATTTTCTGCACTGCATAATTAGCACCTGATGGTATGCTGTCTTCTTTTCTAATTATCTGTACTAAGTAATGTGTCTTTAAAATATCCAGAGAAAATACTCATCTATACAGTTCTCTTTTGTGCATATGCTTGGTTTCCTGGCTAAGCTCGAAAATCTAAGCCTCTATATGTCATATGCTGCTCACGGTCCCACTTGGATATAGGCATAGAGTTGGTGGTCCATAAGTGCTTATGATAAAATATTTGTTAGTTATTTTTCTTTCTTGGCATGTATACCTTTTTTTTTCTAATTCTGAAACTAGAAGAAGGAAATTTTGTTCTGTTCCATTTAAAGCACCCAGGACAAATTTGAAAGATTCTTTTAAATGGTTAATATCAATTTTGATGTCTATAGACTGTGTGAAATGGGCATAACTTGTCCAAGAGAGTTTGAGGACCCCAGAAAGAGTCCCATTGCCCTGCCCTGTCTCCTTTGCACTCCTAAGTTCTGGAGAAAAAAAAAGGTTTATTTATTCAACAAACATTTCTGTGGCATCTACTACGATTCATAACCCTGAATGAATATTTGGGCTATAAAAAATCTAGACTCTACATTCACAGATTTCAATTTAATTATTTAGAGGTAGAGCCCAGCACAGATATTTTAGAAGGCCTACTAGTGATTGTAAGTTATAATCTCTATTAAGAACCACTGATCTATTATACGAAGTGCTGTGTTAAAAACTAAAATTAAAGAAAATAAAAGATGTAACTGAGACCTTGACCTTGAGAAGCCGGTGGTCTAATCAGAAAAATGGATGAGGAGCATGCATAAGAGTGTGAAGGCACCAAGGGCAGTCCAGGGTTTACGTGCACATGGTTGGCCAAGCAGCCCAGGACAAGGACTTCAGGGAGGCTTCCCTGGGGTCAAACCAAGACCTGACTTGGAAGCTGTCAGAGTGGGGATTCATCAAATAAAAAAGGGAGAAGGGTCCCAGGCGGAATGGGCTCAGGGAGAAGTGACAGCTGCAAGGAACTGTCAAGGGTAATAGCAGCTCTTCTTTGACTGAGTTCTGGCCAATAGATGGTGGGTGGAAGCCACGAGCCACTTCGGGTTATGACTCCCCCACTTCCTCACCCCATGCATAAACATTGTCTTTCTTCCTCATCTACTGGATGAATAGCAATGAAGCTGAGGACCAAGAAAGGAGTTAGCAAATACAAGGAGGGAAGGTGGGACCTGGGAAGACTGGCCCACATGGGAGTGTAGTCTTTGGGAAGTTATTTTGCAGGACAAAGTAAGTGGCAGTGACTTAAGAGACAAAAGAAAGCAGCCTACCTGCAGGGACCTGCAGGAAAGGAGAGAAATCGTTATAACTCCAGCTGTGGCACTTACAGCAGCAGTTTCATGGAGGTAACCATGACCTTAGCTAAAGCTTGCTGGGACATCTCAGATTCCAGGTCTCCTAATCCAATGCGTGCGTGAGTAAACATGGGGACATTGCCTGGAACGAACAAGTGGAGTGAGTAGGTAGAAGCTGCCTTTTCTTGACTCACCCAGTTTTCATCTGGCAAGCAGAGTGGGTTGACAGTGGAGCCTGTTCGTAGGGACAGGCTTCTGCACAGGCAGTGCACAGGTGGGACATGAGCTGGGCTTCCAAGGCCTCTCCAGTCCTGCATGGGGAGGACAGGATCAGCTAGTACACCTGCGGCCTCCATGCTTCTGGACACACACACGCTTCTCTGAAGGGCCAGCTGGTGGAAATTACCACAAGAACAGAGAGAGCACGGAGGAATTAGAAGAGAGGGTTTGATGAGAGAGATGAACGCAGCACAGATCTGGCCGGTGCTGGAATCACCATCTGGCTGTGCAGCCATCACAGGCACTCTCCTCCCTACAGCATAATCCCTCTGCAGGCAAGACGACAGGACTCAGGCCTAGCCCACACTCTGCCACCAGCCTGCTGTGCACCCCTGGGCAAGTCCCTTCCTCAAACTGGACCTCTGCTCCTTATCTGCACAACGAGGAAGCTGGACTGTAATGATCTCCAGGGTCCCCTCCTTGCCTAGAAATTCGGAATGTAAGCCCCCACCTCCATGCCCCTGTGGGAGTCCACCTGAGTGAGCAGCCACACCTGGTCACCCTCCAGTTCCTCTCACCCATGCCCGCCTACAGCCAGCAGTCCCCGGCTGTCCTTCTGTGTTGCTAATCTCATGCATGAGTTACTGCACGGCAGCTCCATTACCAGCCACGGTGTCCGTGCTGATGAGAAGAAAAATAAATGTAAGCACCTAACCTGACTGAGCCAATTTATAGCTCAGAAGCACCAGAGACCCTCCCTTCTTCCCCTTCCCTGGGAGCACACAGGACTCTGTTTTCCAAATTCTTCTTCTTCACCACCACATTTTGCCCCTGCTCTTTGAATGTGCCTATTGTAGGCCATTGCTGCTGTCTCCTAGAGGGTTCTCAGTGGATGGACAAAAGCTTCCTCCTAAACAGAAGCAGGGGCTTTAGAGATGCCCCCTGCAAAACTCCCCAAAATGACTTAGACCACCATTCCTCCCACTCTATTACAGTCCAGCTGAAGTCGAAAGCCACTGGAATGCAGCAGGCTTGTCGTGACTTCCGGGTCACCAACATCACTGGCCTGTTGGTTGGGGCCGCCACAGGCAGCATCAGCCCTAGACAGAGAGGCTGGACTTCGAGGCCTTCTCCAGCCTGCAGCCTTCTCTCCTGCAACCTGGAGGAGTGCCTCAAGGACAGGGTCGGTGTCTCTGGCCTGAGGTAGCCTCTTCCTTCCATGTGCTCTGCACTGATGGACTGAGAACTGTTCAGAGAAGAAGAAATTGGAAGTGAGGCAGCCTCTGCTGGTTTTCTCATGAATGAGAGTTCCATGAGCACCCATAAGGTCTTCCTGGTCCGCAGGTCTATCATCTCATCCTAGCAAATACTCCACCTGGCCTCCCTGGAAGGGCCAGGCTGCATGCTTAGGTGTGTATTCAAGAGCCAGGACTGCTCCTGCCAGCCTGCATCATGTTGGACAGGAGGCTGGCCTGTGTGGGGCAGGGACAGTGAACCCCCTGGGGATGAGTCCATGGGGGCAGAAAAATTATTGGTGGGGATGACAGATTATTGAACAGAGAGGCTGGATGCCATGCAGAGAAGAAGATGGTGCAGCTGTGACAGCTGCTCCAACCCCTCACTCAGGGCAAGGTGGGAGGACAAAGGCAGCGGCTTCAGCGCAGGACAGTCTGTTGAGCTCCTTCCTCGTGTAGCCCAGCCTCCTCATCTCTGAGAGTGGGCACTCACCCGGGGCTACCACACTCGCACGTGGAAGCACACGTGCTGAGAGGTGGCACAGGACAGATGTGGTCTGGCAGCAGGGCAGGGTGGGGGTGCAACCCTCCAAGCCACCAGGTCCAGCTTTCTAGGTTTCATCTTACTGGCTTTCCAGCGTTCACCAGAAATGGATGTGAAATCCGACTGCCCAAGACGCAGAAGTACAAGGCGAGGAAGTGGAGCAGAGATGCAGAACTAGGCCAGACCTGCCCCAAACGGGAGCCCTCATCTGCGGTGCATGATGGCGGCTGCGGTTCAGGCCTCTGTGCTGGAGGCCCAAATGGAGATGCAAAATCTCATAATGAAACATCTGTCTCCCCTCTTCTCTCCCTTCCCCCAACTCATCCAATTACCACATCTAACATTATCCATCATCTCGTCTTTGTGGCAGCAAGAATTGAAGAGCAGACGGGGAAATTAATAATAATTGTGGTGTCAAGGCATGGGATGCAATCAGAATGCAGCGTGGAAACAAATACAAATACAAACAAACCATATTTATTCTTCTGAAAGATTGCTCAATTCTCACTCCCTCCCTCTCCCGAGAGCTGCCGGTGCTAGAGCTCAGGAAAGAGATGAATCAGTGCTAATGTGGGGATTAGGAATTGATTCTGCAGCCCCAGCCTGCACGGCCACAGGGAGCGCTCTAATTGAAATTAGAGCAGGGATTTCGGAGCCTCTGAAGAGGCAACCAAAATTCATCAGGGCCCAAGTGGGAAGCAAAGGGAAGGGGGGTCTCTTTATTTCATGGTTAGCACGTGAACTCTGACAAGATAAAATGATAAACAGAAGCAGCGGCTAGGAAAAGGTCAGAGAGGAGGTAACTCCCCTAACCTTGGGGGTCCAAAATCACATCCGAGGCACTCCAACCAGCCCTCTTGGCCATCGCAAAACCATGTGGTTCTATCCCCGTATACAATTCCTGAAAGCCTGGAAGTTGCTCTAAAGGAGAATATTCATCTCCCTGCAGATACAGACAGCTCAATGACCCATGCTAATAAGCAGCAGCCTTAGCCTGGGTCATGTAAATTAGGAGACTATCAAAGCAAAAATAATTTCCAGCTTTGGTGTGTCTTAACACAGTCATATGCATATTCCATTTCTATCTTTCCTTTCTGACATTCTTTTCAGTTAGGCTAACAGTTAAAAGTATGTGCTTTCCATCAGCCTCTCCTCTGATCGCTGTGAAGGACCACAGCCAGCTTTTAGCTGGGACCTATTCAAATGATGACATGTGTCCT
This sequence comes from Homo sapiens, assembly GCF_000001405.40. Classification (NCBI taxonomy): domain Eukaryota; kingdom Metazoa; phylum Chordata; class Mammalia; order Primates; family Hominidae; genus Homo; species Homo sapiens. The sequence continues at coordinate 131,446,851 of NC_000011.10, read as the reverse complement.
AGAAATACTCTAGATAGCAGTAAGGATGGAGGCCTCCAAGTATGCTGAGCATTATAAGTCATCTGGGTCTTACAAACTGCATTAACCCTCATGAATCACATGTAGTCAGCAATGGCCATACATATGTGTACTTAGAGTTGACTTGATCCCAAACCTTGAGTCAGAGAAGAACTTACGACTTCTACATGGGATCCAAGTGCTGTGGGTGAGGCCATGAGCTCTTGTTTCAGTTGACTCCAGGAAGCTCTGGATTTCAAAGGGGAGGCAGAGGAAGGCGAATGTGCGCCTAGGTGGGATGGATGGAATAAACCCTTTTATATGAAGAATTCATTTTTTTTAATGTTCTAACTAGTACTGTTTATCATCTCTACTGAGCATCACAGAAGAAAGAGAGAACAGAGTTTGTCTAAAACTCTGAGTGTGCTCTTTTGGAAATTCTAAAAGGAAAGAAAAGGGAAATTTGGGAGAAGAACAGCTGGGAAGGGTGAAAGGAGACAATGCACAGGCGGTTTCCATCTGCAGGCTGGTGAATTTGGGAAAACACCCTGAGGCTGAGCCGGGCCTGGGAAGTTCTCTCCTAGGGACGGTAATAGGAACAGTTGTCCAGAATGCAAATTGTATTTCAGCACAGAACATTTCCATAGCCTCACAACACCAAACTTAAGTGGGGCTCAGATGAAGGCTGGGAAATCTCTGATCTATAAGATAGCCCTTCCTCCAGTAGGCTTGGGGAATTGGGTTGGACTTAAGACGTGTGATGTCTTAAGTTGGATATTTGAAAACTCTGCAGAAATTATCTGGAAGTTTTAGTTGCTGAGATAGGTCAAACTAGAATGGGGTGGGCAATTGATTTCTATAAATAACTGGATAGTAACTATGTTAGCCTTTGCAGGCCATCAAGTCTTTGTCACAATTACTCAGATCTATCCTTGTAGGGAAGAAGCAGCCATAGACAGTATGTCAATTAATGAGCACCGTTATGCTCCAGTAGAAACTAATAAGTGGCAGGCTGCATTTGACCGGTGGGTTTTGCTGAGTTTGCTAACCCTTGACCTCAAAGAAAAAAATAATTGGGCTCACAATAGAGTGCACCCCAAAAGCAAAGGTGGTTGGATGGTACTTGGATAAATCTCATCTTGCAGGAATTGTGAATGCTTGCCAGGCTCATCATTTGGAAAAACAAGCAAGTCACATGTGTCCTGGTCACTTACACTAGTACACCTCTAAACACTTCCATGTCTCTCTCTCCTGCTCCCACACTCTGGGACTGATTACCACAAGCCATCTCTGACCTCAAAGTTGGTTAGCTCATCTGTCACACCCCACAAGGTCACAGCCCTATCTCTGGTATGCTAAACAGGTCTACCCAGTTTAGACAGTGATCCCCAGGTCTTGTCTTCTTTGCCTATCTGCTTTCTCACCTCATCTCTTCAACTAAAAGTGAATTTTCCTTTTCTCATTCATGCATTCAGATGATGCACTGTGCTTCCTAAGGTGACCAATGAGAACTAAATGAATCTCAAATCTGAATGTGCAAATGTGTCAGTGGGTGCTGATAGTGTAAAGCTGGGTCTCTGCATGGCTGTATACATACCCTTAGGGGTACAGGGCAGTGTACGGAGATACAAATGCCACAGGAGAAATACAATGCAGCTCTCAGAAGCATGCAGTGTGCTCTAATCATTTGGGAGGAAAGTTAAATATTATCACTAATTCAAAATGTTTTATATTAAAAATGGCTATAATAAGGATCATCATACAAATAGGATAGATTAATAATTGATGTGAAATTCCAATATTGCTGCTGACTTCTTGGTATTATACTATGACTTCAGGTTGCTATGGATATGCACTTACTTTTCTCTCTCATTAAGATATTTACTTATGGAAAAGTTTGAGAAGCACTGATTTGATACGTACCCCTTTCCTGATTTTATGAGAAAATCAAGGTCTAATGTAATCTCACTATTTCTCATCATCCTTCCAGGAAACACATTTGTACCCACATATAACCTTCTCTTACATCTTCTCTCCAGTCTTAGCCAACAGAAAGCCCTGTTAGATCAACTGATTCCACTTGTATCCTTGACCCCAACTTCTCCACTCTTTCTGTATCATGGCTTTCTTCTGTTGGTCATCTTTAACCTAACCTAAATGTTCTGTGCCACACCCCCCACAACCACACTTCTTAAGGCTCTAGTATAGTCATAAACACATTCAAGAACCTTCCATGCAAAGCCCTCAATTTATGCCATGACCTTCTTCACCATCCAATCTTTCTCCTTCCTTCCTCAATTCATTCTTCTCAAAACATAGTCCATGATCTCTTTCCCTTTCTATTTCTCAAGCCCCAACTCTCTAGTTTCTATCCTCCCTATTCTATTGAAACTGCTTTTAGTCAGATCACCCAAGACCTCCTAACTGCAAAATTTGTAGGTCATTTCAAACCTTGTATTACTCGAACCATCTGCAGCATTTGATATGAGCAATCTGATCCCTTTTCTTTCTCTTTCCATAAGACGCACTCCTTGGACTTTTATAATGTCAAGTTGCCCCTGCTTTTTCTCATTTCATTCTTATTGTTTCTTCCATTTCTTCTTTCTGTCCCCCATATTGGCTTCTATTTTTTTTTTTTTTTTTTTTTTTTTGGTTCTAACCTTTAGCCACTGTTGAGCATCAGGGTTTGACTTCCCTTTCTCTACCACCTTTTCTTAAATGAGCTCAACTCTCAACTATTCTCATTCTTTTAACTAACTATGTAAGTTTTCTATTACTTTGTAACGGATCACTGTAAAACTTGCAATTTAATAACGCAAACATTTTCTATCTCACAGATTCTGTAGGTCGGGAAGCAGAATGAGGCTTAGCTGAGTGTCTCTGGTCAAGATCTCTTATGAGGTTGCAGCAAAGATGTCATCTGGAACTATAGTTTTATCTGAAGACTCAAATGTAGGTATGGAGGTATCTTCCTCCAAGCTTATTCACATGCTTCTTACAGGCCTTGTTTCCTTGGCAGGTGGGTGGGTCTCTGCACAGTGACACCTCATGCCATGGAAGTTGGCATTCACCAAGGCAAGTGATTCAAGAAGGACAGATAAAGACATCTTAAGATGGAAGTCACTCTTCTTTTATAACATAACCTTGGAAGTGAGTTCCCATAGCTGCTTCTGTGGTCTACTCATTAAAATTGAATAAATAAGTCCAGCCCACAGTTAGGAAAGGGAATAACACAGGGCATGGAGATCAGTCAATGGGGACCACTGGGGACTGTCTTAGGGGTGACCTACCACACCACCTGTGCACTGATGGCTCGATGCATATATTTCCAGCCTTGGGCATCTCCCTTGAGTTTGACTCATGTACTCACTACTTGCAGGACAGGCTTCTCTGGATGATTCACAGGCACCTCAATCTCAGTATATTCCAAGAAAATATATTTTCTTCTGCAATATGACCGACTTTTCTCTTATTCTCCAAATATGATACAACCATACACCCAGGCATTCTAGCTTGAAATGGAAAAGACAAGCTTCTTCTTTCCCTCTTCTTTATTCTGTTACAATATGGCCAGTCTTCATTGTTGAATTTTGTTACTAAATATTTTCAACCCATTTCCCTTCTTTCCAGTGCTCTACCACTTATAAAGTTGAGTTACTCATTGTATCTCTCTTTAAACACTGCAGCAAATCTAGCTTACCCTGTTCAGCTCACCACACGTACTGTGTATTAGATGCCCTCAAGTTCTGAAGACGGAGATGGAAACAGGTAAGAATATCTCCTTCTATGGAAAATAGTATGGGTATTTCTCAAAGAACTAAAAATAGAACTACCATTCAACCCAGCATTCCCACTACTGGGCATCTACCAAAGGAAAAGAAATTATTATATATAGAAAAGATACCTGCACGTGTGTGTTTATCACAACACTACTCACAATAGTAAAGGCACAGAATCAACCTAAGTGTCCACCAATGATTGATTGCATAAAGAAAATGTGGTGTTTGTGTGTGTCTGTGTGTGTATATATATATATACACACACATATATATAATATATACACGTATATATATAACGGAATACTATAAAGCCATAAAACGATGAAATTATGTCCTTTGTAGTGACATGGATGACCTGGAGGCCATTATCCTAAGTGAAATAACTCGGAAACAGAAAGTCAAATGCTGCATGTTCTCACTTATAAGTGGGAGCTAAGCAATGGGTACACATGGACATAAAGACAGAACTAATAGAGACTTGGGACTCCAAAAGGGGGGAAGATGGGAAAGGGATGAGGGTTGAAAACTTACCTATTGGGTACAGTGTTCACTATTTGGTTGATGGGTACACTAGAAGCCCAATCCCTGTCATTATGTAATATACCCATGACACAAACCTGCATGGGTACAACCCCAATCTAAAATAAAATAAAAAGAATTTGACCATGCACTGAAAGCTGTCATGTCCCCTCTGTTGTATTGCTGCTGCTGCTGCTGCTGCTATTGCTGTCATCGATGAGGAGGATGATGAAGACAGTGATGTTAACATAGATGGATCACACAATTGCTATAATAAAATGTGAGTCTCAGTCTCAACCACGGATGCAAACAAGTTTTATCTGTCTACTGCGACTTTCAGCCCTTGTCAAAAATGCCACAATCACGGGTTCCCATGCCACATGTCATCATCTCCGCTTCTGCACCTGGATGCTCAGTTAAGGCTCAGTCCTGAAAATAAACTGTTTGTGAATGAGGAAATCATCTCCGCATAATTGGGGCTGCTGAAGAGCGTGAGATATCATTCCAATTGAACAGTCTTCTGAATTTTTACCCTGTGATCTGAGGAGTGGTGCATCTAATCAATCACCTAAATAATGATTCAATCTCTTGTTGATGTACCCATCTATGGGCCTTCTATAGACATTTTCTCCAGGCCTCCAGTGTTTTCCCTATCTCCTGGAAGAACATCAGCACTTCCTCAGGAGTGAATCAAGTAAGTCATCAGCACCAGCTCTAGCACAACAGAGACAGCCGTGCTGGAAAAGCTACAGAGAGATACCATCCTCTGGCAGCAGCAGACAACCCTATTCCAGTCTGTGAATTCAATGGACTTCCAAATGCAAAAGACAGTTGGTGCCTTAGGACAAATTTAGCTGTGGCTGGGCTAGATCATGGATGGTTACTAGCATGAAAATTCATTCATATGGGTTTGGAATATAATACCTGACACGAGATATATCGGAGCTGCCATGCTCCAATCCTAGATAAGGACACAGCAGTAACAGATGGAGGAACAAGGCACTTATCTTGTTAGTTGATGGATTTATCTTCTTTTCCCCTTCCCTACATATTCCATAGTGTTGTGAGTGGTGGTTTTTGCTGTGCAGCATATGGAGAGTGAATTGATTTCTTTTCTCCTTCCTTAATTCAATAAGAATCAGAGTAAAGGATAAACAGCTTGTTGTGCTAGAAAAAATTTCCAAACAGTCAAGAAATTCTCAAACTGCCTTTTCTTCTTTCCGTAGTTAGGAATTTAGTTCTGGGAAGCATTCCTCCCTCAGCAAGAATAGAAATGAGAGTGCTTTGCATGATTAGGATAATGGCACATTCACGGTCTCTGGGCTTTGGTTGGAGACGCATCAGCTCATTCTAACTGCATGACCAAAAAGAGCTGTGCTTAATATAGGAAAGAAAGACAATGGCTTGCAATCAAAATAATTCCTGACATGACTAATTACAGTGGCCTGAAGAACTGGATTAACTTCTACTTCCTCCCAATACCCCTTTAAAACAATGGTTTAAACAATCTATATAGACAAATAAAATGAGAGAAAACATCAGCAGATGAAACACGTTGGCAAAATTGTATAGGATGGAAAGCAGATGAATGAATGGTAACTGATTCAGCAAAGCAGGGAAAGCAAAAACTGAAATGCCTGGGGAGGAGAAGCAAGCTGATTCAGGCTGCAAACCCCCAGACACGGGCATGAATTTTTTTTTTTTTTTTTTTTTTTTTTTTTTTTTTTTTTTTTTTTTTTTATGGAGGCTGTGGTGAGGGGTGGCACAAAAAACAAGACAACTGTTGAAAGTCTGTATGAGGAAGAGTTACATTCCGTCACTCATCTGTGGAACCTGAGAGCTAAACTGCTTTCCTGGGAAGAGATAGAGAGCTTATTCTCTAGAGTAGTGGTTTTCAAAAATGTAGTTCCCAAACCAACAGAATCATCATCACCCAGGAACTTGTTAGAGATGCACTTTCAGGGGCCATCCAAGACCTACAGAATCAGAAAGTGTGAAGGGGCAGGGACCTAGCAGACTGTGTTGTCCCAGGCTCCCCAGGGATTCTGATGCATGTCTAAGTTTGAGAACCACTTGGTAATAAAGCATGGTAGAGTCAGAAAAGGAGGAACTTAAGCAGATTGGAAGTTTTCTCTGAAAAAGCCACCCACAAGAATACAGAAAAAATTACTGACACTTGAGGGATCTTCACCAAAATGTGTAGCTCCCACTTAACCTAAAGAGAAGCCCTTGAGTCAACAAACTTATGTGTAGAGCTTCCAAAGGGCTTTTTAGCACCCACCTCTCAACAGAAAAATAAATAAATAACAATAAGCAGAGAATAATAAAGAACTCCTAGAAATTAAAAGAAGTTATAGGTTAAATTTTTTTAAGGAACATTAATTTTAAATATAGGAGGATAAAGTTGGAGAACTCTCCTAGAAATCAGAACAAAAAATATAGAAAATATAAATGACAGAAAATAATAAAACATCTTTTTAAAAAACTGCCAGAAAGAAAACAAGAAAATAAGAGGAGAAAATTAAAAAATAAATACCACAAGATACATTTTCAAAACTGATAGAAGAGAAATGTATTAAGTACAAAGGAGAGTAGTTAAAAAAAAAAAAAAAAGCCTAAGATGGCCGAATAGGAACAGCTCTGGTCTGCAGTGCCCAGCGTAATCAATGCAGAAGATGGGTGACTTCTGCATTTCCAACTGAGGTACTTGGTTCATCTCACTGGGACTAGTTGGACAGTGGGTGCAGCCCATGGAGGGTGAGCTGAAACAGGGCAGGGCATCGCCTCACCTGAGAAGCTCAAGGGGTCAGGGGATTTTCCTTTCCTAGCCAAGGGAAGCCATGACAGATGGTACCTGGAAAAACGGGACACTCCCTCCCAAATACTGCACTTTTCCAATGGTCTTAGCAAACAGCACACCAGGAGATTATATCCCGTGCATGACTAGGCCGGTCCCATGCCCACAGAGCTTTGCTCGCTGCTAGCACAGCAGTCTGAGATCAACCTGCAAGGCAGCAGCCTGGCAGGGGGAGGGGCATCCACCATTGCTGAGACTTGAGTAGGTAAACAAAGCATCCTGGGAAGCTCGAACTGGGTGGAGCCCACCATAGCTCAGAAAGACCAACTGCCTCTGTAGTCTCTACCTTTGTGGGTAGGGCATAGCTGAACAAAAGGCAGCAGAAACTTCTGCAGACTTAAACAACCCTGACTGACAGCTCTGAAGAGAGCAGTGGTTCTCCCAGCATGGTGTTTGAGCTTGGAGAACGGACAGACTGCCTCCCCAAGTGAGTCCCTGACCCCCGAGTAGCCTAACTGGGAGACACCTCCCAGTAGGGGCCGACTGACACCTCATACAGGCAGATGACCCTCTGGGATGAAGCTTCCAGAGGAAGGATCAGGAAGCAATATTCGCTGTTCTGCAATATCTGCTATTCTGCAGCCTCCGCTGGTGATACCCAGGAAAAGAGGGTCTGGAGTGGACCTCCAGCAAACTCCAACAGACCTGCAGCTGAGGGACCTCACTGTTAGAAGGAAAACTAACAAACAGAAAAGAATAGCATCAGCATCAACAAAAAGGACATCCATACCAAAACCCCATCTATAGGTCACCATCATCAAAGAGTAAAGGTAGATAAAGACCACAAAGATGAGGAGAAACCAGAGCAGAAAAGCTAAAAATTCTAAAAACCAGAGCGTCTCTTCTCCTCCAAAGGACTGCAGTTCCTCTCCAGCAATGGAACAAAGCTGGATGGAGAATGACTTTGATGAGCTGACAGAAGTAGCCTTCAGAAGGTCAGTAATAACAAACTTCTCCAAGCTAAAGGAGGATGTTCGAATCCATCACAAGGAAGCTAAAAACCTTGAAAAAAGATTAGACGAATGGCTAACTACAATAAACAGTGTGAAGAAGACCTTAAATGACCCAACGGAGCTGAAAACCATGGCATGAGAACTACGTGACACATGCACAAACTTCAACAGCCGATTCGATCAAGTGGAAGAAAGGGTATCGGTGATTGAAGGTCAAATTAACGAAATAAAGCAAGAAGCAAAGTTTAGAGAAAAAAGAGTAAAAGGAAACGAACAAAGTCTCCAAGAAATATGGGACTATGTGAAAAGACCAAATCTACGTCTGACTGGTGTACCTGAAAGTGACAGGGAGAATGGAACCAAGTTGGAAAACACTCTTCAGGACATTATCCAGGAGAACTTCCCCAACCTAGCAAGGCAGGCCAACATTCAAATTCAGGAAATACAGAGGACACCACAAAGATACTCCTCAAGAAGAGCAACCCCAAGACACATAATTGTCAGATTCACCAAGGTTGAAATGAAGGAAAAAATTTTAAGGGCAGCCAGAGAGAAAGGTCAGGTTAACAGCAAATGGAAGCCCATCAGACTACAGAGGATCCCTCGGCAGAAACTCTACAAGTCAGAAGAGAGTGGGGGCTAATACTCAACATTCTTAAAGAAAAGAATTTTCAACCCACAATTTCATATCCAGCCAAACTAAGCTTCATAAGTGAAGGAGAAATAAAATCCTTTACAGACAAGCAAATGCTGAGAGATTTTCTCACCACCAGGCCTGCCTTACAAGAGCTCCTGAAGGAACACTAAACATGGAAAGGAAAAACTGGTACCAGCCACTGCAAAAACATGCCAGATTGTAAAGACCATCAATGCTAGGAAGAAACTGCATCAACTAACGGGCAAAATAACCAGCTGACATATTGACAGGATCAAATTCACATGTAACAATATTAACCTTAAATGTAAATGGGCTAAATGCCCCACTTAAAAGGCACACACTGGCAAATTGGATAAAGAGTCAAGACCCATCAGTATGCTCTATTCAGGAGACCCATCTCACATGCAGAGACATACATAGGCTCAAAATTAAGGGATGGAGGAAGATCTACCAAGCAAATGGAAAGCAAATAAAAAGCAGAGGTTGCAATCTTAGTCTCTGATAAAACAGACTTCAAACCAACAAAGATAAAAAGAGACAAAGAAGGCCATTACATAATGATAAAGGGATCAATTCAACAAGAAGAGCTAACTATCCTAAATATATATGCACCCAACACAGGAGCACTCAGATTCATAAAGCAAGTCCTTAGAGACCTACTAAGAGACTTAGACTCCCACACAACAATAATGGGAGACTTTAACACCCCACTCTCAATATTAGACAGACCGACGAGACAGAAGGTTAACAAGGATATCCAGGACTTGAACTCAGTTCTGCACCAAGTGGACCTAATAGACATCTACAGAACTCTCCACCCCAAATCAACAGAATATACATTCTTCTCAGCACCACATCGCACTTATTCCAAAATTGACCACATAGTTGAAAGTAAAGCACTCCTCAGCAAATGTGAAAGAACAGAAATCACAACAAACTGTCTCTCAGACCACAGTGCAATCAAATTAGAACTCGGGATTCAGAAACTCACTCAAAACTACACAACTACATGGAAACTGAACAACCTGCTCCTGAATGACTACTGTGTAAAATAACGAAATGAAGCAGAAATAAAGATGTTATTTGAAACCAATGAGAACAAAGACACAACGTACCTGAATCTCTGGGACACATTTAAAGCAGTGTGTAGAGGGAAGTTTATACCACTAAATGCCCACAAGAGAAAGCAGGAAAGATCTAAAATTGACACCCTAACATCACAATTAAAAGAACTAGAGAAGCGAGAGCAAACAAATTCAAAAGCTAGCAGAAGGCAAGAAATAACTAAGATCAGAGCAGAACTGAAGGAGATAGAAACACAAAACCCCTTCAAAAAAATCAATGAATCTAGGAGCTGGTTTTTTGAAAATATCAACAAAATTGATAGACTGCTAGCAAGACTAATAAAGAAGAAAAGAGAGAAGAATCAAATAGATGCAATAAAAAATGATAAATGGGATATCACCACCGATCCCACAGAAATACAAACTACCATCAGAGAATACTATAAACATCTCTACGCAAATAAACTAGAAAATCTAGAAGAAACGGATAAATTTCTGGACACATACACCCTCCCAATACTAAACCAGGAAGAAGTTGAATCCCTGAGTAGACCAATAACAGGCTCTGAAATTGAGGCAATAATTAATAGCCCACCAACCAAAAAAAGTCCAGGACCAGACGGATTCATAGCCGAATCCTACCGGAGGTACAAAAAGGAGCTGGTACCATTCCTTCTGAAACTATTCCACTCAGTAGAAAAAGAGGGAATCCTCCCTAACTCATGAGGCCAGCATCATCCTGATAGCAAAGCCTGGCAGAGACGCAACAAAAAAAAGAGAATTTTAGACCAATATCCCTGATGAACATCAATGCTAAAATCCTCAATAAAATACTGGCAAATCGAATCTAGCAGCACATCAAAAAGCTTATCCACCACGATCAATTCAGCTTCATCCCTGGGATGCAAGTCTGGTTGAACATATGCAAATCAATAAACATAATCCATCACATAAACAGATCCAACGTTAAAAACCACATGATTATCTCAATAGATGCAGAAAAAGCCTTTGACAAAATTGAACAGCCCTTCATGCTAAAAACTCTCAGTAACCTAGGTACTGACGGAACGTATCTTAAAATAATAAAAGCTATTTATGACAAACCTAGAGCCAATATCATACTGAATGGGCAAAAACTGGAAGCATTCCCTTTGAAAACTGGCACAAGGCAGGGATGCCCTCTTTCACCACTCCTATTCAACATAGTGCTGGAAATTCTGGCCAGGGCAATCAGGCAAGAGAAAGAAATAAAGGGTATTCAATTAGGAAAAGAAGAAGTCAAATTGTCCCTGTTTGCAGATGACATGATTGTATATTTAGAAAACCCCATCATCTCAGCCCAAAATATCCTTAAGCTGATAAGCAACTTCAGCAAAATCTCAGGATACAAAATCAATGTGCAAAAATCACAAGCATTCCTATGCACCAATAACAGACAGAGAGCCAAATCATGAGTGAACTCCCATTCAGAATTGCTACAAAGAGAATCAAATAACTAGGAATCCAACTTACAAGGGATGTGAGGGACCTCTTCAAGGAGAACTACAAATCACTGCTCAATGAAATAAAAGAGGGCACAAACAAATGGAAGAACATTCCATGCTCATGGATAGGAAGAATCAACATTGTGAAAATGGCCATACTGCCCAAGGTAATTTATAGATTCAATTCCATCCCCATCAAGCTCCCAATGACTTTCTTCACAGAATTGGAAAAAACTACTTTAAGGTTCATATGGAACCAAAAAAGAGCCCGCATTGCCAAGACAATCCTAAGCAAAAAGAACAAAGCTGGAGGCATCACACTACCTGACTTCAAACTATAATACAAGGCTACAGTAACCAAAACAGCATGGTACTGGTACCAAAACAGATATATAGACCAATGGAACAGAACAGAGGCCTCAGAAATAACACCACACATCTACAACCATCTGATCTTTAACAAACCTGAGAAAAACAAGAAAGGGGAAAAGGACTCCCTATTTAATAAATGGTGCTGGGAAAACTGGCTAGTCATATGTAGAAAGCTGAAACTGGATCCCTTCCTTACGCCTTAGACAAAAATAAATTCAAGATGGATTAAAGACTTAAATGTTAGACCTAAAACCATAAAAACTCTAGAAGAAATCCTAGGCAATACCATTCAGGACATAGGCATGGGCGAGGACTTCATGACTAAAACACCAAAAGCAATGGCAACAAAAGCCAAAATTGACAAATGGGATCTAATTAAACTAAAGAGCTTCTTCACAGTGAAATAAACTACCATCAGAGTGAATAGGCAACCTACAGAATGGGAGAAAATTTTTGCAATCTAACCATCTGACAAAGGGCTAATATCCAGAATCTACAAAGAACTTAAACAAATTTACAAGAAAAGAACAAACAACCTCATCGAAAAGTGCGCAAAGGATATGAACAGACACTTCTCAAAAGAAGATATTTATGCAGTCAACAAACACATGAAAAAAACACTCATCATCACTGGTCATCAGAGAAATGCAAATCAAAACCACAATGAGATACTATCTCACACCAGTTAGAATGGCAATCATTAAAAAGTCAGGAAACAACAGATGCTGGAAAGGATGTGGAGAAATAGGAATGCTTTTACACTGTTGGTGGGAGTGTAAATTAGTTCAGCCATTGTGGAAGACAGTGTGGCAATTCCTCAAGGATCTAGAACTAGAAATACCATTTGACCCAGCAATCCCATTACTGGGTATATACCCAAAGGATTATAAATCATGCTAGTATAAAGACACATGCACACGTATGTTTACTGCGGCACTATTCATGATAGCAAAGACTTGGAACCAACACAAATGTCCATCGATGATAGAGAACATGTGGCACATATACTCCATGGAATATTATGCAGCCATAAAAAGGATGAGTTCATGTCCTTTGTAGGGACATGGATGCAGCTGGAAACCATCATTCTGAGCAAACTATCACAAGGACAGAAAACCAAACACCGCATGTTCTCACTCATAGGTGGGAACTGAACAATGGAGACATTTGGAAACAGGGCGGGGAACCTACCACCCCGGTGCCTATTGTGGGGTTGGGGATAGGGAGAGGGATAGCATTAGGAGAAATACCTAATGTAAATGACGAGTTAATGGGTGCAGCAAACCAACATGGCACGTGTATACCTATGTAACAACCTGCACGTTGTGCACATGTACCCTAGAACTTAAAGTATAATTTTTTAAAAAGTCTGTATCAACACCTTGTATACCTAAGAAAACTCCAAAATAGCAGGGATAAAAAGAGTGGCCTAAAATCTTCCTAAGGAAAAAAAAATATCTAGAACTCATACAAAGATGTAGGAATCAGAGAGGCACATTTCTAAAGAGCCACCATGGAAGTTAGAGAATAGAGGACATTCTGAAGGAAAACTACTCTGAGGTGAAAATTCTAAACCCAATCAAACTAACAGTCATGTGTGAAGCAAGTTGCTTACCCTTTCCTCAGGAAGTAACTGAAAAGTACACTCTTCCAAAACACAAGAGAAATTTAAAGATAATCATAATAATAAATAAATAAAAAGTCATGAGGCCCTGGAGGCAGGGATTCCAAAATAGGAGAGAGGCCTGGTTAGTGGTGATGGGAGTTCCAGATGGCAGCAGGAAAATGGGAAAACTGTGGGGAAAAAATAGACATACACAGAAAATACGTAACTCCAGGAAAAACAGAATGTTGTATAGGAAAGTCAATGTAATCATAATTCACTTGGTTTTATTTGCATTAATATTTATAATTTGAATACTGACAATTGATTCAAAGAATAATTGTCATGTAAAACTATCTATTAGGAAAATGGAAGAATTAAATGTGATGGGACAGGTTTAAGAATGCTAGGCTGGGCGCAGTGGCTCACGCCTGTAATCCCAGCACTTTGGGAGGCCGAGACGGGGGGATCACGAGGTCAGGAGATCGAGAACATCCTGCCTAACATGGTGAAACCCTGTCTCTACTAAAAAGAATACAAAAAATTAGCCGGGCGTGGTGGCGGGCGCCTGCAGTCCCAGCTACTTGGGAGGCTGAGGCAGGAGAATGGCATGAACCAGGGAGGCGGAGCTTGCAGTGAGCTGTGATCGCGCCACCGCACTCCAGCCTGGGCAAACAGAGTGAGACTCCGTCTCAAAAAAAAAAAAAAAAAAAAAAAAAAAAAAAAGAATGCTAAATCTTCATCTTTTGTAGTAGATGAATGTCTAGAATTTATGAAGTAACTCTATAAACACATTACTGAGAAATCTGGAGGTAAATATCCAAATAAACAGGTGAGAGCTGAAAATGGTTGCCTTTGGAGAATGGAATTCTTGGATGAGGAGAGTAAAGTCAATTTTCTTTTGAAAATTACACTTGTAGTACTATTGATATTTAATTATTTTCACAAAAAATACACGATTTTTTAAGTTTCAGACTTGAGGTCCTCTGACCCCTAGTCCCCGCAGCCCCACTGTACTGTGTCTCAGTTGTCCTAACCATGTGGTCTTGAACAATTCATTAGCCAGACTTAACCAGGCAGCGTTGATCTTTGTCATCTCAGGTTAACTGTCACTTCCTCAAAGGTGTCTTCCCCAACATCCTCCAATGTAAAGAAGATCCTCTGTCAGTTTCTCACACAGAAACTTATTCTACTGAGCACTCATCACAATTTGTAATGAGATAATTATTTACTTAATATCCTTTTCCCTCACTAAACTATGGAGTCCATGAAGGGATAGGTCTTGTTGTCTGACATTTCCTCACGGACTGGCGGGGAATAAAGAACAAATGAGCTTGCCTACCTCCAACCCCTTCTCAAGAACCATCTTCCCATGTCAACAATGGCATTCTCTTCTTAAGGAGGAATGTAGTACTCCCCCTGTCTGCAATTTTGCTATTAATGGTAAGAATTCACACAGGACAAAGATGAGGTCTTGGAAATGCAGAGGGCTAAATCTTCCCTCCATTTTAGGTAGGTTCAAAACCTCCTGCACTCATTAAATATTGTTTTCATTCATCAAATAGGAATCATCAAACATAAGAATGTTTCATTCTTTTATACCTTTTATCATCCCTCCCTCTACCACTCCAAACAGGGAAGTTTGCGTGGTGGTTGGGTGTGGGGGAGTGTCTGATGGGGAGGGGTAGGGAGTGGGATTCTTTGCTGGACTGTGAGGAAACTCCCTGGGAGCTGGGTTGGGATAACAAGGAGACCCTCACCCAGTGGCTGTGACATTAGGAGATGCACGCTTGGCTCCAGGCTCTGTGTAACCTTGAGAGGGTCACCTCTCCATCTGTGAAATGGGCATAGAAGCCAAAATGACTTTATCCAGATCCAGGGTGGTTGTGAGCAACAGATGAGAAGGTAAATATTTACTGCAATCATGAGTGATGTTGGGCCAGCCACACGGGGGCTGGGGATGGCTCATGAGCACGAGAGTCTCTGCTGCCCAGAGCTTCTTCCTTGTGGAGGGAAGCAGGTAAGCAGATCACTGGCCTGGGCTACTCTCTTAACCTGAGATGCAGAGGTGGGCACTGGGTGAGAGGACAACTTGGCATTCTGCCTAGAGATTCTGGCATTTTGGGAATGCGCTTAATGTTATCTTTTTATCTCATCATCTGCCTGTCATCTTGTCCACCCACCAACTCAACTAAGTTTAAGTATGTGAGGGGTCTAAGGAGGGAGATGTTTTGGCCAGGAAGAGAATACCAAGGACCGGTGCCCTCACCAGAAAAGCAGCCCTCACAATGTCAAATACCTTCCCCTCGGGCATCCTTTCTGCTTTCCTTTCCTCTCCCACTGCCCACAAGACACCCGAATGAGAGATGCACATGACCAGGGAATGATTCCCACCGTGAAAGCTGCAATCCTGAATTTGGCTGAAGGGTGGCTATAAAAATAGACAGGTACCACTGATAAACAGCAAAAGGCAAACCTAATCAAGACTGTGGGGATTTTGCAGGTCTCTGCGACACTGTGTGGAACGGCTGCAAATCAAGCTAATATGAATCACCGTAGCATATCTCCCTACAGCTTGCAGGAGACGGCAGTCCCTCGGGGGACAGCCTGGCGGGTGGGAAAGATACTAACTCTGATCCAGCAACATGTTTGGGGCCTGTGGGGAGACAGGCTATTAGGGCGGCAGCCCGCAGAACGCTGCCAGGAGAGAGCATTCAGGAAGAGCAGGTCATTCAGACTGTGTGGCCCAGAAAGGTCCTGGCTGCTGTAGCCTGCAGGGAGACCCTCCAACAGAGGAAAACAGGCAAGGCCCATGGTGGGGGGCAGAGGACCTGTCAGCCCTGCTGGAGTGCTGTGATAAGGTACAGCACAAGTGCCAGGGCTCAGGAAGAAGCATGGAGTGCCACTGAACATGATGCAACTTTCAGGGTGAACTTGCCTCTTCCCTTTGTGTAATCAGTCTGGATCTTTGCCCACTGTCACTCTCTCATCACTCAAGGCTTCCTCTCGTTTTCCTAACCACAGCTGTATGTTTACAGTGTGGCCCAGGAGAAAAAGCTGTGGATTCCAGTCCTTATTCTGCTATTAATGGACTTGGAACCTGGAGAAAGCAAGTCCTCATACCTCCCTGGATTTCAGATGTGTGGCCATCACAGCAGTCCATATACCTTCCCATCCTAGATTTTCTGCTCTTCAGTCATTCTGGATTCTTCCTTTCACCCACCTAGCTCCACCCCCATCCCTGGAACTCTTTGTATGGATAAGTCTTCCTCATAGTTTAAAAATATACTTTTCTCAAAGAACTACCTATGCCTTCACACATGGTTGGGACCCTTGTACATGCCTTAAGCATGTTGTATTTTTGTTTTATTGCAATTATTACAGCGTTCATTAAATAATTCTGTATGGCCACTCCCTTCCTGGCTATAGTCTCTGTGAGTGAACATGGTTGATGCTGCCATATCCCAGCGCCCAGCACAGTGACAGGCACTCCACAAATAGGTATTTAATGAATGAGTAAAGGCCAGCAAATAGCTTTGGAGCAAAACTTAAGTGCTTCATTCGACACTAGGTAACAGGAGTATACTGAACAAGATACAGTTCCTGTCCTAAAGCTCCAATAATATTTGGGACAGACTGAGAAGTAAACCAACAATTACAATGTCAGTGCCATAATAAGGGTAAGATCAGAGTGCCTTGGGACACATCTGAAGGAAATGCAAGCTATTTCAGGAGACCAGGAAACGTTTATGGTATGAATTCATAATTGCATTATAAATCCTACTGAATATGCAATTAGCGCAACACTGTGTGAGCAGAAAACCCTGGTGATATGGAGACAGGAAAAAAATGCATTCTTTACCATTTGTTTGCACGAGAGACCCCCAGCTGGATGTGTTCAAATAGCATATATGGAAACACCAGAGTTGTCAATTTAAGTGGCTCTGGTGTTCTCCAATATTTTCATTTGTTTCCCCACTCCTATGCGAGATAAACAGCTATTTATTTGTGTGTCACTTTTTGTCCTTATTATTCTTATTTTTTTCACAAGCATCATTATCATTAGCATCACAGATGATTGCTCTAAAAAGTAATGACACTCAAATCTGGGTTCCTAAATGACTGTGAAAACACTTAGGGCACTCACTGAGTTCTCGCAACAACCTGGTAGAGTGGGTCTCTTGACCCTATTTACAAATAGAACCCTGAGGCTGGGCGGGGGGTCCTTGTGCACACTGTGAAGGAATGGAGAACCCAGGTGTTCTCCCCATTTCTCCTATGCTCTTTGAACTCTTTTACAAGGCAGCTACCCCCTCCCTTGGCATCTCTCTCCTGAGAGGCTTAGGGAATCACAACGTTCATTTTCAGTTTTCTTGTCACCATCCCTCAATCCCTTAAAAATCAGACGCAAAGCATCACCACCTTCCAGTTCTCAGGTGAGGGCTCTGTGGTAGAACCATATATACTTTTATGACTCACCTAGTCTGGAGCAGAATTTCTTTATTTATTTTGAGTCAGAGTCTCACTCTGTCACCCAGGCTGGAGTGCAGCTGCACGATCTCGGCTTACTGCAACCTCCACCTCCTGGGTTCGAACAATTCTCCTGCTTCAGGCTCCCAAGTAGCTGGGATTACAGGTAACCACCACCAGGCCTGGCTAATTTTTTTTTTTTTTTTTTTTTTTTTGTATTTTTAGTAGAGATGGGGTTTCACCATGTGGGCCTTGCTGGTCTTGAACTTCTGACCTCAAATGTTCCACCCGCCTCAGCCTCCCAAAGTGCTGGGATTATAGGCGTGAGCCATCACCCCCAGAATTTATTTCTAATCCAAGCATTTATTCAATTATCAGGCCAGGTTTTTTTGAGGCTCTACTATGTGTCAGAAATTGTGCTAAGAGGTTGAAATGATACAAAGATTAAAGTATTAATTTCTTCCTGTTCTTTCCTCAAGTCTAGGGGATGAAGACAGATGTGTCACACACAGTGTGACACAAAGAGGGGGAAGCATGTCGTGTGGGAGTGACCACGAGGAGGTGGCCAGGTCCATTGAGGAGAATAGAGAGGGCATGCAAGAGGGCCACCATCCAAAGCAGGTCTCATAGGATAAGGCACTGAGGGCATGGAAGAGGAAAGAGGCCACACATAGTAGATATATGTAGATAAATCAAGAAGTAGGGAGGAAATATGCAAGTGTAGAAAACTGGCCCAGGTTGGATGCAGGTGCAGCCTGGAAAGGCAGTTTTGGCCAACTTACGGTGATGTTCACGTGCTCAGCTAAGAAGTGTGAACTTACACTGAATAAGGAGGTGGGCAGAGAGAAGAGTGACAGGCGTACCAACAGTTTCAGCTTGGGCCGCCAGGTGGTTGAGATGCTATCGATCCCAATAATAACATCAAGGGGAGGAGAAGGTTTGAGAATAACGTTTTCTACATACTGAGTTTGAGAGGCCTCTTGCATATTCAAGTCCACATGTTTAATGGGTAGGTGGAAACATGAACCTCGATCCCAGGGGAGAGATCTGGTGAAAGATGTAAATTTCAGAGTCATCTTTGTGAAACTGAGAGTAGAAGTCATGTAATAAAGAGATCACCCAGATGGTATGTCGACATGTAAAAGAGAGACAAGGATGAAACCTCAACAGATATCGATATTAGCTCAGAGAAAAGAAGAAAAGCAAACATGGGTTTTCACGGAGGCAGAAGGAGGAGCAGAGGAATACAGCGACCTGGGGGTCAAGATTGCAAAGCACTTCAAGGATGGAGGCCCATCATGCCAACCCTTCAAAGCAACTGTGTTGAAGAAATGAAAAGATGAGTCAATGGTAAGGTCATGGTTGACCTTGACACATGTCCTGATGGAAGTTGATTTGCAATGAACTGTGTAATACACGATAACTGAAAACTTAGAGACCCACTTTCAAGAAGTTTAGCTGAGACACCAGGTGAAGTGGGAAGTACAGGTAGAACACCGAGGGACAGGAGGCATTAAGGGAGGCCCAGTCACATTTACTGCAAAATGGGAATTTCAAACTTTTATTTAGAATGTTTCAGATTTGTCCACCCTGTGAGGTAAATCCTGATGTGGTTTTCTGGAGAGTGTAGAGATCAAGGGGTCTTATTAAGAAGAGGTAGTGGTCATTTTCTTCTTTCTTGTCCCTGGATCAGAGAAGGTAAACTGAGAAGCTATACTTATTTTTTTTTCTCAGCACAAATACACTGATAAGAGAAGCTGCCATTTTAAAGACATTCTGACTAGACATTTTCACAGTTAATGCCTAAAGATTCAGATTTTTTATCCCAGACCTTATTTGGGTTCACTTCAGGGAATATGCTATGGTCTTTCCTGCAATTCTACACACCCACAGAAAAAGCATTCCCAAATTGGATACCTTGATATCTCAGGTGCCGGTCTTCTGCTTCTGGACTGGACAGCCACAGCGAGACTGCTGCTACCTTTCACTGCATCCCAGATGCAACCTAACTCAGGAAAGCTACATATGTCGTTTATTCAAGGTCAGCATCTTTCTCCTTCCTGGCAAGCCCCTGACCACCAGAACCATTGCCCTCCTGCCCTCTCCACCTCTGAAGGTCAAAGGGGTAAAGACCAACTTGGGGGAGGATAATAGAATGACAGCATCTCATAAGAGGGAGATCTAAGGCTGGAGAGAAAGTCTGCTGATTGGGTGAGGTGCTTCTGTGGATAGAGGAGGAGGAATGTTGACCCAGTGAACTCAATTTACTCCACTGCTTTACACTTAAGAAAATATGCCAGCTCTTCCTCCGCTTTCGTGCCCCAAGAAAGCCCAATGGCCACAGCTCTCTGCAACCTGCCACTTGCCTACTAATTTAGCCATTGAGCAGAAGTTCGGGCTCTGACAGGTGGGCCTTCCGACAAGTGCAGAATGGATATCGGGGTCTCTGGCCTTTGGGTCCTGATTTCATTTCAGATTAAGAGCCGCCGAAATGCAGCAATCGATAACTCAGCTCTTTTGTTTGCTTGTTTTTTCCAAGTCCCCAAAGAGATTAGATCTGATTTCGCAGACCTTTAGCAAATTTAATTGTTTCTTATTCACAGTTGCTCAGTACAACTTCTCAGAGGCTGGTAGCAGAGGAATTCTCCACAGCATACGGGGCTCCTTTGAGCTAAAAGCAGGGTTCCTCGGGTGTGTGGAGGAGCTCAGGGTCGTGCCCTTGTGGGGATGCACTGGCTTCCCATGGCTCTTAACCCCTGTGCAGCCACCCTTCCCACCACTGTCCTGGAGCAGGATTTCTGTCCTCCTCACTCAAGGGGTCCACAAAGAAATGTGTGTATGGAATCAGGGATGTGCACTCAGTTCCCAGACTTCATCCTGACACCCAGATTATGGCCACTAGGAGTCTTCAGCAAGGTTGAGAAGAATCTGAAGGGAAAGATGACCTCTTGGCCTAATGAGGACAAGGAGCTTGAAGCATACGCCTCAAAGACCCCCCAGCCCTCAGTGATGCCTCCCAAAGTGGGACACTGGCAACCTCCCAGCAGGCGTGGCCATTGGTCACCACCTCCAGAAAGCATCTCCACCACTATCAGCCTCATGTCTCGCCTGGTGAGAGTCCAAGATTTCTGCACACATTACCAGCTACATTAACAAGTCTTGACTATTTTACTGTCTTCCTCAACACAACTCTACTACTGCCCAGGAAGATAACAGTTGCAAATAACTTTATTGTTCCTCCCAAGAACTTACCGAAAGACCCATTAAGCTACCAAAAAAGAAAAAAAAAATTAAAGGACAGTTTCTACCCCCAAACTCTTTATATCCAGTGATCCTACATGATTACATCATGATTCCTATAGATACTGATCAGCCCCCTCCCTAGCTCCTGCATTGAGAGACTTGCCTTAAACCAGGCTTCAAAATCTCCTAAGTGATCCTGCTTTGCCCTTCTCCCTCAAAGGCACTACTGACACTATGCAGGTGTGGGGCTTTCCTTAGTGCCAGAAACCATGAACTTGGCTGTGTCTTATCAATATGTTGTTTTAGTGATTGTGAAGGATAGCCAATATTCGACCCTGGCTTCAGGGAAGCCTTTGGACTTTTTCCTCTCTCAGAGTTCTAAGTTCCCGTTATCATGTTGTTGGGCTTTTAATGTGTATATTATTTGCTTTAGTGTCTTTGAGCCTTAACATCAAAGAGCTGCTATTGATTGAGGCACCTGAAGCCAAACTGTTTAGGTGTGAGGGTTTGTAACTCGCGGCAGGAACTATAGGGCGTTTTTGGGAAACTATGGCCAGAGATTGCACAGAAACTTGCACATCAGTTATTTCATTTGAATTATTTCTCAGCCCACCTAAACCAAAAACAAACACTCCAAGAGGTATCAAATATCACATTAAAAGGAGACAACTAGCCAGGCGCAATGGCTAACACCTGTAATCTCAGCACTTTGGGAGGCCAAGGCAGGTGGATCACTTGAGGCCAGATGTTCAAAACCAGCCTGGCCAACATGATGAAACCCTGTCTCCACTAAAAATACAAAAGGATTAGCCAGGCATGGTGGCAGGTGCCTGTAATCCCAGCTACTTGGGAGGCTGATGCAGAAGAATTGCTTGAACCCAGGAGGCGGAGGTTTCAATGAGCCAAGATCGAGCCACCGCATTCCAACCTGGGTGACAGAGCGAGACTCTGTCTCAAAAAAAATAAAAAAATAAAAAAAAAAAAAGCTGGGCGTGGTGGCTCACGCCTATAATCCCAGCACTTTGGGAGGCCAAGGCAGGCAGATCACGAGGTCAGAAGATCCAGACCTTCCTGGCTAACACGGTGAAACCCTGTCTCTACTAAAAATACAAAAAAAAAAAAAAAATTAGCCAGGCATGGTGGTGGGTGCCTGCAGTCCCAGCTACTTGGAGGCTGAGGCAGGAGAATGGCATGAACCCAGGAGGCGGAACTTGCAGTGAGCCAAGATTGCGCCAAAAAAAAAAAAAAAAAAGAAAAGAAAAGAAATAAAAAACAACTAAGCAATTGCAAACTAGACGGTAACTTATCAGCATGCTCCTGCTGAGATAAACATGCTGCTTCACAGGTCAATCAGATCCTCCAGGCATTTATCTGAAATAACTTGAGGAAGGTGCATAACTCAGTTTGCCTGCCTGTCAAATGGGTCTAAGTGGTTCGTACATCCCTGAGAAACTGAAATTCAGCTGGCACAGACTTTGCAGTACAGAAGAGGCAAGGAAGAGACACAGACCCTGTCTCCAGTGCAGTGTGAGTGGCACTGAGCTCCTGGCAGCCTGTATGCAAATACCTTAGCAGGACATAGGGATCCAATTGATTTCCCATCTGCTATTTTCTTTCTTTTTTTTCCTTTCTTTCCCTAAAATAAGTGAGAGAGCAGAAATTCTTCCTATTCTGCATTAGTGCTTGATGTAATGGTGCAAGGCATTTTTCATTTATCATCATAACGTCAGTCAAAGGAACGCCTAATAATGTAAATGCAAGAAGAAAGTCATTAGAGTTTATTTGCATGGCAGCTTCAAGCTCATTCTCCACTCAGAAGGGAGGGTGAAGTGGAAGTTAAACACACAGGGTTACCTCCCTAACCAGCTGGTCAGGTGGGCACCACTTGTAGCCTCCTCCTAAAGAAGCCTCGGGGAAATGGAAACACCCTACTTATGAGCAATGTGTGCTGGAATGCAGAGTCTGGCTGCTGATGTCACTGGAGGAACTGGAATTGCTGTCTACAGTTCCCTTCCTAGATAAGAGATGGAAGGTGCTGCACCCTGACTGACAATGCAGACAGAACGAGATACTTTATTACCTGCAAGTCAGTTTGGATTTGTTGACCTCCAGGCAGCCTGCCTCTTTTGCGGATTCTGAGTTGACATCAGAAAGCGCTCATGGTCTCGGGGCTGCTAGCTTTTTCACGACTGTCAGCAACAAACATCTTTCCAGGCAAGCACCAAGCCCTTTAGTCGACTTTGTGCCCCTGGAAGCACCTATCATGCCACCACTTACCAATAGGAAGAAGCTCAGCAACAACAGCATGTTTTGTGTGAATGAATAAATGAACTACACACACTAGTAGAGGTCCTACAGGTCCACACCTTTAAACAGTTTAACGACATCAGCCTTATTCTAGAAAACTTCAAAACTTAGAGAATGCAGATGTTTGGGGGTGCTGAATCTTTACTATGAATGGATTCTCCTCTAACTCATCATAGCAGAACTAGAAAGGCATGGAATATGGAGAAACAGAAAATTGAATTTAAATCCCCTATCAGACACTTAGTTGGTGAGATCTTAGGCAACTTGTTTAATTTTCCAGAGCCTTAGTTTTCTCATCTATAAAGTGGTGCAATAGGTCCTACATCCTAGAGTTACTCTAAGTAATAAGTGAAAGGATGCAAAGCAGCACCTTTGAAGCTATAATATGCATATGTATAATCTAAGGATCTTGTTCAAATGTTGAATCTTGTTCAACTTTGAGATGGGGCCTGAGAGTCTGCCTTTCTAAAAAGCTCCCATGTGATGAAAATGCTGATAGTCCTGGCACCACACTTTGTGTAGCAAAGATGTAGGGCATCTAATACAATTCCTGGCACATAATAAATGCTCAGCAAAAGTAGATCTTGTTATTGATTATTTTCTGTTTGCAGACTACTTCATTCATGGTTATAAAGTAGAAACAAGAGCAGGAAGATATATAGTCCCTGATCTTAAGCTGATGATTCCCTCAATATTCAACAACTATTTAAAATTTAGAAGGAAAAATAAATCTCACATGTAAAATGCATCAGATAAGCAAGTGGATTTGAAGTGTAGGAGGAAGGAGTAAAATTAGCCATCTGCAATGACTTCCTGCATGCTGACGTCTTGATTTATACTGGTATACATTCCTTGGAAGGGCGGGAGAGGGAAAAGTGCTCTCATACAATTTCCTGCCCAGATAGTTGTCTAGAAGTGCTCAGGTTCTGTATGATTTGGAGCGGGGAGGATGGCCCAATTTACTTTGAAAGATGCTTGTTAATTTGGGGGATTCTGAGATTTGCCCAAGAAATTTGTCACAGAGCAGATTCCAGAAGGACTTTGCCGCTTCTGATTTTCTACTTAATTTGCGCCTGATCAAAAACTAATGGCTCCCTTAAAGACTCAGGTACGTGACATACATTTCTCAATCTAACACTGACTTCCAAGCACCTGGTTCCAGTGGTAATATTCTGTAATCAGACTGAAGATGGGAAACCTTGTGGGGAGGAGATACACATTCAGACCCCGGCAAGGGTGTGATGGAGAATCTGGCAGAGGAGGAAGAAGGCAGGCAGCAGATTGAAGTTGGCCAGGCATCAAGTTCTGAAATATTCTGAAACATTCAAATGTGACTGTTCTCAGATGTCCCAGCTATCCCTGCAACAGCCTATCAGAATCCTGAGCTCTCCTGTGCTCAGACAAAATAAACCACACCCCTTCCCTTCCTCCATCAGGCAAAGTAGACGGGATGCCTACATCAAGTTAACTACGTTGTGGACAAAATGCAGGGCTCAGATTTGAACTTGCAAACTCTCAGTGTTATTCCATCCACGGATTCTTCACGGGCTTGTGCTCCTGACCACTGCCTACTCACAGGACATCAGAACAGTTAATATCTCCAGAGAGCATGTAAATCCCCCAATAATTATGGAAGTAAAATGCATTTACAGGCACAACCCTTATTAGCAAGGCAGCCACCATAACAAAGTTACGAGGAAAAGGAAAATCCTCATGTGTATTCATAAGAAGAAAATAGCTAACCCCAAATAATCACAATGCTAAATATGCATCTCCCTAGGCTAAGGTGGGTAGTTCTTAATAAAGATATGTAGGTTAGTCAGCAGTTGCTTTGTTTAAAATTTGAGGTGGAGCATGGGAAGCATGAACCAGGTAGGATATAGGAGACAGTTCTGAGAAAGGGAGAGTCTAAATCTTGACCCACGTCACCTCCCCGTCATCTCCTCCATGGGCCCTTAGGGAAACCGGCTGGAACTGCATATGCAGTAGCTTCCTATAAATGAGTCCTAATTAAGCCCCTGTTCCTGGATGCCTTTCTGGAGGGTTACCAGATCATTAGTCTTGGTATCAAAAAAAGAGTCTATGTGGGAAAAGGTCAAAGGATCCAAAGGAACCTTCAGCATCCCTCTGATGCCTCCTCTCCCCCCAGGCAGGGCTGCACACCGGCCTCCAGGCAGGAGAAGGGCCATGTGCAGGCGGGATTGGAAATCTTCTTAGATGCCTCTGTCCTCTCTTGCACAGGTGAACCCTGTCGCTTCACAGAAAAAATATTAGCCAAGGGCCTTTGGTCATCCAGGGCAAGAAGCATGAGAGTCAGCCATTCCCTAGGCTCCAGGGGAGGAGGCAGATTGCAGCCAGATACAGGACATACTGATCTCAGGTCAAATGCGTGATTTCTTGAAGTAAAGTTGCAGTTAATAAGATGGCATGCTTCTCCCTCCGGGTCGAATTCTCTTCAAGCTTCCAGCCCATCTCACACCCGCAGGGGCCTGCGTGCTGGACTCCAGGTCTAAGGGTACACACTCCATCTGCTTGGGATGAAGAAAGACTGGAGAAAGAGATGAGAGGGCAAGGGAGAAAGGCCAAGGCTAGAGAATGGGTGGGAAGCTCCAGAGTGTGGTCTGCGTGAAGCAGAGGAGGCATTACATCATGGAGGAGAACCAGACCAGGCATTTGCCAACAAATGCTGGTTCTAAAGACATGACACTCTCACCATTGTTCCCTAGACTGACTAAAATGGACTTTTATAAAAAATGAAAAAGAAATAAAACAAATGCATTTTTTGTTTGCTTTTCTTGGTTATGTCTCCTGAGCCCACCCACTTCCAGATGCCCAAGCCTTGAATTCCCTCAATGGCTGCTCTGCAGAAGGGAAAGAGCCAGGGATGCATGAGAATGGGAGCCAGTCTCTAGCTCCCAGTGGGTCTAGAACATGGAGTTTTGGAGGTGAAGAGAAAGATCTTGCCAGTGAAGTGGGCCTTAAGCCTCCACAATGTACTCAGCATTGCTGTCTATGTTAGTTTCCTACTGCCGCTGTAACAGATCACCACAGACGTAGTGGCCTTAAACAACATAAATCTATGACCTTACGGTTCTGAAATGCCGAGGACCAAAGCAGTCTTCCTAGGCTAAGGTCAAGGTGCTGCGGAGCTGGTTCTACCTGCAGGTTCTAGAGAGTCTGTTTCCTCCCTTTTCTCAGCCTCCAGAGGCTGCCTGCATGCTTTGTCTCGTGGCCCCTCATAGCAGCTGTCCAACCTCTTTCTCCCATCATCAGGTCTCCTGCTCCTGCCTTTGACTTATAAGGACCTTTGCCATTGCATCAGGTTCATCTGGATAATCCAGGATAACTCCCCATCTGAGGATTCTTAACCACATCAGCAAAGTTCCTTTCTCCATAGGCGGCATCTTGTTTGCAGGTCCCAGAGACTAGGGCCTAGACACCCTTAGGGACAAATGGTCCCTCATTATGCAGCCTGCTATACCATCACTCGTGAAACGCCATTGAGCAATTGCTACGTGAGAGGAGGACACGGTACCTGGTGCTGATCACCTGACTCCCAACAACCAAAGGAAGGGGCAGGTTGATGATGGCTGCCTAGCAGAATCCTCCAACAGCATTCGTGGGCACAGATGGCTCAGGCTGAGTGCTCCAAAAATGGTGGGCAGCCAGCTCTGCCCCACATTCACTCCAGTCTAAGCCGCCAGCATTTCTCACTTTATTTGAGTGTAATGGCCTCCCGACATCTGCTACTGCCCTCCTCCAATTTCCTCTGGGCACAGCAGCTCAAAGAATCCTTTATACCTCCATCCCTCCCTCCAATGTCTTGCCATTGCACTTAAAATAAAATCCCACTTTTTATTATGGCCTTCAACCACCTACATGATGTGGCTTCTGTCCCCTTCCCTTTCATTCCATTTCACTCTTTCCCTCACCTACCCAGCCCAGCCACGATGGCTTCTTTCAGTCCCTTGAAACATGCTGAGCTATTCCCCCACCTCACTGCCTCCCCTCATTCTGCTCCCTCTGCCTGAAATGCTCTTCTGTCTGCTCTTTTCATCCCTGGTCCCTTCTTATCCTTCAGGCCTCAGCCTAGGTGTCCTCTCTCCAGAAGCCCTTCTCTGGATCATTCTACCTATGGAAACCTCCCTCTACCCCTGTCTTATTCTCCGTTATTTCATCATGTGCACTGTGGTAGTACTCACCAATTTACTTGCACCTAATAACAGATTTTCATACACATATAAGGTAAGAAAATCAGACAAATAATTTACCAGCAGTTTAGCTGTTCTCTCTAAGACTGAGGACTAGACTCCATTACTAGACTATAAAATAATGGCAAGGATGAAGCCCAGGTCTGTTTTTGTTTGTTTGTTTGTTTGTTTGTTTGTTTTTAACCAAGGTATACTTAGCTTCAACTCAGTTCATGGTAGGCTGAGCCATTTTTTTGAGGGATGGATAAATGAATGAACAGATGGGTGGGTAAATGGGAAGATGGGTGGATCTATGAAAGCTTACCCAAGTGAGTTGCTCGACTCACCCTGACTTGTGAGGTCTCTAGACTGGTCTTGTAAGTGCGTACCTTGGTGATTATCTCTCCCCACTTGGCAATGAAAGAACAATAGGTGAAGTGTTCATGAGGCGCCACCCTGATTTTAATGCATAGGAGATTTGGTGTGGAGTACAGGCCCTCCTGGCTCTGAGACTTTGCATACATATGATACACAAACATCAGCTGACAGACAAAACCTTGGTGATCTGTTTTGATTTCTTGCAATTTAATAGAGAATCAATAGACTGACCAGGGAAATCTAGATTTTGGTTTTATCTCTCCTAACCTCTCCAGTGACTCCTACCAGGGTAGAAGTAGTTGGCTTTGCACAGAGACAAACAGGAACATAATCATGTCTAGTCTGTGAGTGGATGTGTGGGCTTTCGAGGCCAATTTAATCATGGTGCCCCTAATCCCTGTGCCGGCCTCCACCACTTGCTCTGCATTCACATGCTGTTTGTTCCCTCTCTACCTGCTGTCAATTCCTTAAAGCCCAGTCTTTGAAAGAACTGTTACCAATCCCTGTGAGTGGAAGATGGGAAACAAAGGAGACTTGAATATCTCTAGGTGGCGTCTGACCTTCACAGATGTGGCGACAGAGATCTGCACCATAGCTTCTAGCATGCATCACTGCAAATGCAGACATGCCGATAAAGCTGTGGCAGCCTGAAGCCCATGCAAAACGCTGCCTTTGGGATGCAGCAAGGCGTTTGGTTTCTATGAGTCCTCTAACATCACAGCTTTGATACCAGCTTCCTAGTGAGCTCTGAATCCCATTCAAAATTGCTTTGTTGACATTTAAAGGTCTCTATCAGTCTAGTCATGTGGCAAAAAGGATTGGATACAATCATCCCGGCCTCGCTACCTCCTAGCTGAACCTAAGACAAAATGATTGCTGTCTGAATGGCAAGCCCAGGAGTTCCTTCCAGCTCTACAATTCTATGATCCTATGATGCCTCCTGTTCAGCCAGTTGTCTGAACCTCTCTGACTGCCAATAGCTCAGAGAAAAATCCCATTAAAAGAGCAAATGAAACCTGTAACAAAACTTGTCAGGAAACTGCCAAAAGCCCAGGACACTTTCCACCATGGACTGTTTTCCAAAATGCTTACACTGCCAAAGGGACTTCTAGGTGAGACATAAAATACAACTTTCTAGCAGTACATGTTGTGGATCAAGGGAAAGAAAATCATTGACTGACTTCCTTCTTGGGGATTAGGCCCCATCTTCCTAGAGGAAGAGAGCTGGTCCAGATGGATTTTGGAGAGTTATGATAGTTTAGGTTCTTTGATCCTTATTTCTTGATCATTTTTACAACCCTTACTTAAATTGCCAAACTGAACACCTCAATTAAAATAATGAACGTGTCATTTTCCGTCTAAATCAATAATTTCATCCAGCAACAGTAGCCCTAATTTTCCTTAATATAAATTCCCTGGAGAGTTTACAGTATTCAGAATAACCCAAACTCCAGGTCAGAACTAAGGGCTAGACCCTTCCCTATACCTATAGGGCTACACACTGCCTTCAAGTTTGCTCTAGACCAATTAACTTATCTCTCCAGTTCCCACTAATACTAAATAACAAGTCTCTTAATATCTAACAAAATACAATTCTTTCTGGAGCCAGGAAAGCATTCCACATCAAATACAGGTTATACTAATTAGATCAGAGGGGTCTGAGTCCAACATGGTATTTTATTAGAGTTAGCCCTGAGCCCACAGTTTGGGTAGGTTTTCGCTGTAGAAGATAAGGGGGAAATTATTTTTTGTGTTTAATGAACAGTCCTATAGATGAAACAAATGGTATTTGATCAGCTGATATTTTGCTTGTCATGAGGTTGTCAGGATAACTATGAGTTTAAGCTGTGATTCAGATTAATGGAAAGATCTGAGAGTTTAGTAGATCCTGAGAAAAATGATACAATTCATTAGCCATTAAACTAGAGGTTGTCTAATTCTACAAATATCCTCATTGTACAAATGAAAAGATTGACAATAAGAAAGGCTTTGTGACTCCCCCAAGGTTACGTGCTAATATTGAAATTGAATTGAGACTGGAAAACAAGTCTACTGATCATTTCGCCACCAAATGCAATCAGAAAAGGATATAATGAGAACAACATTTATTTTTATCTTTTTTTCCACTTGCACTTCTCTGCTAACATTCCTCCCAATCTTCCAACCCACTCTTTAATTCAAATTCTGTTTAAAAGGACATTATATCAAAAACAAGACTTTAAATCTGTTCCTTTGATTTTTAAATCAAGTTATTTTAAAAGTTCAAGTTTGTTTGGAAAATCTTATGGTAAGACCAGTGGTCCTTTCTTTGCCTCACCCAAGATGTTCCCCATCCCTGTCCCCACACACAATGGAAGTTTAGACTGAATCTGTTTATTGAGTCTAACTGTGTCTTATACACATGCACCTGATTTTGCTGGTAAGTCTAGTTGGCTCCCCAAGCATAGTGAGTAGAAAATAAGAAGTCATCAGCCAATGTTGAAGGTGGCAGACAGGCTATGGTGTTTGATGGGTAGAAGGGAGTTCAGGGAGAGGCAACCGTGTGTTTGACAAAGATTTTCATGGCTTCTTACTCAGCAGTTCCTGTAACGCAGCAAATGTGTAAGTGAAATAATAATGGTAAAAAATGATGAGTTTGAAGGTTAAGTTCATTTACCATTCGTACCCTCTAGTTCCTCTCTCCCCCTGGTTTTCTTACCAACATAGAAAGGGGTTTGGAAATAAGAACACAATATTGAGATATGTCCCTGGCTTTGGGTGTAGAAAAGGGAAGAAAAAAAAAAACATGAAAAGAAGAAACTTCCTAATTCATGATCTGTACCAAATATAGTTGCCAGATAAAATACAGGATACCCAGTTGAATTTGAACCTCAGATAAAAAAGCAAATTATTTTTGAGTGTAATTATGTCCCAAATATTTTCTGGAGCATACTTGTACTAAAATAGTTTTCATTGTTTATCCAAACAACAAATATAACTGGACATTCTGTATTTTCATTTTCCAAGTCTGACAACCTTAGTCCCAAAGTAAATAATGAAGGACATTGTGTATATGTTTAAGTCTTCCCTACTACCTCCTGTGCCCACTACCAAAATAAACACATAAAGACAATGAGGGCAAAAACCTCCAAGATATTAACCCATGTACCACTAAGAAAATTATAAATTAATGGGGAAATTCAAGAGTCATCGTGGTTTAGGCCATGACAGTTGTTCTTCAGCATACATCAGAATCACCTGGAGACCTTCTTAAAATACAGATTTCTGGGCCTCACCCCCACATTTTCAGATCCAGTAGGCCTGGAGTTGAGCCTGGGAATCTGCTTTCTGACAGATTCCTGGTGATAGGTGGCTACTGTCTGGGCTACTGGTTTAGGAGAAGGAGTCCTGGCCTAAAAGTCAGGTGCCCACAGTCCTGGTTTCTGTTCTACTCTTTACTAGATGTGCAATTTTGAATAACTGATTTAGGGTTATTTTGTTTATGCTTAATAATGTGGTATATGATTATATTCTCAAGCAATATGGATATAAATTAGCTAAGCATTTCCCATAATGACCTTGCCTGGAGAAGAGTTTGTCAGCTTAGACGAATAGCATTCAGTGTGTGCTCACCACAGCCAGGGCTCAGAGGGGGTTCCAAAAGCTTCTGGGAAGAGCTGTGGCACACCAGGCATCAGGCCGACCCAGTTTCTTCCAGAGCAAACTCACTTCATCTGCTTTATATATTGGGCACTGCGAGGAGATTCTCTTTGTAGAAAGGTGCCACTAATTTTTTAAGTTCAAAACCCATTGACTTAGAAAATCACACCTAGGATCCTTTTTAAGAGTCTGCAATTACAGCTCAACCCCATTCCAATTCCATCCTTTATTATCTCTCCAGATGGCCTGCTATTGGATTCACTAATAATAAATGGTCCTATCAGTCTCAAGGGAAGAATCTGACCTGGCTTTTGCCTGATGCACACCAGCGTCATCACAATTGTTCACACTAGGAGTCAGAAGCAAGTGGGGAGACTGGAATCTGTTGGGTTTGGGGCTTAGGGCTTAGGGATGCACAATTTGCTTTCCAAAGGCCTGGGTAGCAGCACTGTATAGACAACCCTGTTTGGCAATGGAAGGACTAACATGCAAGCTTCTGAAGGGTTGGAAAGAACCTGCAAGAACTTAGAAAAATGCAAGTACATTGACAGGAAGGCAGGACATTGTAAATGAAGAAATAGGCAGGCTGATTTGGACAAAGTTAAAGAAGGAATGAGGAACCAATTAAGGATCTCTGTCCATCACTGGCAGCAGTCCATCACATGCCAGTACTTGCAAAAACCAGGGATGCTGGGAAAACAGCCAGGGCAGAGCATGGGAGACCATGGTATATGCATCCAAAGAACCTCACAGAGTGTTGCCCTTGATCCTTTCTCCTCCAAAGGACTCCATTCACTCCCGAATGCTCCTGAACTTCAGAAAGAACCTGTCTGATGGAAGTGGCAGTCCCGGACCTGCTGCCCTGATCTGCACACAGCAGCACTCATCATGGGAGAAACTTGGGTCCAACCTCTAGCACTGGCCCCTTTAGAGGGATCAGAGACTGGGGTCCCAGCAGAGTGTAAGCTCAGCAATGGGCAGGCCAGAGGCAAAGGCAGCAGGCAGACTGTCCACTCAGTCCTGGAGAGGGAAGGAAGAGACCTCAGCTCTCCAGCCTCTGCTCAAAGAAAATCCATGCCCCCAGGACATGGGTTTGCTTCATCTCCCAGAATTGGTGGACAGAGCCACAGTGTAACATGTGTCTCTAGAGTTTACCTGCTTCATGCTGCCCCACCTTTCACCAGAATACCCTGCTCCTCCTTTTCTCTGCCTGTGGATTCTTTTTCAAGAGTTCAGGAGCGACACTGGTGGAAGAAACCTTAAAGATCTATTGTTCACAGGTAAGGCCGATGAATTGAGGTTCAGTTGCAGGCTTGCCCAAAATTACATAGCTAGTTAGGGTCAAGCTGGGTCTAAGAACCAGGATTCTATTACTCTACCAGAGATTGTCCCTGCACCTTCCCTCTGCCTTTCGCCACAGGAGGCCTTGTCCTCATGGTCTCCCCTGCCCTCCTCGTCTCCCCTGCCCTCCTCACAGCCAGATCAACACAGTAACCATGTGGACTCATTTTTCCTGCCTTTTCATCTCCATAACTTGTCCTGCTTGTCCCCACGGGTTTGGACTGCCAGGAACCTGCTGCCCACACGGCAGGAACATGTGTCTCACTTGCACCTTCAAAGACAACACAGCCATAAACACTATTATTTTTAATAACATCCCTAGGTTTGGCAACCCAACTGTCTGTGTGCCTGCCTTAATTTAATCAGACGACTGGTTCTCTCAGACTGTGATATAAAGGAAATAGCACTGAGCTGACAAAGATTCCCACTTGGGGAGAAAATTCCACAGTAACTGCAGAATGGTAGCTCTTCCCAAAGCTCCTGACAAAACGGCTCTGGCCTGAGGACAAGAGCAGCCAAGGGGCTCTTTCAGGGTTGGAAGGTTGGGCCGTGCCATTGATCAGCACTGTTCGCAACTTGTACTCAACTCACACCACTCCGGCGGCTTCACCACAGTGGGTGGGCTGGCGCTCCAGAAAGCAAAAGGAAGCACGCTCCTGTTTATTACTGAAAACAGAATAAAATGCTATTTAAAGGCAATCAGTTGGAATTGCTTTCAATACATAAATATTTTGGAAAATGATTAGTTCATTTTAATTACTTCACTAACATGGATAACAATATTTTTGCAAGCTGTGACTTCTCCGAGGAGGTTACAAAGTGGCACCAACTCTATTCTGGCACCTGACTCTATCCTTTGAAAGAACAGCCGTTATCTATTCTATGGGCACAAGGGAAGAGTTGAGGCAGGAAGGGGACCAAAGAGTTGTGTGAACCTCACAAAACCAGGTACAGAAGGTCTGCCTCGTCTTCACCCCAAGGCAGTGTAAGGTCTTGCTGGGTCTTAAAGGTTTAATGTTATCCTTTGCCCTAAGACCTCAGTAACTGGGCCAGGCTCCACCCAGAATCTAAAACCATTGATGACAAAAGGTTCTCCTAGTGTAGGTTTCTCCACTTAAACGATTCAGCAGAAAGCAGACATTTTCCCTTTCTTGTTATTAGTGATGATTAAGAAACATACACACACACACACGCCCCGTAAGAAGGGAGTTGCTTTTGCTGAGAATTGCTTTAGAGTACATATTATTTTTTAAAAACCACTTTGTAGATTTTATTAACTCAACAAGCTAAGCACCAATACTGTACTTATAAGCACAGACAGCAGATGAGATACGAGTGCCATCAATAAACCACATCACTCAGCAACAAATTCATTACTGTCAATTACTTGGGCGAATCAACAAACTTTTTTACTTTTGCTATGTTATCTAAATGTCTAATTTGATATGGTGGGGAGGAGAGAGGAGGACAGTTTTGTCTTAATATTCTAGAATATGTAGAAATTGAAGTGATAGAGATTATGCAGGTGAATATAAGAGTCACAAATCTATGCTTTGGGTTGAAAACACATGATAAACAACTGTTTGCTTTTATTTTCCATCCCATTCCTTAGTTTGCTCCTTCCTTTCTTCTGCACAGTATCATTTCCATGGAACTGAAATGCCCCAAAACATGATACATGCTGAGCCTGGGGCTTGGTCTATCCTGGTAAATTTCACAGGTCCTAACCTGCTGAGTCCGTCATTGTTTCATGATGAGAACTTACAGGCCCATGAGCCCCAAACAAATGCTGTTCTTGCCTTCTCAGCTCTCACATCCCTTCTGGCAGGAGTTTCCAGGCTAACACAGAACAGGAAAGGGTGAGGAAAATGTATAGCTCTTAGGGTTCAATACAATGAAAGGAAATTTGCTCTTAGAATTGCATTGACACTGAAAAACACTTTGCCAGGCTGGCACCCGGGCCTCAGTCTGCAAGACAAGGGTCCACGTAGGTCTGGGTCCAGGAATCCCAGGCTTGAGAACAGAGGGGCCCAGCTATGTTTTCTCATCTAACCATGCAAGGGGTTTTGCAACAGCTCTTTTCACACAAGTAAGACAAATGCTGCTTATAGTTTTGTTCCCTTTGCTGCATAAAACTGTCCTTAGGGCTCTGTTCCAAACACATAATTGGGAAAGAAGTACAAAGAAGTGACAGCCATGTGCTCTGATATGCCCGGAATGCTCTTTGTGCTCTGCAAATCTGGCATGGTGGGCGGAAAGGCATCCCCACGTACAACTGCGATGTGGGGACACCGGGGGTTTCCTCCTCCAAGTTTGGGAGAAGAATATCACCTTCCCCTGATTTCAGGACCCCTAAGAGTTGTAGACTGCAGTCATCTCAATGTTACTTGGCTTCCCCAGCTCTCAAGTACACACACACACACACACACACACACACACACACACACACACACACACGGCCCCCCCTAAATACTTCAGGAGGCCTTTTCTCTCCATCCCCTTAGTCTTGTCTGGTGAAATAAAATCACCTCAATCCGGAAGCCTTTTTCTCCTCTTTCTCATCTTACCTTTGAGTGTTGAGGGTAGATTATTGTCTTATATTGTTACATCCTTAGCAATCTTTAGCTTAGACGTGTGCTCAGTGCCAACTAGGAACCAGGCATTGTGCTAGAAAGAAGGGTAAGTCATTCTCCGTGCTTTTGAAAATCTGGAGGTTAAAATTATCCATATAAACAAATCATTGCATTACAATTTCATAAGCACGTTATAAGTGATGCACATGGACTTCCACTCAAGCAGCTGGGAGAAAATGATTAAAACCCCCAGGAGGAGTCCATGAAACCCTCACAAGGAAAGTGATATTTTAGCAGAGTTTTAATGATCGAGGAGGGATTTGCCAGGTGGGAACCCCCAGGGACAAAACTGCATCAGAACATGGCCAAGTCATGGATATGAGGATAGAAGTATGTGGTATAAGTGTCTGGCAGCAAATGAGGGTGAAATGTTTATAGAACTCAGGGCTCAAAAGCCTTAACCAACGCTGTAGTGTTTGGAGTTTTAGCCTAGGAAAAATGGGGCATCCTGGGAGGCTTTTAACCCATTTATGCCTGTGGTTACAATTTTTTCAGTGTGAAGATGTAGACCTTGCTGATGCCCTCGAGCAGTAGGATATAAATAACTCCCACATGTTTAGCGTTCCAATAATGGAACACCAGGCATAAATGGGTTTTAAGCAGGGTAATAGTATATTTTTAGAAATACAATCCTAAAGCAAAGGCCGTAATCAGAAATAAAGAAAATACCAATTTGTTTACAACAGAGTTGAAGGATATATTCTTCCGTTAAGGCGACATAATTACAAAAAAAGATTGACGCAAGAAATCAGGGAAGTGTCCCAGGAAGAAGAGATCCAACAGACATGGCCCACCGAAATGACTTCCTCTGTCCTTCTCTGTTTTTTTTTTTTTTTTTTTTTTTTTTGGTTATTGTTTGTTTGTTTGTTTCTGAGACAGGGTCTCACTCTGTCACCTAGGCTGGAGTGCAGTGGTACAATCACAGCTCATAGCTCACTACAACCTCAAACTCCTGGGTTCAAGTGAGCCTCCCACCTCAGCCTCCTAAATGGCTGGGACCACGGGTATGCACCACCAGGCCTGGCTAATTTATTAATTTATTTATTTTAGTTTTGATAGAGATGGTGTCTTGCTGTATTGCCCAGGCTGGTCTTGAACTCCTTGCCTCAAGCAATCCACTTACCTCGGAGAATACAGGTGTGAGCTACCACACCTGGCTTCTGCACCCTCCTTGATGGAACTAGTTTGGATTTTCTGGCCACATTTATAGATCTGCATCCAAACCCTGAACCCAATAGGACGTTTTCTCTGAGACCCGTGCCTGGCCTGCCTTGCAGCTGCCATCTGTTGCTCCCTGCTCCAGGGAAAGCCGGTCAGCTTCCCCTCTCCCATCCTTCACCCTTCCTTCCTGACTCCCAGGCCCTCTTCCTGTTCAGCTAGAGGCCCCCTCCTCTACCTGCATCTTCCTTGCTTTTTTGTATTAATTGCTGAGATGCTGTGCCATGGGAGGCTGCTGCTAACAAAAGATTAGCCCTTTTTACAGGAGGAGATGATTAAAAAAGGAGAGATTTTTGTTTTTAAGACAGATGAAAGAAAGCCCAAGGAGATGTGTGTTTGACCCTCCAACATGTTTCTTCAGGCTTCCTGCAGCAGTTCTTAAAGGCGCTTCCAAAGGCAGGCTTTATGAATGCAAAATGAAGTCAGTGCCTTGTGCCTGCTCCAGAAGAAAGGGAAAACGGGGCTTTTATAGACAATATTTCCTTTATGGCTCATGCCGCTCCCCTGCCCCCGTGCCGCTGCACCACTTCAGAGGCCTGCTCGACCTTCTCAAGGTCACTCCACTCAGCAGGCCCCTTGTGCCTCTCCCAGGGACCAGCAGAGAAGCTGAAAGGGCCAGGTTTTGTTTTCTGTTTCTCCTCAGTCTCAGTAGAGTCCTTGCCCGGGGGCAGAGACACCTGAAGTTCCCAGCAGGGCGGTCCCAGTTAACTACCGTGGGACTCCTGCACCTCTCTGTGGAAGGCAGCCAGAAGGCTGTGCCTAAGCTTCTCCAGGTTTCCTCCCTCCAACACCTCTTTGTAGCCCAGATGGGGGCTCTCAGGGGCAGCTTCAATGAGGACTCAAAGTGCAAAGGGGTAAATGTCCATTCTCAATCTCCATTATACACCCTCCTGCTTCCTTCTGCTTCTCAAACAAGTGTTTGATGCTAATACTTTGCAGTCTTAACTAGATTTCGCTTCACAGTTAGTATTTGGCTGTACACCTGCCTGTTAGTTGTTTGCTGACATCAATGATTTCTGTCATGGCTTGCATATCTCCAGTTAGTGGGGACAGTGTTCCTCCTATGTAGGCCCTGACAGCTTTGGAGGGTGCAGATAATGTCTTAGCAACCTCTTGCCTGCTGCAGTCCCTGCCTGGCACGGTGCTTGGCACAACATTGATACTTGCCACATGCTACCTGATTTCTGTTTCTCCAAAGGTAGTTTCTGATGCATGATGGGTGAACCTGCTTTGGGATGATATGATGCCTCTGGAGTAAATTAAAGGAATTGCCTCACCCTCCACTGAACAATAAAGTCAGGTTTGTGGTGTGACAGAATGGAATCCCTGACAAAAGTTTTGCAGATGATCTGAGTGCCGATGTGATGTCTGCAGGGCAGGAGTGATTTAGCTGAGAATACGAGAAAACAATGTCACTGATGAACTTGGGCTTGAGTTAGAATCTTTGTGTGCCAAAAATCCTGGAGCTTTGGACAAGGCATCTACCATCTCGGAGCCCCAGTTTTCTCATCTGCAAGGTGAAAACAAACTGGTTGATACCTCATAAGGTTCTGCAATGAACTCACACCAGCCTCAAAGTAAATACTCAAAAGTGGCAATTCTTTTTGCCCAAAGGCTGATCATTATCTGGTAGAGAGGCACAAGATTAAAATTTTACCTAGAATGCTCTTCATATTTTCAATCACATAAATGTTATACAGTTTTCAAATGTTAGCACCTTCTAGATGCTTCACCCCTACTCTGCCTCTCCTCTCCACAGAATTCATTTTTCTTCCTCTTCAAAAGTCCAAGGATTTCACAGCTGCCTCTGTCATAGTACTTCCACTTTCTAACTTACGTAAGCTTCTTACAGGCAGGATAGGGGTTTGCACATCTCAGCAAATATTTTGCAAACGTGAGCAAGAGAAGACAGGCGTTTTGTCTCCCTCTTTTGGCCGGGGAGGGTGTTGGCCATTCCTGGACCAGAGCAATCACTTCTCTCAATCGACAGAACAACTGAGTGACCCAGTGATTAATAACTGGCTTTTAGTTTAGGGGAGGCCTGGAAATGCCCATTAAGGGGGGCACTGAGGCATTGCACATTAATCCTAAACACTTCCCCTTAAACCTAAATGAAATAACTAACTGTTGCATAATTCAATAAGAAGTCCTGGCTGGGGGCCGCGCTACTTTCGGAGTAACCAGTGAATAAGTACCATCCACGAAACTATTAAGTTAATTTAAAATCCTGACAATTTAGCACCACTCTGGTGAGATAAGAACCATTTATTAAAAGGCACAGTTCATTAACCCAAATGCTACTGGCATATTTGCTCAGAGAAAGGGGTGGGCCCGAACTTCATCAGGAAGCGTCTCCTCTCCCTGCCCGGGAGCCAGCCCTGGTTCCAGCTGCAAAGCCAGGAAACCTCGAGGGCAAGAATGTCCTAGGAACTCTTTCTGACCCATGACTCCTTCCCCTTTATACCCATCAGGGATGACCCTGTAGTATTTGAGTTAAGGCAGAAAGTATGACAAAGCCCAAATAGAGTGCAAGGGAGGTGCTGGAAGCCTTTTGTCCCCACTTTCAGCCTTTCTGTGGCTCTTCCCTTTCTTCAGCCTCCTCCTCCCCTGGCTGACCTGTCCCACCCCTGGGTCCGAGGAATGTTTCCCACATATGTTCTGCATGTCCCACCTTTGTTCTTAGTCACTGGGATTTTGAGTCTGCAGACTGGATGCTGCTATAAAATATTACACAATTCCACGAAGTGCTGTTTTCCAGGGCATTGTATGTAGCTCTTGTATACAAACTGACAAGCAAAGGACAGTGCCAGTGCAGAGGGCTGTCTTTTGTGACACTGTTTTTTCTGGCCACATAATAGATCTGCTTAGGTGAAAACTTACTGAATCTCATGACAGGCACATTGAGTCACTTCGGTCCTCTCCTGAGAGCCTTGGGTTTCTTCCTTCCTTTTAAAAATCCAGTCTTGTAACTATATTCTCTGGACACCCTCAAGCCACTGATAGAAATGGTAAGTGGAGTTAGTTGGTCTGGCTCTGGGACCAAGAAAATAGTAAGCCAGTGCCTGTGGCTAGAGACAGACTTGCGTCTTCAATATTTAAAACGTAAATGCTACTCTGTGGTCTTAACTGCAAAAAGGGAACATCTTAACTTTCTGAGTCGTTTTAATCACCTTGAAAAGAGACTTAATGTGAACCAATGTTTGTATGAGGAAAGTGCCTTTACCTGTGGTCTTTGGAGCTGCTCAATGAAAAGTTACTTATGCATGTACATTTATCCATTTCCCTAGAGCACATTTGTGCACTCTGGGAGGAGGGAAAGAGCTTTTATCCACTTCTCAGAGTGATATACAGTCATTCTCCCTTATCCACATTTCAGTTACCTGCAGTCAATTGAAGTCCAAAAATAGTTAAATACAGTACAGTGTGATATTTTGTGAGAGAGATCAAGATCACATGTATATTACTTTTATTACAGTATGTTGCTATAATTGTTTTATTTTATTATTAGTTTTTGTTATTAACCTCTTAGTGTGCCTAATTTATAAATTAAACATTATCATATGTTATATATAGGATGTATAAGAGGAAAAATAGCATATATAGGTTTTGGTGTTATCCAAGAGTTTCAGACATCCACTGGGGATCTTAGAACTTATCCCGTGAGGATAAGGCAGGGCTGCTGTAGTAAGGTTGACTTGACTGTGTGGCAAGATATTTGTTTGTGTAAATTGTTTCAATATATTCTTAAAATCCCTCAGAGAGATAAGGATTTTAATATGGCCACTAAATTAATAAGTGACCAGAAAGTAAATGAAGTTAAACAACTTGTCCCAGTTTCTAGATAGAAAGGAGGTATATTTCATGTTTTGGAGGGATGATGCTCTTACATTCATATATCACTTCCCAGTAATAATAAAGAAATTTTCTTTCCCTTTTTAACTCTGACATTATTGAGCAATTATCTACTATTTACCAAATACCACCTTAAGTCTTAAAGATCAGTGATGAACAAGACAATACCCTGTCATTTTGAATTAATACCTTAGTTGGAGGAAATAAACAATATGCAAGTAAACAAATTAACAGGACAGTTTCAGAAAGTTGCAGGAAGTTACACAGAATACCTGATAGAGAAGGACGGAGTGCAAGTAAATAGGGTGAAAGAGAAAGGGCTCTCTGAGAGTTGAATTGTGGAATGCAGCCAGCAGCAGCAGATCTGGAGGGAAAACCTTCCAGGAAGAAGACATGGCAAGTGTGCAGTCCCTGAAGTAAGACCAAACTTGGCAAGTTTAAGAACCAGAAGGAGGGACAGGGTTAGTGGAGCATACTCACTGAGGAAGATGGGGATGTATGAGGGTCTCTAAGAGGCAAGTGGAGGCCAACAGACCACAGAGGAGGGGTGTGGATTTCATTCCAAGTATAAAGCCGAGTGACAAAATTGGATGTATGCTTGGAAAGTATGTAGGTTACTGTTTGAAGAATGGATTGTAGGAGGCATGAGATAAAGGATGGGTTGAAAATGAGCAGGCAGCAAAACCCACCTGGAGGCAACTGCAGGAGTTCAGGCAAGGTGCCTTTCATGAAGGTATTGGCGCAAACGTGAATAAATATGGATTGGAGATATATTTATAGGTAGAACTAACAAGAAATGCTAATGGATTTGATGTTAAGGGTGAAGGAAAGGGAAGGACAAGGAAAAATCTTAGGTTTTGGTTTGGGCAATAAGTTTAGAAGTGTGCCCTTAACTAAGTTAGGGGAGACTCAGGGAAAAACAGCCTCTCACTGGGGCAGAAGATAGTTGGACTACAATTTCCATTTGAAACACATATTGCATCAAATGGATGCAATGAAGTTCATGGGGAAGGTCTGGGCATTGATATAAAATTGGCAGTCAACAGATGTAATCTATTCTAAGGTGTGTAATTAACTTAAATGTCACCAAGAAAGAGTGAGGGACACTTTCAATTGG
Organism: Homo sapiens; assembly: GCF_000001405.40. Taxonomy (NCBI): domain Eukaryota; kingdom Metazoa; phylum Chordata; class Mammalia; order Primates; family Hominidae; genus Homo; species Homo sapiens. The sequence goes on along the minus strand of NC_000011.10, from coordinate 131,405,177 downwards.
TCATACCAGCCTCCCTTGATCAGAACTCTTCTGCTATTCCAAGGGATTTGCCCATTTCTCCCTGCCTTAGGTTGAAGCGTAACAGACAACCTTTCATGTGTCTCAACAAAAAAATTGTCAGCTGTGGATGTTCTTTCTGTCTTTGGTCCCATAAAGCCCTTAATTGTTGTTTTGCAGGGGAATACGGAATTGTGGTCATTCTTCCATAGACAGATATGCACTTCCCTGTTATCAAATTTACACCCTGCTGTTCCCTTTCTATGCATTGCTGTGTATGTGATCATTTTTATTTCAATGGCGAATCACTGTGTGATTCAAAGAATCATTTTTGAAGGAATTTTAAATGGCAATTAACCCTAACACATGTAGTACCAGCAATGCCTATCACTCAATGAAGGGAAGGGAATGTGACTAAGTCGGTGCTTGTTCAGGCAATGGCAACTAAACCTCTCCATTGGGCAGGTGCAGATTATAAGATGCTATCAATTGAAGGATGTGTCCCAATTTCAGAGACATGAAAATATGGATGAACCAATGAACAAAATCACATATTAAGTGTGGGATGTCTTTATTAATCTGGAGTTCATGGGGAAGGTCTGGGCAGTGATGTAAAATTGGCAGTCACCAGTATATAGAGGTCACTGGAAACCACAGGACTGGATGAGATCTCCCGGAGAAGTGGATCGACAGAGGAAGTGCCTGAAGACCAAGACCTTGCAGACCCAGCATACAGAGAAGAAGATGGAAACAAAAGAAACAGAGTAGGGTTTAGTGAGGTAAGAAGAAAGCCAGGACGGCGCGATGCCAGGGAGGCCAAGAGGAACAATTTCACAAAGACAGAAAGGGTCATCTATGTCAAGCGCTGCTGAGAGGTAGATTAAAGATTGGAAATTGAGCACTGCACTTGGCATTATAAATGTTGCTGATGACCTTGATGAGAGTAGCTTTAGTGGGGTGGTGTGGACCAACGCCAGGCTGGAAAGCGGAAGTGCGAGTGCTGAAAAAGTGAAGACTGTACATGAAGATCTTTATTGTAAGAAGCTTTACCGAGAAGAAGAGCAGAAACGTGTTTGTAGCTAAAGGAAGAAGGGAGGTCAAGAGAGATTGTTGATGTTGCAGTTGCCATTTTAAATATGGGAGATACTTGGTGAGATTTATGTGCTTATGAAAGTGACCGAGTGGAGAGGAAATATGCAATGATGTAGAAGAAAGAGGAAGATAATTGCAGGATTGAAATCCTTGAGGGGAGAGAGGAGAGGCCCCAGAGCATAAATTGAGATGTTGAACTCTAAAATGAGGAGAAATATTTTTTTCCATTATAACAGGAGTGAATTTCGGGCCCTACAAATGAAAGGCAGGTATACTGAGATTTGGTATCTGGAAGATAAGTTAGTTCCTGATTGCTTCTGTTTTCTCAATGAAATATGAGTCATTCACTCCAAGTGGGAATAAGGAGATTTTTGGAAGATTATAAAACTTTTGAGGAGGGGGAGAAGATACGAATTAGATGTCTCTGAAGAAAGAAAAGCAAACCTCCTAAGAGTGCATAGTGGGATTCCTGGGCAGTAGTAAACACCCATTTGCAATTTGTTACTCTGAGATTTTAAAATGACACAGACCACATTGGGTTTTTTGTTGTTGATCTTGTTGTTTGTTTGTTTGTTTCTTTCTTTCTGCCAGCAATATCTAGTTATGAAGGTTCAGGATCAGAGAAAGTGGATAGGTGGTGTCAAGCAGACTTGAGATTTTTGCCAGAAAAATACAATAGAAGGAAAGAGAACCAGAGAGTTGAGAGTGTCTGCAAGAGTGATCATAGGACCAAAGCATCTATAGAAAGTAAGGAGTGAAGTGAAAATAGGAATGGAGTGAAAAACTGGGGGTTTATGTGTAGGTGATGTGCTGTAACATTTGGGACACAGAGGTGGACTTGAGCCATTGCTCACTCAGTTGAATGTCTCATTATTTTACATGGTCACTACTAGGGACACCTCCAGCAAAGAGGTGAGTCTGTCTGTGACTGGATTGTAAGTAAACGGTGTCTCCTCTCAGGGAACAGTGACAATTCAGGAGGCCTAAAAATCTCAGAATCTGGAAAAAGTTGTAAGCAGATTGGTTATCTGTTCCTTTTATGCAGTCTAAGCTTTTTCTACTGCAATTAAATTGGATTTCGACTTCTTCAGTCCCCAAAGCCTAATGAAGAGCAGCTGCTTGTCATCCACATGGAGTATCCTTTATTTTAATTGTGAAATTTATTAAGTCACCCCTTAAATTTCTTTCTCCTTCTGGACAACACCATTACCTTATGACAGTCCTCACAGGCCCTATGATACAGCCCTTTGATCATTCCTATGGAGCATCTCTAGGGTACTACAGCAGACGCTGTAAAATTCTAATAAGAGTTCTGGTAAAGATTCAATAGTACTTATATGGCCAGAGGATATGTCATTCTGCCTGGACTTTTCATTCTGGATTATATGCTTTAAGAATTACTTTTTAGACAGTAGCATTCTCTTGCAGGCTTATGTTGGTTCTTGGTAGTCTCTGTATATCTTTCCATTCTGAGTGGGCACGCACGAGGGAGCTGATGGCTGGACTGGCTCTCTCCATTGGTTGGCTTGTGCTGTTTTCCTATAGGCCCCATTAATGTGGTCCATCTTCTGTGTGACTCCTTTTTTTCTCTTAGTTTCTTGTTTCTTTGACACTTCCCATGGAAACTAATCTGCTAACCCCTATTTGGCCACTGGGCAAGCAGGATTCTCCAATATTTGTTTTTTTTTTTTTATGACTTAGTTTTCTTTTTCTTGGGGAGATAAGCAATTTTCTCCATTAACCATGCTCCTCTGAACACCTCAGTATAAACTGCTGAATCCTAGACAAGTTCTTGTGTAAGGAACTGAGTATTATAGCAGAGACCACAATAATTGCTAAATATGGATCCAACATTTCATCATGGTGGTTATGACATGACATGTGATTTTCATGGTGTTGCATCCATAACATTATTTTTGGAATATAATCTATGCTTAGGGCTCTGTGAAGCCAAATGCTCCCACCCATATAGGTCAATGACGACCCTTTGCCCAATTCCTGCCAGCTGTCTTTCCAAAATTGGCACTACATCTAGAAACTCTCTTAGAATAACTCCCTGCTCACAGGGCATGCTATTCCACAAGAGCAAGGTGTCTTCTGCCAAGACTTTGATGGCTGAGCAAGACATGGCTAACAATCTCTCCTACATCTGTAACTAAGAGGCCAAGGAATGGCCATTAGTCATAATTTAGTCTCTCTCTTGGTGAAGGTCCTAGTTTAAATTAAAATATATATATATATATATATATATATATATATATATATATATATATATATATATATATATATTTCCAGTGGCCTGACTCACATAATGATGAGGATAATTATGGGGTAATGAAGAAGTTTTCAATGGTAAAATTTATCTGGAGGAAATTCTTTATGATTTCTAATAGTTTACCATTCTAATAGTCTCAAGTAGAACATCTTTTTCAAATGCCTAGTATCTTCAGAGAGTAGAGGGGCACAGGTGGGTATAAAGGATATCCAATGGAAGACAGAGAAAGAAGTAATCACTACTAGGACATCTGAATTCCAGAAATTAAAATCATGTCTTTACTGAGTATCTACTATGTATCAAGTATGGCTACATATTACTGCACTTACGCTTATAACAACATTAAGAGAAGGTATTACAGTTCCATTTAATCAGGTTAAATAACTTGCTCAGATCATATATCCAGTAGAGGGCCCATCAGGGATTTGAACCCTTGTCTACCTGTTTTCAAAATCCATGTTTTCACCCAAGGAAACAACTAAGAAGAGACTTCCCAATAGTCTACCATGAAAAAAGACACCTTCTCAAATGCTACAGCTCTCTTGATGGGATGTGGCCCTCTGGTGGGATGAGCTAGATGACCTGAGAGTGTATTCTTTGTGTGGTGTGGGTATGCTTTTTAAGGCCTCTAGGTGTTTTTTTGTTGTTATTTTTTAATTAAAGGCTAAATATTTTTAGGTTTTGTGGTTGTGTTTTGATCTATCTCTTGCTTTCTCCTTTCCACTTCTCCTGTCTCTCTCTGTTTGTCTCAAATTTTCTGTCTGTCTATGCATGCCTCACTCTCCTTTTTTTTTTCTATTTCTGTGTGTGTGTGTGTGTGTGTGTGTGTGTGTGGCAGGTGGCAGGGGTGGCAGGGAAGGTATTGCTGAAGAAGTTCAGTATCAGACTCCAGAAACATAGAAGGCCCAATGTTAGACCCAAAGAAAGCAGGAAGAAAAGTGGTTTTATTCAAAGCTCAAGGAAGGGAGAGTGATCAAATGATAACACATATCCTAGATTTTCTAAAACATTCCTCATTTCAAATGCTTTGGTACATTGTCCACATAAGCATATCAATACTTACTGGAACTTAGGTATCAGCTTACAGTTCAGTACATAGGGTTTCTCTGTGAAAACAGAAACTTCAGATTTTCTTTTCTGGTATCTATTCTAGTCACCAGATTCAGAAAAGAAGGAGGTAACAATGTGTTCCATGTCGACAATGCCCATCAACACATTTACATCTATTCTGGACTTTAATTATCAAAATCATCTAATAGTTGACAAAACCAAAGCTGGGAGAGACAGTAAATAAATTGTTGAAGGTCACACAGTAAGTGGTAGCATCAGGATTCAAGCCAAGGTCCCTCTAGTTCTCAATCCCATGCTTTTGACCAACACTCCAGGAATTTAAACTAGAGACACGGTCCGGGAATAAAGATTGTGCATTTGGATGGAGCTCCTCTGGTGCTTTGTGTTTGAGAAAATGAGCATGGTCTTCAGCACAAGGGATAAAAGCCCCAGCAGAGCCCTCACAAAAGCTAGTGGGAACAGACACTGAGCTGCAATTGCTTCGGGACAGCTGGTAAACTGAGGGGACACAAAGAGAGATTGGAGAGAAAGGACAGGTGACGTCCTGTCTATTCATTTACAGCCTTGTCATCCTCCAATGTTCTCAGCTTTACTGGGGCCCTTCTCGGCTTCCTTATGCTGATGGGGGGTGGGTAGGGTAGCTAGATATCCATCTCTCTTTCATTATTACAACATGCTACCAATCAATGATGAGCTGTTAGGGCAATCAGGCCCCATACATAGCATAAATTAGGATGAATCTCATGAAAATGATATTTTCATACATCAAAATAGGTGCATACTAGCAATTTCATGTGTACCCAATCTAATACCATAATCATGATCTGTGCATAGTTACTTTTCCCGCCATGACAGAGCACCAAGCACATGGGCAAAAGAGGTTGCTGTCTGGATAACCAGCCATCAATTTCTATGCTGGAGGAAGAGCCATCTCAGTGATCTTGGAAAGCCAGCCAGTCAGGTGCAGAGTCCCAAGAGTCCTACATTGTGCTTTCCCCATAACTGGTTTCCAAATGGGCGCTAAGGATTAGAACAAGAGCTGACCACAAGAGAACCATGGCCGGCCTCATCACATCTCTTCTCAAATGTCTGGGGACACTGAGTGAGGGGCTCTGTGTGCTGAGGGTAAGAGTATAGGATTAGCAACCACACTTCCAGGACTCAAAGCCCCACCCTATCACTCAGTTTCTGTGTCAGTTCAACTATCCTCTTCAGTCTCCTCATCTGTGAAACTGTGACAAATACAGCAATCTTGTAAAAATGAACAGATACAATCCATACATAGCAACTGGGGTTGTACCTAGCACCTAGAAGGCAGTCAGCAAATTTAAACTACTGTTATTACTGGAGACTCTTCTTTTGGGTTGTAGAGCCCTGAAGTCTGTACATTAATCTCACTGCAGGACTATTCCAGCTCTCAATATTCAGAATCGTGAGTCCATCTCTCTTCTACCATGCTTGCTATCCCTGTAAATTCAGGGCAGGAGAGGTTCAAAGGGAGATAACTATGGACCCATGGACTCCAGCTTGGAATGAACATCCTGGCAGCAAACTAAGGATGCTTTCTTTTTAAAGAACAATGGACCTGAGTTTGGGGTGCGAGGAGAAGAGGGGAGTTTTAAAAGGGATTTAGGGTCCATATGCACATGAAGTGTTGTCGGCAGCTTCAATGCATTTCTCTCCAAGTGCACTGTTTGCACCACTTCCAAGTACATATGAATGCTGCTGTGTTTAATTGCATACACGTTGTTTACAGGTGCTACAATATTTATTGCAGTTTTTATTGTAATTTTTTCTCAACCACTGGGTACTAAAAATAAAATTACTTTCATGTAATGTTCAAGCCTTTTATTTAGAAATTCTGAAAACCACTATATTATATAATAGAAGTAATGTGAAACCAAGAGACAAAAGACCTCACTTGGGGTCTGTGTTGTTTTACTAACTGGATGCGGGGTCTGGGATCACTTTGTTTTTCCATGCCTCAGTTTCCCCTGAGTAAAGTAAGAGTATTGGTGGTAATAGAATGTATAGTGATCGTGTGTAAGGAAATAATCATAACAGTGGAATAAGGCCATAATCATGGAGATGTTCACTGAAACATTATTTACAACAGCAAAAAATTAGAACAACATAAATGTCCAAACACAGTGCAGTGGTATTGTACATCTACTTGATGTAATATAATGAAACCAATTAAAACGATGCTCACTAATACTATGTAACGACATGGAAAATTGTTTCTGATCTATTCTTAAAAGAAAAAAATGAGATATAAATGATATGATTATAACTACATAATGAAAACCATGGCAGAGAATAAGAAAAAATTAGAAAAAAATACATTAAATGTAATTGTGCATGAGTGACTTTAAATCTTTTTAAAGCTTCCTTTGTATGGTTTCCAAATTATATTTAATAAAGATACATTACTTAAGCTAAACAAAATACATCAATAATAATCAACTGAGAATGTTGGGTTAAGTGTTTTCCAAAGCCCTTTCGGTTCTAAAATCCAACTGCAGTCATGAAGATTTGATGATATAATCGATTCGTGAAAGCCCTTTCAAACATATGCAGTGCTACATTATGATAAGGTCTTATCGTTATTAACTTGGTCCCAAGCAGAACTAACACAAATCCACTAATAGGGGAAAGTAGCCATGTGAAAAAGAATCAGATGACACAGTGATCAGTTGCTATTAGAGCTCTTTTTGGCCAGAATATTCTTGATACAACCTTTGAAAGAATAAATTTTACACAGCTTTTTGACATGCAGTCCTCTCTGCCCTTTGTACTGACATAATTGTCAAGCAGATTTTATTGCATTCTCAAGTGAAGGGCAGACAGATGGCCAAAGCCCAGCCTGGGGACTGGTGTCTACTTAGACTATCAGCGGTGCTCTGCAGGGAAGGGAGAGATGAGTATGGCTGTCCCTGTAAGAACTGGGGACACGTACAAAGACTGGAAAAGAGAAGGCATGGCTGGTGGGCTTTCTTATAGAAAACCCCCAGGAAGCCCATTTATACATCCTGATGCCGAAGGGAACTTGAACACAATGAAGAATAAACTCAGGAAAGGAGGTTGCTAGTCCAAATCAGAGGTCACTAGTTATAACTCATGCCAGAACAGGAGAACTGATAGGACACGTCTTTATTTCATTCAAGGTGTATTGCCTCATGCCCGCCCAAAGAAAGCTATGGGAGTGGGCAAAGCAAGATGAAATAATACAAAATTAGAAGCTGGGCTTCAATTCAGGAGAGCTAGGCTTGACTCATGACCTTGAAAACTACAAAATACATCAGCCTTGGACTAGCCACATTACCTCTTAAAGCCTCAGTTTACCCCTGTATAAAATGAGGTTAAGCTATTCTGAAGGAGTACTTAAAAAGGTAAAATGATAAAATTGATGAGGCATCTGCTATCTAGTTGGCCCTGAGGGATCCTCTCAGCTGAACATGTAGATTTCAGGCAGCCTTGAAAGTAAATTCAAGTGTATGGTTCCAAAGGCCTAACATGAAGATGGATTATGCCTAGAAAAATGAGACAGTGAGTCAAAAATGAATTAAAAATGTTTTGTCTATTTTCCTCATATATTTGTGTTTGCTTTTGTTAGAGCACTCAACTCTGGGGCATGTCACTTGACAAGACAAGAAAAATTAAGAGCTCAGATGGTCAAAACAGGACCACTTTTTCCCAGTTATTCCTGAGTGACTGTCTTAGCCCCTTGGGAAGACTCACAGGAAAGCAATAAAATCACAGGATTTACTAGATCATGGCGTCTTAAAAATATAGAGTCCAGAAGTAAGGGAAATGAGGCCCAGAGAGGTGACGTGAGCTTCCCAGAGTTGCACAGCTAATCAATAACAGAATTGGTGTTCACATTTATGTTCCCCATTTTTTTTTTTTGAGACAGAATTTCACTCTGTTGCCCGGGCTGGAGTGCAGTGGCACAATCTCAGCTCACTGCAACTTCCGTCCCCCGTGTTCAAGCAATTCTCCTGCCTCAGCCTCTCGAGTAGCTGGGATTACAGTTGCCCACCACAGTGCCTGACTAATTTTTGTGTTTTTAGTGGAGACAGGGTTTCACCATCTTAGCCCGGTTGGTCTCGAACTCCTGACCTCAAGTAATCCACCTGCCCTGCCACGGCCTCCCAAAGTGCTGGGATTACAGGTGTGAGCCACCGCGCCCAGCCATGTGTTACCCATTCTTAATTTAACTTCTTTCACCATATTTGTTTTAATGATTCAAAATATACTTTTATGGCTGGTGAAATATGATCTAAAAGCAACAGACCGAGAGGTGTGAAGGTGTACACATCCACGGGGATGAAGGCTGCAGAGCAGGAGGTCAAGCTGTGCGTAGGAAAGTGGCAGAGAAGCTCAAGAAATGACACTGATACTACGCCTGGCACTGAGATCGGTTTTAAAAGTCCAGGATGATTTCAATGCCAGTTAATATTTTATAGATTTAACCCTTATCCTTGGAAATGACAGATATGGACCCCGTTTTGTAGGTGAGGAAGGAGGTTGAATGTTTTGCCCAGTCTCATTGCCCATCAGTAGCAAAAATGAAGCAAGTGGTCAGCTCTCTTGATAGAAAGAAAGATAATTCTTTACCTGACTGCTTTTTACCTGCTTTTCTGGAGCCTGCCCTTGAGTGCTGGGACATTGCATGAACAGTTCTAGACCCTGCTCACCTCCAGAACCCTTTCTGCCCCCTCACCTCTAGGAGCTGCACTGCCACGTCAGGACCCTGGGTCTTAGTGGGTAAGCCAAGAACTTCTCACAGGTTGTTGCTTGAGCCTTGGGAGGCCAAAGGTATTCAAATATCTTTATTTGCCCAGAACTTTAAGCCACTGGGTGTTTTTTAGAAGATAAATCTAGACAACCAAAGAATAAACTGGGTTGACATCTGGTAGCAGGGACAGGGGTCAGAGGAGAAAAAGAACAGAGGAAATCAGCCAGACTTCATCAACCCCACCACGCCATTCCCAGGCAGGCAGCATGGAGACACCAGCCACTTCTCCCTTCACAGTTTTAACTAAAAGGAGCATTACAGAGGTGAATTAACATTTAAAAGGAATGTAAAAACTCAGAGCGGTTCTAATGATGATTAATGGAGAGCTATAAGGGGGCCATGACCTGTTAGTGTCATTAAATGGATTGGCAGGTTTCTGAGCATTAATTATAAATAGCCACAGGAGTTCTCCTGCTTAATGGAATGATGATAAATCCAAGTCTCAGAAAGAGAAGAAGAAAGGAAAGAAAAAAGAGAGAAAAAAGTTTGCACATGAGTGTCTGCCTGGGTGTTGTGGGGAGCAAGACAGAGTGTGAGAGCAGAGGGAATGAGATAAATGATAAATTAGACCCTGCCAGTCAATCACATTTTCTAAATGTTTTATGTCTCAAAAGCTATAAAAGCAATATTCCTCTCTGCCCTTATTGGAACCATTTCTGTTCAGCAATCATATCAGTTTCCTTGGGGACTTCAACTGAAATGTGCTTTGCCTTTTCTTTTTATATCTACTCTCCAGCCTGTGACCAAGGAAGGGTCAGAGTCCACACACAAATGGGCAGGACAGAGACCCAGTGACCAGGAGAGGCTGAGAGCAGGACTGAGAGGTGCTGGCAGGGGTCATGTGAAGGCAGCCTGGCTCCCACTGCCACCTTGGCCAAGTAAACAACAGCAGAGGGGCTTTTAGTTCCCATCCCTAAGTAGTCTCAGAGAAAGGTCCCGTACCTAACACCCCAGCTGTTAGGCTCACCAAAAGTGTTGCTGACTGGATAGACTGCAAGCACCATGAGGGCAAGGATTGATTTCTGTTTCACCTGCTTTATTTACTGTTTCATTCCCAGAACCTAGAACAGTGCCTTAGTGCACCATTGACACCCCGCAAATATTTGTTGAAGGAAGGAGTGAATTGACCAACTTATCCATGATTAAGTATGCACACAGGCCTGATTTCCAAAGCTGAGCTCGACGCTGAGATGCCTGAGTTCTGCAGGGCCTCTCAGTAGATGGATGTTCAGATAATGAGGACACCCCTTTAGAAAAGGGCTCTTCTTCTTAGATAGCCTTCGTTGGTCCTGAAGTGAAAGGATGCCAGCTTTTCTCCTAGCCTGATCTTTGAAAATGCACTCAGAGCTGCTGCATTCTGGGGCTGGAAGGTTCGTTCAGATAAGAATCCAGAGAGGTGAAGGCATGGCTCCAAAGTCACTCAACAACTAGCATTAGTAGAAGGGCCGACACTGAGTCCCTACTCAGTCTTCTCTCCATAGAGCACCCAGCCTCTCTCCTTCTCGCTCTGACTTCTCAAAAGGTGGACCAAGCAATCTCAGCCAGTGAGGGGGCCTAGACAGGCAAAAGGCTGGGGGGCAGGGGTGGGGAATCTCCCTGGGAGGCCCTCCACAGGTGACCAGACTCTTCTGGGTCTTGGCATTACCTATGGGGAAGAAGAGATGAAGAACGAGAGTGGAGTAGAGAGAGAAATGAGGGAAGCCAGGGGAAAAAGAAAGAAAGAAGCTTCAAGCTGGGACTGGGAATCATGGACACTTCTGGACGATGTTGTATTTTTGTGTGTGTCATTCCTTTTCAAGGCTTTCCCCTGCAAGTCATTATTTCAGCTGATTGGAAAATCGTGTTGAAAGACCTGCTTCTCCGGTACAATTTTCTTCATATCCTATTAGTTGCAATACAATTACAGAGAATACATCAATTCCTGGCCTGCCTGCTGTTGCTGCCAGAGCCGCCTATTAAAAAGCGGCCTTATTAATGGAATTGTACATCTAGGATTAATCGGCTTGCATTGGCCATTTACATTTCTCATTCCACAAGCACTTTTGTTTGCTTAATAGGCTGAAGGAGGTAGGAAATGACACAACAAAAGCCTCTCCCAATTGCACGTATCACTGGTGGATTTAATATCCCCTTCCTTCTTTCATCCTCAAGTGCTTCACAGGGATAAGATCTGGCACATGCCACTAGAGAAAAGTGAAGCTGCAGCTAGGCAGCGATTGGTGGGGAAAGAGGGAAGGAAGGAGGGGCGGAGAGAGAGAGGCATGGGCCAAAGGTAGGTCTTTGCGCTGTTGGGAAGAAGTACAGGCCCTCCCTCTCTGTTCACCCTGGGAGGTGGTGGTGGGGGCAGTAGGAGGAGGGCACGGGGCCAGGAAAGAAGCACCCAGGATGGGCACAGGGAAGGATGGGCGGTTGCTGCTGCCCTGCACTAATGGAATGGGCGTGATCTCCCTTTTGCTTCGTGTGGCTTCTGCAAGTCATCTTTATCCAGGCCTAGGTGGCAATCCTGGTGGGACCCTCCTCCCCTTACCTGCCATCTGTCCATTCCTCCATCACTTCCCATTTGTGGTTTAGGATTAGTAAATTCCAAGTCTCTCTACTACTATGTCAAGAAGAGCACAATTTGACATGAAGGAGCCCATGTGTGGGGAGGTGGGTGAGATCACACAGGCCCATGGGGCTTTCTTTTGGCAAGGACTGGCATCCCAGTCTGGGGATCCACTTCAGAGTTTTGGGAAGGACAATTGAGAGCAGGGTCCGTGAGGTCCCTGGGCTCAGGGAGATGGGCTAACAGGTGGCTGCAGCAGCAGTCTGCTTACGAGAGGGCGTTCCAGACAGAGAGAGCCCGTCTGAATAAGCCCAGCATGTGATTATTAATCCCTGACGGCAGGGGAGTGGTGTGGAAAGTAGGGTAGAAGGGAGATGAGGATGCCCTAGGCCTTCCCTCATCCACAGGAACTCTCTGGAGTGTGTGGGCACAATACACTTAACCCTTCACTTACCTCTACATTAAAGCAGGTGAAGCCCAATCCACCCCATATTGCCCTGCAGGGAGTTACCTGGGATATCAGAGATGCACAGGCACTCCAGGGAAAAGCCAGTCAAAAATAATAGACCTTGGTTCTCTTAATCAAATTCTGATCTCAAGAGAAAGCAACCTTCCAGACTTTCAGAGCAGGCTGAGGCTTGGGAGGAGGAGTGCATGTAGATTCTGCCACTGGGTGGAGCTTCTTCATTAAAGGAACAGGCAACAGGCGTCCAGACTGGGGAGAGCAGGGAAAGTGCTTCCTCTCCTCAGGCAGGTGCCCATCAACTCCTCCTGCCCTCTCTTCAACCTGCTCCAGGAGGCGAAGCTTATAAAACACATCCTTCTCAAGGCGAGGCTTTATTGAATTTGCTCTTCTCTCTCCCCTACCCTCACCCATGAGCCAGGGAGGTCTGTGCAGGTCTGAAATGATAGACAGCTAAGGCCTATGAAGCCCAACCCCATCCCTTCAGGGGCTCTGTGGTTGCACAGAGGACTCCCATCCCTTCAGGGGCTCTATGGTTGCACACAGGACTCCCATCCCTTCAGGGGCTCTGTGGTTGCACACAGGACTCCCATCCCTTCAGGGGCTCTGTGGTTGCACACAGGACTACCATCCCTTCAGGGGCTCTGTGGTTGCACACAGGACTCCCATCCCTTCAGGGGCTCTGTGGTTGCACACAGGACTCCCATCCCTGGGATGATATCACCGCGGCAGCAGAGTCAATGCGTATTGAAACACTGTAATATAGTATGACTTTTTGCTTTAATGGAATTTTCCTAGACCACTAGGAAAAAAGACTCCATTAACCAAACTACAAAGGCCTCTACTTATTAGTATTTTAGAGCAGTGGCAAAACATTTCTTGAATCTAATTATCGCTGACAAATATGAAAATTGAAATCAAAGTTAAATTTTCAGCTACAGTGCCTCATATGCCAGCCTTCTCTGACTTCAACTATTGCATCAACACATTTATTCTTCCAATAGTTTCAGCAGAAGATTGGTTATTTTCCCTCTCCCTTAATACAGCCTTCTTTCCTCCTCCACTCCCCGCTACTCCCTCCCTGGCTTGGACCCTATATATTTTGAAGCATTAAATCTGACATATTCATCTTGGTGGCTGGCACTAGGTAACTAACTTTATGTTTACCTGTCACGGGTGTAGAAATGAGCCGCACAGGGTGCTGGGAGCCTGTTTCTGTCTCCCGACCCTCTCCTCCCGCACCCAATCCTAGCCTTCTTCTTTTCTTTTCTTTTTTTTTTTTTTTTTTTCCCAGATAAAAGTCATTTGACTGATTTCAAATTCCTGGTGATATCAGGACAGAAAAAAAAAAAAAAAAAGACTTGTCAACACCTTTCTTTCTTTTCCCCTATTAAACATACTGTAAAAATCAATCCCTTTTGTCACTTCGCTCTGCTTGCGAGAATGTTTAATGGATGTCAAGGGAGCTAATGATCGCTGGTAGAAAATTCATTTTAGATTTGCTATTTATAAAGTACTCAGTACTCAGGTGGGAAATTAACATGAGGCAAGGAGTGGGGCGGGGAGGGCCAAGCTTGGCAGTGGAGAGCTGGGGCCCTGCCAGGCTGGTAGTTGCTTTGTGTAGGTGGCACCCAAAGCATGTGGGGACAGAGAAGTATGTGGCGGAGAGGCTGCGTGAGAATGAATAAGGGTACAGACTCAGGAAACATAGAGACCTGGGCAAGTTGGCCTTTCTGAACTCAAATATTCTCAGCACTAAAATGCTATCTACAACCCCTACCTCACAAGGTTCAGGGAAAGATTAAATAAAATATCACACATAAAACATTTAGCAGTGCCTGGCACATGGTAGTAGCACACGTGTAGTAAGTGTGCCTTTCCCCGCAGCCCCGTGTGGTTAGGAAGATCAGGACAGATGGGTCAGCACAGAATTGCTCCAGGACCTCACCTGGGACTGGGCGTAGTAGTTCACACACAAGCCCACATACGAACCCTGAGTGAGCACCTCCTGGTACCTCTGGCCAGGTAACCAGGTCTGCTGGTGGTTCTCAAACTGAAGTATGCAACAAAATCATGCAGAGGGCTTCTTGATCCACAGATGGCTGGGCCTCCTCTCAGAGGTCCAGAGTCAGAGGGCTCTCTGGGGGTGGGGCTTGAGAATTCATATTGCTAACAAGTGCCAGGGGACCCTGATGCTGCCAGCCAGGGACCACACTTTGAGAACCATGGAGATACACATGCAAACTGAAGTGTCTCCCTGAAATGCTGATGGTTACCACTGTTTCCCAGGCCTGCACCACTTTCTTCTTTCTAGCCCATCGAGTTGGAGCAAGTCCTTCTCCACCCCGACCTCAATCCTGTGTAGGACTCAGGATTTTGAAGTAAATCACTGAATGCTAATTAATTCCTCCCAAATTTTACATCACTGGTCAAGTGTAGGGGCCAAGTGCTCAGGTTATTTTTCTGGTTTGCTTCAATGTGTAGCCAAGACTCAGTTTCCCCTTCCTCTGTGCAGCTTGTTCCTCCATTGCTGATAGTCTGTTCCCTCCAAATCTCATATTGAAACGTGATTTCCAGTATTGGAGGTGAGGCCTGGTGGGAGGTGTTCGGGTCGTGGGGGCAGATCCCTCATGAATGGCTTGGTCCCCTCCTCAAAGTAATGGATTCTCATTCACTCGAAAGTTGGTTGTTTAAAAGACCGTGGCACCTCCCTCTCCTCTCTTTCTTACTCCCTCTTTTACCATGTGACATGAAAGCGCCCCTTCTCTTTGGCCATGACTAAAAGCTTCCTGAGGCCTCACCCAAAACTGAGCAGGTGCTTGTGCCACACTAATACAGCCTGCAGAACCATGAGCCAAATAAACCTCTTTTCTTTGTACATTGCCCAGTCTCAGGTATTCCTTCATAGCAATGCAAATGGACCAACACAAGCACCCAGAGAGATCAACCTTCTGCCCCTCTCCCAGTTCTCTCTGTTGCATCTGGAACTCCAAACCAGTGGCCTCATCCACCCCTCACCCTTCTGGTCTCCTTTCCCCGGGCTTCCCTTGGATGCTTTGCTGTTATATTTGGATTAACTGCAAATCTCCTTTGATTACTCACTCTCTGTTGAAACAGACAACCTGTTGCCACGTGTTTGATTACTGAATCCCAGGGGAGTTCCTATTTGTAACGCAGCCAGTTACAGCACACCCAGCCTTACACACACAGTCTCTGGGTTGCTATTTCATTGTCTAAGAAGTTGTTTTCAGTTTCTAATTTTTCAATAATAAGCTTCTCACGAAGCCCTTAAGCTGTGAAAATAAGCCGAAAACTGCTTTTCCAGTCATTTACATCAACACAAGCTGATCAGGAGGAGGAAAAAATAGGAAATAGTTTTACACGTTCTTCCCGAGGCTCTAGAAGCCTGGGTGGATTGCCCATCCAGTCTGCAGGTCTAGAGAAGCACAGCGGGAAGTAGGGCGGCTCACGGCACACCTGCCACCAAGGCGAATGATAAATCCTGAAATTTCTTCTGCCGCCCGCCAGGCTGCCGCTTTGCCGAGGCTGGGCAGATATTCTGGGCACCGGCAAATTGTTCTGTCAGCAAGCCGCTCCCCCAGCTCCATCTCATTAGGAAGCTTGTCATTCACTGCCCAGCCACAGCATCAAGGTCCCACCCTCTGAGGTGGCATCCTGTCACCTGGGGCAGGTAAGGGGTGGCTGCAGGGAACCTGCCCAGGAGCCAGGCCCGAGGCAGGGAGCTCAACCTCCTAGAGCGTTGCTGCTCATCTCACTCAGGGTCATGTGAATCAGGGCCTGGCCCATAATAGGTGCTCAGTTACTTGACTAGAGGGAGGACTTGCTGGCATATAGGCTACTTTCAACCACCATCTTTCTTTTTCCTTTTCTTTTCTTTTCTTTTCTTTTTTTTTTTTTTTTGTGATGAAGTCTTGCTCTTGTCGCCCAGGCTGGAGTGCATTGGCATGATCTTGTCTCACTGCAACCTCTGCCTGCCATGTTCCAGCAATTCTCCTGCCTCAGCCTCCCAATTAGCTGGGATTACAGGCACGTGCCACCATACCTGGATAATTTTTATATTTTTAGTAGAGATGAGGTTTCACCATGTTGGCCAGGCTGGTCTCAAACTCCTGACCTCAAGTGATTCGCCCGCCTCGACCTCCCGAAGTGCTGGGATTACAGGCAGGAGCCACCACTCCAGGCCAACCACCATCTTTCTCCCTATATTCTCTTCCTTGCTTTCTCTTTCCCCAAATACAGATCTTAAAATAATACAATGAGCCAGAAAGAGCAGCATTCTTTTTCTTCCCTGCCAACTCATACACATTCCTATTAAAATGTAAATAAATAGGCCATTAAAACCCACTTCTACCTTTTAGACACTGATTCTGATCAGGCTATTTCCACTAAGTACCTAATACTTACGGGCAAAAGGTAGGATATCCTGCCTGCTAAAAACAAGAAAAAGATGCCCAATTAAATTTGAATTGCAAAAAAAAAAAAAAAAAACCCAAAACCCAAATGTCTTTTAGTATTAGTATGTGCTCTGCATAATAAAAATCATTTGTTGATCAGGAATTTAAATATATCTGGTGTCCTGGATTTTTATTTGCTAAATCTGGCAGCCCTAGCCAAAGGGAATCTATATGTACTTACATAGATAAGTGAATGTACATATTTATACGGCTTACACACCACCAAGCCTCCTCTGTCCCGGTGGCTTAAAGGATTTTTTTCTAAGGTGAGAGTATTCGAGAGACACTGAGGCCCCTCCCAGGAGGCAGGGTCCATGCTGCTGCTTCCTTTTCCACATGTCCAGCCCTGGGAGTGGCCCTTCCAGAAAGAGCTCCCAACATTCAGTCTTCACACTCCTTTAAATCAATGGTTCTCAAATTTTAGGATGAATATCCTGAAGGGCTTCTTGACACACAGATTGCTGGGGTCTGGCCCCATACTTTCTGATTTGGAGACCACGCTTGGAGAGTCCTGGTCTAATGATGCTAGATGTCACAGACTCCTTTCTCTTTTCCCAGGGCAGATTAGAAACCGGGGTCCCCAGGAAGGCTAATTATAAAAATGATGGGTTGGAGTCAGTCTTGACAAACTTTTGTTCTCCTTTTTTTTTAAGGGGGGAGTGGGTTTCAGATGTATTTTCTTTTTACAAATGTTTTTATTGATACATAATATTTGTGTGTATTTATGGGGTACCTGTGATATTTTGCTACATGCATAGAATGTGTAATGGCCAAATCAAGGTGCTAGGGATATCCATCACCTCAAACAATGGTCCTACGTGGGAGAAACATTTCAAGCCTTCTAGCTGTTTTGAAATATATAATACTTTGTTGTTAACTAAAGGCACCCTCTTCTGCTATTGTTGTTCTCCTTTCTCAGCCTCTTAAATTCTTTTCCTGGTCTTATTTACTCCATCATCACTCATAACTAAGATGGGAATGTACAGTGTTCCACTGTCCTGATCCTGCAGGAAGAACATTCCCGTTAGAGAGCAGCTCCTGCAAAGGTATGGAGCTGTGCAAGGGCACCAGTGTTCAGTGTTTGGTGGGGCGATGGAGCAGAGTGAAGAGGGGAGTGCTGGGGACAGAGTGAGAGAGAGAGGGAGAGAGAGAGAGAGAGAGAGCTCCAAGAAAGGGAAGCAGATGACTTTGATAGGGAGGTCCAGTCACGAGTACCTGTGCTGTCAGTGAGCTTCAAAAACATTGGCTTTTAATTTTGCAATATGAATTGAGTGCCGAAAGTTTTCACACAGTTAATTCAGTTAAATGTGAAAACTATCTTCCAAGGAAATTCAAATATCCTATTTGAAAGATGGTGAAAATAAGGGCTCGGGGAAAAAACTCAGCCCCTAAAGTTAATGATAGACTGGGCTGAGAAAGGATATTCTGATTGATGTGGAGATTAAGAAATGTATTTGATATAATAAGCTTTGTAATTTGTAAAGATAAAAACATATCTTTTTAATTCCTTAAAAAGGCAATGCAAGAAAGGAGTAAGTGGTGAGCTCTGGATATGTTTGGGAGATGGCCCTAAATGGTAGGAGCAGAATCAAAAAAAGGGATAAAGAAAGAAGACTGGGGTAGATTATATTTTTAGTTAAAGTCCAGAGAAAAGACAGTGGCATGAGGGAAAAGTGATTAATACTGCACAGGATTCTCTGGTTCACTCATCAGCTGTCTCTCCCATTACACAAGCAACTAGCTTAGTCCTTTTTGCTCTCTTGGAAAAACCAGGCTGCAGGTATATGGACACAAACATGTGGACCTGGACATAGGTGTGTGCAAACACACACTATTTTCCCTGCAATATACTCAGGGCAAATAAAAGCCAGCAAATGCGAACTCCTTTAACTTCCTGCCACCAAGCTTACACATTTACCTGCCTCCTTCCTACACCACAGACAGCTGATTATCTCTTCTGTTAATTTTCATTTGTCTATTCTAGTAAAATACGCATGAAATAAAATTCACCCTTTTAACCATTTCTAAGTGTACCATTAAGTGACATTGAGTATGTTCACAATATTATGTAACTATCACTGCCATTCATTTCCAGAACTTTCTCAGCATCCCAAACAGAAACTCTGTGACCATTAAATCACTCCCTGTTTCCCTCCTCCCACAAGCCCCTGATAGCCTCTCCATGAATTTGCCTACCCTAGGTACTTCGTGAAAGTGGAATCATACCTTATCGGTCCTTTGGTGTCTGGCTCATTTCACTTAGCATAATGGTTTCAAAGTTCATCCATGCTGCAGCATGTGTCAGAATTGCCTTCCCTTTTAAAACTGAGTAATACCCATTTATGCATAGACCTCATTGTGTTTATCTATTTGTTGATGATGGACACTTGGGTTGTTTCTACCTTCACTATTGTGAATAATGCTGCTATGAACATTCATGTATAAATACCTGTTTGAGGCCCTGCTTTCCATTCTGTTGAATATATACCCAGGAGTAGAATTGCTGAGTCATATGGTAATTCCATGTTTAGCTTATTTTTTTCCAATTCACTGACTGATTTAGTATGTTTAATGTTGTTCTGTTTTATTTTGTTTCGTTTAGACACTGAGTCTTGCTCTGCTGTGCAGGCTGGAGTGCGGTGGTGCAATCATAGCTCACTGTAGCCTTGAATTTTTGGGTTCAAGGCAATCTTCTCACTTCAGCCCCCTGAGTAGATGGGACTACAGGTGTGCACCTCTGCGCCTGGATAATTTTAAAAAAATTTTTTTGTAGAGATGAGATTTTTCTGTATTGCCCAGGCTGGTCATGAACTCTTGGGCTTAAGCAATCCTCCAGCTTCAGCCTCCCAGAGTGCTAGGACTATAGGCAGGAACCACTGAGCCCAGCCTGTTTAGCTTTTTGAGAAACCCCCAAACTCTTTCCACTGTGGTTGCATCACTTTACATTCCCACCAGCAACGCACAAGGGTTTCAGTTTCTCCACATCCTCACCAATATTTATTTTCCTTTTTTATTTCATCAGCGATATCCTAATGGGTGTGAAGTTGTACCTCGTTGTGGTTTTCATTTGTGGTTCCCTAATGACTAGTGATATTGAAACATCATGGTTTTATGGTAGAATTGCCTTAACCATATGTGTACCCTATGGACTAGAGGGCCTCTTCCATCCTTATCAAGGGAATACTACTTTTTCCTCCTTTCATGTGACACACGAATAGTTTCTTAATGTCCATCCCTCTTTCCATGGTGGTAGGCCCCTGACTTTGTCTGGGCATGTGATCATCCACAGGGGATTGTGAGTCTCCCACATGCTCTTCTACTTAGGTATGGCAATGTGGCTGAGTCCTGGACAAGAGGAGGTGAGCAAGGATGCCACATGATGGCCTCCAGGAGCATCTGCAGGGGGCAATGCCCGGGTACCTCCTGCTTCTTCTTCATCTCTCCCTCATTCCACTCTGGCACACAGATGCTGCCGCCTTAGACTGTGGAGGCAAGGCCATGTGCAACAGGTCCAGATGGCAGAAAGGCCTGGGTGCCTGAGTTTGGGGAACACCTCACTAGCCATGAACAGACAAAGTAGAGTATTTCCATAACCAGAGGGATACAGATTACGTTATTTAAGCCACTCTAATTGCATCATTTTTGTCATTTGCAGCTGAATCTAATCATAATGCATATTCTCAAACACTTCTCTCCTTCCTCACTTTAAAGAGTAATGGAAGCAGTCTTTCTTCTTCTTTTCAAGACTTCTTTCTGTACCTATTCTCAGGATTCGCCACTCCTCCCACCTGTTTGTATTCCCTGAGGGCCTCACCTGGCCAGCCATCACCACATCCTCCTTCTTGCCTCTCCTTCCCTGGCCCCTGCCCATCTCACTCACTCTCTCTCTCTCTCTTTAAATTAGAAAACCTTTTGAAATAATTACACTCATTTTCTGACTCCACTTCTTCTTTCTATTTGTATCCCCACCCCATTGTTCCGCCCCACAAAACTGTTATCCCCAAGAACATGGAAGAGATTATTGCAACTAAGTATAATCTCCCTTGATCCTTTAGAAACATTTGACACTGCTGACATTCCTGCCTTCCTCAAATTTACACCATTTGGCCTTGATGGCCTCATGCTTTCCAGATTTTTCTCCTATGTATTTGTCCACTTTTTGTCAATCTGCTTTTCCAGATCCCTTCTCCTCCCAGCCTTTAAAGACTAGTGTTTGCCCTCAATTCTTTTTTATGTATTCCTTACTCTCTCCCTGGGTAATTAGTTGTATCTGTGTTGAAGACTGTCTTTTTTCATACCCAGAGTTTCAGATCCATCTAGCTAACCTCATATTGGAAAGCTACTGTTAAACCCATCATGACCCAAATTGCATTAATTACTATCTCTCTAAAACCCACCTCTAAGCCATTCACTTAGAAAACGGAAGTCCTCTTACACTTTCTTTATTACTTATCCTCTTCTTCCCCGTCCATCTCCAAGTCTTAACCCTTCTACCTCCACAACTTTTGAATACCCCCATGTCTCTCCTTCTCTGCAACTGTCACTCTGGTGACCTCATGCCTAACTGGTTGCAACGTCCCTTAGGAGGCTCCCTTTCCTCTAGTCTTGCCCAACTTCAATTCATTTCCCATATTGTAACTAGAGTGACACATTACCATTTTCAACGAACCCAAATCATGTTGTTTGGCCACTACAACTGCAAATGTGGTCATGTTACTCTCAGGCATACAACGCTTCAATGCACCCTTTTCCCTCAGTATAAAATCTTCAATGAAAACAATTCTAGCCCTGACCTCTACCTACCTCTCTACATATACCTCTTGTCTTTCCACCTACATTCCTCCTCCCATCACCCCATACAAACACACTCAATCTAGCCATATTTGATTTCAGAATTCTGAACTCCTACCATGCTCTCTTCCCTGTAGACGTTAGCATATGCAATTTCTTCCACTTGTAACACTCATCTCTCTTCTCACCTGGTTAAATCTATTCACCTTTATCTCTCAGCTTTAACATATCTTCCTTCCAGAGAACTTTCCTGTCCTGAAAAGTCTCCCAAATGCTGCCATAGCAAACTTACCTGCTTTTATTCTAGCACTTACCACGTGGTAGTCACTTGTCTATCTAACTGAGTGCAGGAACTATGCCTGCCTTGTTGTTGTGTATGCCTAATACCTAGTATGGTCTGAACAAATAATTCTGAAGTGGATGAAATATAAATGTAAGTAAGCACCTGGCCATGCTTTCAGATCGATTATGTTGTTCTTTTATCATTAGATTCAATGATGTGGAGATGTCATGTCTGTATCATTTGGAGATAACAAAAAGCTGATGAAGACATCTCATCGGGATCGAAAAATAATCTCAATGGATTTAAACAATGGACACAGGGGCAATAAAGTTTTAAGTGTTTAAAAAGATCATTTAGAGAAGATCACCTGTGAGCAAGGATAGGCAAGGTCTTATGGAATCAGTTATTTTGTGAGAGGAACAAATACAGCCTCAAAATGAGCCAAGGATGTGGCATATCCAAAAAAAAAGAATGAAACTAACACAATAATTGAATGAACCTATGTAACTATAAAGTCCAAAATCTGCTAAGTAACAGTTCACTTTCTACTTTGCCAGTCAGACTACAGCTGGCAGAGTCTGCTCTGGCAAAACCTTTTCAGTTGATCATTATCAAACTGGTCATGTTTCAAAGATAATGATCAGGATGATTAGTGCTCCAGAAACTGTGCCATGCGATGATCACAAGAAAGAACGAAGGATGCCACGATAAGATAAGTAGGGTCTATGATAGTCATCTCTTAGAAAGTGGATCATACACTTTTACTTCTATCCTGATAGCTCTAAAGGCAAAACTTAGGGAGGGGCAAAGTTTTGTTCCACATAGATTCATTAGGATTGTATTCAGCTGCAAGGAAAAGAAAACTAATTAAATGGAGATTTTTTTTTTCACAAGTGATGATAACTTTATAACTATGCATTCTAGAGCTGGTACAACTGCTATGTCATCTTGAACCTGAGTTCCCCCTATCAGTTTGAGATATATGAAATTACCTATACTCAATTATTTTTTTATTTACCCAAACAGCAAGTCCATGTGGTTTGACCTACAAGCATCCTTCTCTGTCATTCTTGATATGTGTTCTTTGTCCTCCTGTTTGTAAGTGGGATCCTGCACCTCCAGGAAGGATCCCAGTCTCCCAGTCAAGAAGGGAAAATAATAAAGTCCGAAAAGCACAGGCCATCCAAGTACAACCCTCCACACTGTACCCAGTCATCTTATGCTTGTATCCCATTGGCCTGAACCGCAGTATATGACCATATGTCATAACAGAATCTGGAAGTTGAGTATTTTAAATGGGCATATTCTTACTATGAAAAAATTTAGAGTACTATTTCAAAAGAGAAAGGATAGAATTGATATTGAGGAGGCATCAAGAATGCCTGCCAGAATTGCAAAGTGCTTTCTCACATAGTTTATCAGCTATGAAAAAGAGTGTTAACATCAGTTATGCTTAGCTGTACCTCCCAATAGAATCATCTGCTGTTCTTTTGGAATAGAGATGAACTTGCCCTATTCTGACCTGTGCCAGGAGAATTTTTGAGAGTCAGACCTGGGCATCTGCTTTATAACAATCTCCAGAGGTGATTCTGATAGGCAGCCAGAACTGAGAGCCACAACTCAGGTAGTGAGTGTCTGGTCACTAGAAATCTCTGGAGTTCTTGAGCAGGAATTAATCAACACAGTTCAGATGGCATTGTTGCCTTGGGGAGGAGACAGGGCAAGTGAAATGCCACGGTATCTCACAACTCTAGGAGTCCATGAAAAAGCTTCTGGATTTAATTATTAAATTATTTGACCTTGGACAAGGAGTTAGCAGTATGAAAAAATAACGGAAAAAAAATGACAATATGGCATTTAGATCCTTTTATTAGGAAGTTTTCATGGAAAAGGAAGAGGAAATGTAGAATGATTAGTTAATTCTTATTTGTCTTCAGAATTAGCAAAATGGTTTATCCAACTATAAATATTCGTGTATCACCAGTTGCATTGAGAAAAAAAGCTGTTGATTAATCCATTCCATGACTGGGCTGAGTTTCCTCTTGACTGTTCAGGAAGAAAGTCAAGTACTCTAGTGGACAGCTTTGTGGAAGAGAGACTAGATTTGGAGAAACAGCTAAAAAACACTGGACCACTTCACCTTCTCCAACTAGATGAATTCATCCAGTCATTTTCCTCTTTTCTTAGGTTCAACCTTCCCTGTCCCCATTCTTCCCTCTGATGCCAGCACCTCACCTAGATGTAGAGCGTAGGTTCTTCCCCCTTCCCCTACTGATCTGAGCAGTTCACCATTAGAATGACTTTTCCACTCTTGGGTCAGTTTAGCCTGAAATACTGAGCTCCACAAGTACTACTACATAGGTATCCATAACATCCGGTTTATTATTGATTACAGCCAGGAGGGATTACTAATATACGGGAAAAAAGATTTAGGATCTAAAAAAAATATTTGTCAGAAAGAAGAGATGAGTTGAATCTAAGAAAATGGCTTTATAATAGAAAGGGTAAGTTCTGAGGTCAGGCTCTTGCATACCTATTGAAACAACTCAGGCAAACGATAAGGAAGAGTTGAATGAACAATAGCTCACCTTGAGTCGACAGAGTTACAGGGCAGCTGAAATACCTAGTGGGATCTCAGGTCTTCCTCCCTTCCTTTCATCCATAAACACTGAGTGTCACATTTGTCCCAGGGGCTGTGCTATGTGTACTAGGTATATAAAGATAAATAAGATTGTCCTGGCCCTTCTGGAGCCCACAGCCTGGGAAGGGGAGATAGACATGTAAATAGGTCACCTACACTAACAGGTTGTGGATATGAACAGTAAAGGTAAGAAAAAGTGCAAGGCAAGCATAAGAGAAGCAGTAAGAAGACTCAGTTGGGCACGGTAGCTCACGCCTGTAATCCCAGCACTTTGAGAGGCTGAGGCGGGCGGATCACCTGATGTCAGGAGTTCAAGACCAGCCTGACCAACATGGAGAAATCCCATCTCTAGTAAAAATAGAAAAAAAATTAGCTGGGCATGGTGGCACATGCCTGTAATCCCAGCTACTTTGGAGGCTGAAGCAGGAGAATCGCTTGAACCCGGGAGGCGGAGGTTGAGGTGAGCTGAGATGGCACCATTGCATCTGAAGCCTAGGCAGGAGACTCCATCTCAAAAAAAAAAAAAAAAAAGACTCAAAGGAAAGGGTACTGAACTTTGAATTCAGTCTGAAAATATCAAAAGCATTTTCTAGGTAGAGAGGGGCAGGGTAGGGCCTGAGCATAAGCCAAAGGAACAGCATGCTCGTGTGCTTTACAGAGGGAGCAACAGGAAACCCCAAAGAGGCCATGGAGCAGGGAGTGCCTCAGTTTAGGAGAGAGGCAAACTGAGGACAGACCCTTAGGATTTCACATGCCTTGGCAGAGAGCTGAGACTTCATTCTACTTGGATTTGGAATCAGGAGAAGCTATAATATGCTGGGCTCTAATATGCTGGGCTACCAGGACATACTGGGAGAAGACTGGAAGAAGGATGCAGAGGAAGCAGAACAACTCTAGAGAAGAACCACCAGCACTCTGTTAATGGATGATTTTATAGAAAATAGGAGGCAAACCTTGGAATATTTAACCTAGTAAAGAGGAGATCCAGGGGAGAAAGGGAGGAAATCACAGTTTCAAATATTTGAAAACAGTCATGTAGAAAAACTAGACCAGTCCTGTGGGTAGTAGAATTAGGTAATATTTATTGAGAGCTTCCTATGTACAAGGCAGTATTCAAACACTTTATTTGCATTAACTTATTTATTCCTTATAATAACCTTACAAGGTAAGTCCTATAATTATCTCTATCTTATTGAAGAGGAGCTGAGTTGTACAGAGGTTGATTCAATTGCCACAGACCTCAAACCAGAAAGAGGCAGACCCAGGTTTGGCTCAAGGCAATCTGGTCCTGGAGCCGCTGTGTTAGGAGCCGCTACGTTATAATCACTCTCCAGATATAGGACATGTGGCTGGATTCTATAAGAAGGCAGAATCTCCTTCTCCTTCCTCTTCCCCTGCCTCTTCTTCCCATCCTCCTGTCTTCCTGAAATCTGACAGATGCAATGGACTTCTGAAGAGATGCAAGTTCCTATCACTGGAGATAGAGGCTGGAGGACCACTGCAGCTGCATTGTTGAGGGGTCAGAGCCCAAAAGAGGAACTGAAATAAAGTATCTTGAAAGTCCCTCTGAGCCTCCCTCCCAGCCTGAGCTGGTTGTGAATCAGGGGTTGTCTGGCACAGCAGTATGAACACTCTGGGGAGCCAGGTGGGTGTGTGGGTTACCCAGAGACTAAACTTGGCACAAATCTGCCAGTAGCCCTGTTCTAATGTGCCTCTTAGATCTGCTGACTCCATCAGAAAACAAACAAGTTTTCACTCCGGCATACACCACAGGAGCTGTCCTGGCCATGTGAGTGGAGCCAGCATCACTTCTACCTAACATATGAAGCTGCAAAATTGTCATTGAGGTTCTGAGCATGAGTCTTTATTGACCATGAGAAGGAGGGAGCAGTGGAAGCAATGCAGCTGGATAACTGATTCCTGGGGAGGGGCAGGGAGGCTAGGTAGAAGAGAAATATGTAATTCTCACATCTAAGGATGGAGCTTCTTCTAAGGCTTGTCATTGCTGAGCACTCTCCAATCCAGCTCAATCACATTCCTTTTTGACCCTCAATCAAATGCCTTCTGAATTTCTCTTGCAGGAAGGCTTAGGAATTGATCAATTGAGAGTCATTATCAGTTCTATTCCCCCTACCCATGACAAGTTAATCCTTTCCTTCCATTCTAAGGATGCTTTATAGGTAAATAAATGCATGCATATATGAATACACAACATCATATATATGAGATAGCACGTAGAGTTTGCACGCACACACACCATTTACATGTTCTGACTCTGTTCATTCGTCTGTGATGCTGTTTATATTCTTACCTTCCTGCAGGCAGAGGCTGGTGCTGAGTATTTTCTTTTAGAACCACTACCTATCAATAACTATACTCAAAAAGACTATTTGCAGTATTGCCAAATGTTGAACTTGGAATGAGACTTGAAAATCTCTTAGTCCAAGTGTTTTATTTTAGAGTGAGAAAACTGAAGCCTATATAGGGGATGTGTCTTACCCAAGGTCTTTGAACATGTTCAGATGGCTTTAGAGGTACACTTTTCAACCTGACTGCAGATTAGGCCTTCTTGGAGAGCTCTTAAAAATATCAGTGTAGGGTCCCATTCAAAGGGATTCTGATTTAATTGGTCTGTGATAGGGTCCAGACATTGGTATTTTTATAAAGTTTCCCAGGTGATTCTATGGTATGGCAAGTTTGCAAACCACTGGCTTTCAGACAGAGTATTGCAAATAAATGCAGATTGCACCTACCCACTGAGGATCATTCTGACTTCTGAGATCAAGTTGGGCAATGTATAATTGGTCTAGACCACTGGACTTGGAAGAATCATGGGTTTATGAGAAAGGTAATTACCTGTTCTTGTTCATGAGAAAACCTAGGCATGATCACCACCACCGTGATGGAAATGCAGATAGCAGCAGCCCTCCCAAAGCATTCAGGGTGCAGCTAGAGTACACAGTGTGAGTGCCAGAGCAGCTTTGTTACCTCTGTACACACAGTGCTGCAAACACAATCCATGGATTGAAAGAAGATGGGTGTGTAGGAGAACAACTACACAATGTGACGCCCAAAACACTGTATTCCATCAGAAGAAAACAAAGAAATTCCTTTTGTTAATAATGCATTTGTATTATTCCAGGAACTCTAAATTAAGATGTGATGATTGGATAGCAAATTAAAAGGGTTCTCATAGAGGAGGTTATCTTAGCTCTACCCTGAATTCTGAATCCCTCCCACAGGTCAGAAGAATAGTATTTGCCTCATCCACAAAAGCTGTCTGAGGCAAATTCTTCCCTGGCCTTATCTGGTATTCTCCTTTTATCTTCTTGGCCCTCCAGTTCTGTGCAGAAGTCAGGGCATAAAGGAAGTGGAGAGGCCAGAGAGGTGACAGTGATGTTCAGCATCAACCAGTAACTCAAACACACAAGACAATGACCACAAAGACAGTGAACTCACAGCAGCATTCCCCATCCTATATACACCAAAGGCATCCATGAGCTCCTTTTCTACAAGAGGTTGTGTGGAGTAGCAAAGGCAGCATCTCTGTGTTATGAGAACCCAGAGCCAGGGTGTGCACCTCCTCTTCCCAAACCCCTGTCTCAAAACAAGGATTGAGGGCTGGTTACTTCCCTGCCATCCATCATCATTTGCACAGGAGGCCAGAGGCTGTGCCATGAAGTCTCCACCCTTGCTTCCGGTACTGCTGTTGTTGCTTTCCGTTTATGACAAAGGATGCCAAGCCAAACCAAATCTGAGAGACCCAACTAGGTCTTTGGTCTTATCCGTTAGTTGCTTTTTCATCGCTGTTTTATCTCCAGCACCTAAAACAGTGCACCGAACGTAGTAGACACTCAATAAACACTTGGATGTGATTGAACCCGTGGGCAAATAAACAACCAGATGGATTTGGTGTTAGGGTGAGAGTTTGGTGGCGCTTCCAAGATGAGCAAAGGAAGCACCACTAGCGAGTGAATTTGAATGAGGAAGTAAAGCCAAAACCAGCAGTCTTTTGATCAGTCTTTTCTTATCGCAAAGGGCAATACTCTCACTGAAGCTAAAAAAAAAAAAAAAAATCAAATTTAGTAACCTAAGATGTCCTTAGTAACAGAGCTGAAGAATGTGTTTTCCAATATTTGATTTCTTAGCTTGACAGTCTCTCTTGAAATACGCTCTTCTCCGCAATGAAAATGTGAATCTTTGTTGGTTTGTTTTGCAGTTTGCAAATGACTTACAGAGCTCTTCTGGCAGGGTTTCTGTTTCTCCACTTGCAAATAAACAAAAGGCCATTTCTCTAATATGACTTAAGTAGGGGAGATTCTGTGATCTCCTGTCATGATTTTAGAAGCAGTAGAAAAGGAGAAGAGAAAGGAGGGGCAAGTAGAAAGAAGAACAAGAAAAACCGAAACAGACAGCTTATAGAAGCTGAGAAAAAAAGCAGGAAATAGGCAAAGATAAATTTGATATGGAAAATTAGAGTGTGAGAGATACCAAATAATGGAAGACTCTGTAATTAATAGGATCCCAGAGAACCTTTTGGGGAGGGCTGAACTCGCCCATGGTCCGTTGGCCTCCCTCCCCGCTTCCATCCCATCAGCTGGGCTCCTTGTGAACTGTGAAGACAGGCTCTCCCCTCCTTCTCCTAGGCAAGCCTGCATGAAGCAGAGCAACCCCTGCCAGCTTGACCTAGATCTGTCAACTGATCAATTATTTTTCCCATAGAGGAGAAGGAAAAATGAAAGGAAAACAGAAAAAGGGAAAGAGAAAAAGAGAAGGTGAAGAACAGAGAAGTAGGGGGAGTGGGCAGAAGGAGAGAAGGAGGGAAGGAGGGAGAGAGAATGGGAAGGAAAATGGATGCAGTCCTATATCTTTTCAGTTTAAGCAGTGGTAGCAAGAGCAGGCTTAATCCAGAGGGTTGCATAAATAAAGACATACATACATACATACATGAAAGAAAAAATAAAGTTCTCAGAGGTTACCGACCAAAATCAGTCAAAGCAGAAGCCAGAGCTCTTTTTTTCCCACCCTTTGCCAATCCAGATTAGAGCTATTTTTTCTGAAACTCCTACCTCCAGCTCCATCCTCCCTAGTGCTCCCCCTCTCCACCATTCACGCTGCAGTCCCACACTGAAGCCTCCTTTTGCAAAGGGATGGGAGGCATGCTCCCTGCAAGTGCCTTCTAAAGCCCTTCTGCCCTTCCCCAGTGCACTCTCTGATAAGATGAAGCACCCTCCGGCAATGGGGAGGTGATGCTTCTAGGAACACTAGGATGGTACCCTTTGACCCTTCCAAACTGTATGCCATCGACTTCTTTATTACTGCATGCTTTCTTTTTTTATGTTTAATTGGTTTTATTGAATTTCAAATGACTATAGACATAAAGTAAACATGTAACAAGACAATAGAGCAGAAAGGAAGTAAACTGCATAAATATAATCTCAGCATGGAGTTCCACTTAGCACCACATGTTTGGAGTGTTACAAGCATTAATGAGTCCTTACAACACCCAGGGGAGTCGCTCCCCGGCCTGGTGGGCAGGTGGGGAGATAGGCCCGCAGAGGGAGAGATTTTTCCCTACAGAAAACAGAGAAATTTGAGCTTAGATGTACATGTCCCCCATGGAGCTATGTTCAGACCACTAGAAATGGCTTGAAACCTGGAGACCACGCATATTGGGTGTGTGAAGCATTTGTAGGATCTCTGCTGCAGCAAGAGAGAGAGCAATGTGGGTTTTTTGTTTGTTTGTTTGTTAATCTTTAGCATTCTAGTTTGTGAGCAGAAGCAGATCATGAGCTTGAATCCAAAATACTAGGAAAAAAGCCAAATCACAGACCTGTTCATCCTACCCAAAGTGTGCCTCTACTATGATTGAATGGCAAGAGCATTACAAATCTCTCCAGCATGTGTTTTCTGTACACGTCAGAATCATGTGCCCCATATTGATTCAGAAATTCTGCCATTTCTTGGGATGTTGAGAGAGCTCACTTCATCCCAAGGGACAAGTTTTGGCTAAAATCAACACCAGGTTGTTTGGCCCATCAAGAAAAGGAGCCACTATCAGCCTGGCAGACAGTACGCAGGCAGAGAGCAGAACCCAGGGAACTGCCAGGAGGCAATCTAGACCCTATCACCTCAGGCAGGGAACCAAGAGACACACCTGAAGACACTACGCAGGACGCCTGAATTAAAACCAGCGCTATGGAAGGAGGTTACTGAGAAAGAACAGAAGTCAGGGACTGTACATTGCAGCTGATAAGACGAGATCTGGGGGCTTATATTTGGCTTTAAGGGAACCAAAAAAGGGAAGAATCAGGACCAGGACCAGGCTCTGTGCCTGGTAACTAAAGCTGCAGTTTCAAGAATGGTCTTCATGCAGCGAGACCTGCCGGCCAGGGCAGACACTCTCCAGGCACGCTTGAGCGAATGCTCAGACGGCCATCCCCATTGGTGGGGTGGCCTCCTAATACAAAGGGCGGAGGTGAGCTACATTTGTGCCACTGTGCACGCCTTGCCAGGAACTTGCCTCAAGTTGGCAGCCCCAAGCCTGGCAGGCAGGTTCCATTCGATGAGGCTCCCTGACGCCCTCCCCTTACTGCCATGCTTCCAAGAGCCCACAATGCCTATGTCAGGCCCAGGGTCCCATCATCCCAGGCTGATGTTTCCACTTTGCCAGTAGATATTGCTATGGTCTCGTCTGCCACCCCTGAATATCAGAAGCATTGCCCAGCTCAAGCTGCTGCTGGCACCACGTGTGTACTGTGCATGGCAGGAACCTGGCCGGCCTGCCCAGCCGAACGGCGCCCACCGCCCACCTCCCGGGTGCTGCGCGAAGGGGAGTGTGAACTTTGCCGAGGCACCTTTTCCTTCTCCTCTGCCCTGTCTGTGTCTCAGGCTAGCTGCTAAGCGGATGCGGGATGTGAGGAGAGGTGAGGAAATGAGAAAGGTAAGAGAGGAACCTAGCCAAGCAAATCTGAAGGTGTTAAAAGAAACAATAATCCTTCGAAGGAGAAATGGTCGGTTTTCTAGAAAGAGGAAGCTGCAGCACAAGCAGCCATTCCTTTCAGAGGCTCTCAGTGGCAGAAGGTGGGCGGTGGGTGTTCTGCAAGGGACAGCGCCTGATCCAGTTCTGTAGCGTCTGCTCCCGGCAACGAGATGCCTCCACTTAATCAACCCTGGTGTATCTTAGGGCCAGAGCCCCAGGGAGCTAATCCCCCCTCCTGTCAGCGTCACTAATCAGTGCTGATTCCCTCAGAAACCCCCCTCCCTACCTAAGCTGGATCTTGGTTGCTGGTTGGGTTGTGGGGAGGAGCAGGTCAGGGAGGGGTTCCTAACCTGCCATTAGCACCAGACACCTTTTCAAGAGGCAGGAGGCACAGGAAGCAGCAGCTCTAGGAAGAACCAGCTTAAAACAAAAACAGAGGAGAAGAAAAAATCGCCTTGGAATGTGTGCTGCATTCTAACTAGTCCCACTGGGTCAATGCAATAGGGGTGGATTATTGCAGGCAAGACCTGGGCTGCCTCAGTAATTCTGCAAGTTTGATAAGAGATAGCTGGCAGACTTCAGCTTCCTTCCTCTGAAAGAGAAAACAGACATCACCTTTGCCACATCTGACTGGCATGCAATATGCGGGTCTTTGGGGGTCGTTCTGCGTTAAAATTGGGCAACCTTGTTCTATTACGACCACTGAAGCCTGTTCAGGGCTGACTGGGTGAGGGTAGCACAAATAAGGCCATCATTCTTTTTGAGAAATTCCGGATTCGGTAGAATGTGATAAGGTCTGAGATAGTGCTGTCGCCACCACCCCTACCCCAAGTTAGGAACAAGACCACAAAGTCAGATGGCA
Source organism: Homo sapiens (assembly GCF_000001405.40). Taxonomy (NCBI): domain Eukaryota; kingdom Metazoa; phylum Chordata; class Mammalia; order Primates; family Hominidae; genus Homo; species Homo sapiens. The sequence continues at coordinate 131,372,899 of NC_000011.10, read as the reverse complement.
CCTTAGAGAAATTGGCACCACCACTTTGCTACTCATCTATTCAGAGATGATTCAAAGTATGAGCAAATATTATGCTTCCCTGCATTTATTCTGATGAAAAAAAAAATCACGTATGCTAATTTATATGTAAATTCAGTATGGCCCTGGGGCTCCTGGCATGCAGCCAGCAGGGCTGTTGATGGTGGAAGTTTGGTCATTGTCTCCAGTTTGATGTTACAGGCAGAAGAGACATGGATCTCGGGACAGATAGAAATGACTGAGGGCTTGGGACCTTCCCTCTCCCTACCTCTGACCCCTCACCCTACCCCTTGCCTGCTTAGTTTTCATTTTTGCTGTCAACCCCCACAGAAACTGCTTTTCCGAAACTGCCCGATCCTGAACTCAGCTTCCCCACTTCATTCTTGTGCACCCAGAACAAGCAGGGGTGCACACACACGCACGCACACACACACACACTGATACTGCTTCATATTATATAAGAGGAGTCAATCGAGGATGCCTCCAAGTTGATTCCCTTCACTCAAACACCCACCAAAGCCCCTAGGGGACAGCAGGGAATCCTGAGGCCCATGCCTCCTGGGGTTGGGTGCAGCAGACGACATCATGGACATCCCTGCAAGATTCACCACCTTGGACTTCCTTATCACCCGACACAGATCCCTCCTGTCCCCACCCCTTGCCTTCTTCATCGAGCCCCAGTCAAGGGTGTACACATTTGATCCTTCCAGCCTGGTCTCTCTGCCCACCTTACGTGGATCCACACTGCAGCCACTGCAACCTATGTCAAGAGGACAGCAGCAATCCCTAAATCCTAACCTCGGAGAAGAGCCAGCAGGACTACAGCTCAGGACTCAGTCCAGATCAGGAGAACTCCATATTGCAGGGGGAGAAGAGGGCGAGGGGGTGGGACTCCCCATCGTTTTTCACCGGGTCAGAGGGAACTTTCCTCTGGGAATACAACTGCATAGGACTGAGCCTCACCTCCCAAGAGAGGGCTCCTCCTCCCGGAGCCCTGCTGGGCCACCCTGGGAAAGTTTCTCAGCTTGTCTCGATCCTTACGAGTTTTAGCTGTGTTTAATATAAAAGAGGCAAACTAGTTACCCCAAAGGACAGGGCAGGTGGGAGCAAGAAGATTAGTGGATAATTCTGTTGCTGGAACGAACAGACGTGAGAGCCGGGATGGGGTGTGGGGAGGCACGGTGCAGCAAATGGACTCAAGGTGGAGGCCGATTCCAAATGCACAGAACACAGCACTGGGGACATCAAAGCTTGCACTCAACTGCAGCCCCCAGGGCTCCCGGCTCAGCCGATAAATAAACAGAAAATTAGCATTCGACTCTTATTGCCTCTCTCCCTTCAACTTCGAAAAGCTTTTTAGAATTTCAGAGCCCCGGCTCCCCTCGCTTCCACACCTCCGACCCCAGCCACAAACACACCCCCGAACACATTTAAAACTAATACAGTTGTCCCCCACTGCTGCAAATTGACTCATCCCTTGCAGCTGGATCGCTGACCAGAACCTCACAGGAAGCACCTGATTCTTTCTAGCCTGCATTTTCCCCTTTGCTCCTTTTAAAAGCTTTGCAAGTTCGCTGGCCGATATTTAAAGTTTCCTCTTGTAATTTCTTCCCAGTCGCATAAGCAACACATTAGCAACCCTGTTGCCCTCCGAATCTGTCATTTCCCCCTGCTTACATGTGTGCTCCGTTGTGTATGTGTGCAAGAATGTGCATGAAGCCAGGGAGCCTTGCACACAAGCACAGTCCTAACAGGAGCACCAAACACATTTTACTTATGCACATACATATTCCCCCATTCCGGTAGCAGCCAGAATCAAATCAATATTCTCACAGCCTAGTCGGGAGAATGAAGTCCCAGCCATGCTGTCTAAACGCTCTCTCCTCCACCTGCAAACAGCGCAGCACAGCCGACTCGGGGAGTCTGCAAATCTTATAAAGCACACTGTACAATTCCTGGGTCTACCGAAGGCAAATCAATAGCAAGCTCTTACCTTGGAAGAGACACAGAGCAGCCAGCCCCGTGAAGATTGCCCAAGAGATAGAATTGTGCATTTTTGGCTGGATGGTTTTCATGATTTTTTTTCTTCTTCTTTTTCTTCTTTTTTGTCAGGTTCGGTTTTTTTCTTTCTTTCTTTCCTGATAGATTGTGTTGCTCTCAAGCTTGTGCAAGGAGATTTAAATCCACTGTTTTGCTGAAGGACACAACAAGAAAGCCGAGGGTGTGAGAGAGTATGACTTCTCCGTAATTATCTCCACTCATACTCTGGCACTGAGACACATTGTACAATCTGGCCCTGGACAGCCCTCCTACAAGCTGCAATCATTGGTTCTAATCCAAGGATTGACAGAGCTACAACACACGCGCGCGGGCACACACACACACACACACGCACACACACTCTCAGGAATCATTTACTGGGCAAATCAGGCTAGCTGATTAAAGAGACAGGAGCCTGGAGAGATAGAATGATAAATGCCACTTTGCCCCTTCTATATTACTTTCATTTTTTAAACTGACAGTCTCTGAGTCTTCTGAGTATCAGAAAATCCCTTTCCCCCTGGCATTCCCTGGCCTCCTGAACTCAGATTCCCTTTGCACTGGAAAAATCCCATAGCCAGCCATGGCTTATGGGAAATTTTAAAGGGACATTTTCATGCTCAGTGAAACTTGTAAAGATGAGGCAATTTTCATTTGTTGGTACCTATTTTCCCCTCCAATGGAAATATCATTCAGTGACAGCTTTTTTTTCTCTCTTTCATCAACCTTTCTACTTAGTTGCTTTGAAAATAGTAAATAACTTTCTATTTTCTCCTCCTGTCACTTCTGTTTCAGAACATCTATGTTACTCCTCTTTTTCATTCACTTTTTAGAAGTCAATTTCCTAAATTCATCCATGTGTATATGATACAATGGAAAGGTACAAAGTACCTGGTATTTGAGAAGAAGCTCTATAGTCTGAAGATGGAGAACCTTCTTCAAAAGAAAACAAAGCAGGAGTTTATTCCCCATGACTTGGTCAATCCACATCCACTAAAGCAATCATAGAAGCATCTGTGATTTAAACTGCAGCGAGAAAGATTCAGGGTAGACATGCGGAGGGGCTTTCTGAGTGTAAACTTTGTGTAGTTCCTCAGACAGTTGAAGACATTAACCTCCTTGGTGATAGGAAAGAATAAAAACCGAACAGAAATAATCTAATGGACATAAATGATTTCTTAAGAGGTCTAATTCTAGGGCCTGGAAGTTTATTCTAATCTTTGGCTTCCCCTTATGAGAAGCAAGTTAGAGGATGTGAACAAAAAATCTAGAAAATGTAGCTCCTGGCTGGGCACTGTGGCTCACGCCTGTAATCCCACAACTTTGGGAGGCCAAGGAAGGCCAGTAGCCTGAGCTCAGGAATTCGAGACCAGCCTGGGCAACATGGTGAAACCCTATCTCTACTAAAAAATTCCTTAAAAATATCTGGGTTTGGTGGTGCGCACCCGTGGTTCCAGCCACTTGGGTGGCTGAGGCAGGAGAATTGCTTGAGCCTGGGAGGCGGAGATCACAGTAAGCCAAGATGGCGCCACTACAATCCAGTCTGGGTGACAGAGCCAGCCCCTGTCTCAAGAAAAAAAAAAAAAAAAAAGAAAAGAAAAAGAAAATGTAGTTTCTCACAGAACCTTCCTTAGCTAATTCTGACACATTCATACCCCTACTATGCCTTGACACACATTTTAAAAATATTCTTCTAGAACTCCACCGCTAATTATTATACTTCCTTGTAACCCCATAAAAATGTTCATGTATTTTCAAACTGCATAGAAGAAAAGTACTCATTGTCTGTTTGTATTTTAGTGTACAGAGGTGAAATGAAAACATCACTGCCATTTTGCACATGTCTAAGACGTACGATTTACCTTGGCTTTTTTCTTTTTTCTTTCTTTTTTGTTTTTGTTTTTGACAGACTCTTGCCCCGTCACCCAGGTTGGAGTGCAGTGGTGCAATCACAGCTCACCGCAACTTTGAACTCCTGGGCTCAAGGAACCCTCCTGCCTTACCCACTATGCCCAGCTATTTTTTTTTTTTTTTTAATTTTCTACAACATAGTAGAGATGAAGTCTCACTATGTTGCTCAGGCTGGTTTCAAACTCCTTGCCTCAAGCAGTCCTTCCAGCCTTGGCCTCCCACAAGTTTACCTTGTGTTGTGTATGAATAGGGACAACACTGCCTGGAATGTGGGATCTTGTGACCTTGAGAGGAAGGGGCCCTGGGACCTCAAGATCTGGGGACCTCAAGATCCTTCTCATAGTTCTGCACAACTAAGGGACCTCAGGCAGGTCCTTTCACCTCTGTGAACCTTGGCTTCTTGTCTATAAAATTGTAGAACTGGAATAATTTATTATACTCCTTCTCATTTTAAAGATGTTTTATGTTAACTGGTATTTTTTTTCTTCTTGCCATTAAGTTCTAATTCACATATCTATCAAAATGTCCTTGATATCGTGAGCTCCCAATGGACAAGAATTTTATCTGTAGATGAGTCTTTTTGTGCGGTGCTCAGCATAGTGACATGTGTAATTAAATGCTTTGGAACAACTGTGACGGCAGGTGATAACAGTGCAGTGCAGAAGGAAGGTGGCTTCCTTTCACCACCATTTCATTTCTCTCCAGAACGATGATAAAGATCATGGGCCACTGGTAAGTCTTTAGTCCCAATCAGGAGAGGTGGACAATAACATTTGTAAATGTCCTTACCCTGAACTGTAATAAATCTATACAGTTACCAATGTTTATTAAGCTCCCAGGTGTGTACAGATAATAAGAAATTAATCATCGGAGTTGATATTTATTGATATTTATTTGCAATGTGCTAGACATGATACTCAGTGTTTTGCATGCATTTTTCTCATTAAATAATCACAACCTATGAAGTGGTGATATTATCATCCCCATTTTATAAATGAGGGCATTGAGGCTCAGAAAAAGCTTGTCCACAGCCACACAACAGTTAAGGAATGGAATCAGGATTTAAACCTGAGCATTTTCATCTTAGATCAACTTCAATAATAATATCCTGTGCTAAATACTGTGAGGGACTCAAATAGATATCAAGCATCCTAGCGTAGAATCTTTTTGTTGCTTTCAATAGCATATGAGATTATTAATAAACATTACAAAACAATACATATGTTGATACAAAACTACAGGAAGACTCATATACTGCTTTCAATCTTAACTGAGTTTCCAATGGTTGGTACATATAATTAATTTCATCAGACAGCACACAATAGGTGGTCATTTTCTATGATAGTTTTGTAAAGTTCTTTGGAGACGGTGGGAGTCATGAATACCGTGAGAGTGACTCTGATCCTAGATCTGAGGCAGAGGGAAGGACGTTGCTGGATGAGAATACCATGAATTAAAAACTAGAGTTAGAAATACACCAAGTATATTTGAGGTTCTAGTGACTTGTCTGAGATTCCCCATCCTACCATTCTGTATAGCAAGAAGAGCTTGAAAATATTTTTTAAATGAACCTTAGCATAATATGATGCTTGGCAGTTACTTTCTGCACACAGGTGAGGTAACCATGTCTGGTACCTGGCAGGCACAGACACTGGGCGTCACTGACATGACTTGTTGAATGAGAGCACGGACTTAGGGCTGCTTTGCTTGGGGTCCAAATCCCAGTTCTGTCCCCTAGGGGCTGTGAGATTAGGTTGAGTCATTTCAACTCCACATCTGAAACAGGATAGCAATTACACCCCCATCCCAACCATAGCCAGACATCCTAACCATCAACTAATTTTCATTAATTTTACTGTTTTTAACCAAGTTGAGATGGATGTGGTCTACCATGTGTCATTGGTAGAAGCTATCTGTGCTTGGGAACTAAGACTCCTGGACAGAGCAGTTTCAGCATTATGCTCTGTGCATTCATTGAGGCAAAATATATCCTCAGGGATTGCCGAACCAGAAGTCTAATTTGGGTTCTGAACACTGCTAAATGCTAAACTATCTTGAGAGCTATAGCTCTTTCAATGCTTGAATTTGCCACATGAAGTAAAATTTCCCAATGGCCTTCAGGTTTCACAAAAGCACACCATTAACCTCCTTCTAGAGAAGGCATCTTTTTCCCTCCTTTGTTATTGGGTTTAACACAGCATCACCAATACAGGCGTGTTGGATCAGTCAGCTGCTCATTGCTGTAATTACAAATCGAAAAAGCTGATCCTAGGCTACACACAGAAGGGTTTCATTCAACCAAGCACATCTCTTGCCTAATGGAACCGGTCTCACCAATGCTGTCAGCAAACTTCCTTTCCATTTTCCATTCTAGTCTCAGGATCTATCAGGCTTAGGACTGAGAATCTCCATTGTTGCAACTACCCCAAAGAATGCACAGCTTGGTCCTTCTGCTTTGGGGTGGCTCGTGACTGTGGTTAGAGATTTCTGCCAGTAGAAGTGAGCCAATGACTAAAGAACCTCTGACTGGGGGAAGCTATGACTGGGGGGAGCTATGATTGGAAGG